>NC_000008.11:37738890-38041920 GCF_000001405.40 Homo sapiens | reverse complement strand
TCCTGGGCTCCAGAGATCCTCCTGCCTCAGCTTCCCAAGTAACTAGGACTAGAGGTGCATGCTGCTACACCTGGCTAGTTTTAAAATTTTTTTGTAAAGACAGGGTCTCACTATGTTGCCCAAGCTGGTCTCCAACTCCTGGCCTCAAGCAATCCACCTGCCTTGGCTTCCCACAGTGCTGGGATTACAGGCATGAGCTACTGCACCCGACCTTGTGTGGTTTGCTTTGTGGAAGTGAACATAAGGCCGTGAGAACAGGGTATGGGATCTATGAGTCAGTACCTTTAGGAAGGTGTCCTTTGTTCTTTAACCCTGATTCACAGGGTTGTGATTCCAGTCGGCTTCTGCACCTGGTCCTGGCTCTGCTGGCCACACATCAGGACAGGCAGCACGTTCCCTCTAAGACCCATTCTTTGAGGTCTGGCCCTTGTGGAGGATTATTCGAAAATGTGGCTCCTACCACTCCTCCCATTCCTGTTTGCACATGTAGCTTCTCTCATTAAAAGGCATATATTTCCTGCCAGGTGTGGTGGATCATGCCTGTAATCCCAGTGATTTGGGAGGCCAAGGCAGGCAGATCGCCTGAGGTTAGAAGTTCGAGACCAGCCTGGCCAACATGGTGAGACCCCCGCCTCTACTAAAAATACAAAAATTAGCCGGGCGTGGTGGCAGGTGCCTGTAATCCCAGCTACTTGGGAGGCTGAGGCAAAAGAATCACTTGAACCTGGGAGGCGGAGGTTGCAGTGAGCTGAGATCGTGCCACTGCACTCTGGCCTGGGCGACAGAGCCAGATTCTGTCAAACAAACAAGCAAACAAAAAAGGCCAGGCGCGATGGCTCACGCCTGTAATCCCAGCACTTTGGGAGGCCGAGGCGGGCGGATCACTTGAGCTCAGGAGTTCAAGACCAGCATGGGCAACATGGTAAAACCCTGTCTCTACTAAAAATACAAAAATTAGCTGGGCATGGTGGTGCATGCTTGTAATCCCAGCTACTCAGGCAACAGAGAGAGACTCCATCTCAAAACAACAACAACAACAACAACAACAACAACAGGCATGTATTTCCCCTCTCCCTGAATCTGGGCTGGCCCTGTGACTTGCTTTGACCGACAGAATACTTGGTAAGTGATGTTATGGGACTTCTGAGCCTAGGCCTTAAGTGGCCTTGGAAACTACCATGTAAATAAAACTCAAGCTAGACTACTGAGTGATCAGAATGTTGGGAGACCAAGAGGATAGAGGGAACTCCCAGGCTTCCAGCTGTCCCCAGCAATGCCCCAGATGTATGGGTAAGACCATCTTGGAGCTTCCACCCCAGGACAGTCCAGCTGTACACTGTATGCAGCCATATGAGTAAGCTCAGCAAGATCTACAAAGAACCCAACGAACCCAAAAGATGGAGAACAATAACAAATCGCTGCTGTTTAGTTACTGTTTGGGGATGGCTTGTTATATAGCAATAGCTAACTGATACAACCATTTTCACCAAGTGTCCCTGCACACCTAAGAAGCCCTGATCCTCTGGGCCTAGTATCTGAGCTCTCTTAATGAGCTTTCATGGGCATAACCATCAGATTACATGGAGCCCTTTGCTGTGCATACCCAAATGTCAGTGAGCAGCAGTTACTTACTCTTGCCTTGTCAGCAATGCTGGATGCAAACAGGTAAATAAACAGCATCAGTCACAGTGTCTGAGACCCCGGCCCCAATACTGGCTTGTTCAGTGTAAGAAAAAGTTGCCAGATGCAGTGGCTCACATCTGTAATCCCAATGCTTTGGGAGGTTGAGGCAGGAGGATTGCCTGAGGCCAGGAGTTCAAGACCAGCCTGGGCAACATAGACCTCATCTCTACAAAAAATAAAAATTAGCCAGGTGTGGTAGCATGTGCCTGTGGTCCCAGCTACTCGGGAAGCTGAGGCAGGAAGATTGCTTGAGCCCAGGAGCTCAAAGTTACAGTGAGTGGTGATCGCGCCACTGTACTTCAGCCCATAGACACTCCAGCCTGGGCCACAGAGGTGAGGCCCTATCTGTTAAAAGTTTTTTGTTTTTGCTTTTTAAAAAAAAGAAAAAAAGTCACATCCACTCCCTGTTCGGTAATATTGGGACAAGAAATACCAGCAATACTGTTTAATACAAATGTTCCTTGACTTAAAATGAAGTATGTCCCAATAAATCCACCATACATAGAAAATATCTTAAGTCAAAAATGCATTTAGGGCCAGGTGCAGTGGCTCACGCCTGTAATTCCAGCACTTTGGGAGGCTGAGGCGGGCAGATCACTTGAGGTCAGGAGTTTGAGACCAGCCTGGCCAACATGGTGAAACCCCATCTCTACTAAAAATACAAATTAGCTGGGTGTGGTGGCACACGCCTATAATCCCAGCTACTCAAGAGGCTGAGGCAGGAGAATGGCTTGAACCTGGGAGGCAGAGGCTGTAGTGAGCAGAGATTGCACCACTGCACTCCAGCCTGGGCGATAGAGCAACACTCCAACTCAAAAAAAAAAAAAAAAAAAAAGTATTTAGTACACCTAACCTACTGAACATTATAGCTTAGCCTTCCCTACCTTAAATGTGCTCAGAACACTTACATTAGCCTACAGTTGGACAAAACCACCTGGCAACACAGCACACTATAGACTCTATAGTGGGCTGTCCAATCTTCTGGCTTCCCTGGGCCACACTGGAAGAAGAATTGTCTTGGACTACACATAAAATACACTAACACTGGCTGGGTGTGGTGGCTCACGCCTGTAATCCCAACACTTTGGGAGGACGAGGTGGGCGGATCACCTGAGCTTGGGAGTTCGAGACCAGCCTGACCAATATAGAGAAACACCATTTCTACTAAAAATACAAAATTAGCTGGGTGTGGTTGCGCGTGCCTGTAATCCCAGCTACTCAGGAGGCTGAGGCAGGAGAATCACTTGAACCTGGGAGGCAGAGGTTGCAGTGAGCCGAGATTGTGCCATTGCACTCCAGCTGAGCTTAAAAAAAAAAAAAAAAGAAAGAAATTTCATAATGTTTTAAGGAAGTTTACGGACTTGTATTGGGCCTCATTCAAAGCTGTCCAGAGTGCATGTGGCCTGAGGGTCTCGGGTTGGACAAGCTTGTGACTGGCCATTTGTCCTCATGTTTGTGGGGCTAAATGGGAGCTGCAGCTCACTGTCCCTGCTGAGCATCTCGAGAGCATGTACCTCGTATCGCTGGCCCAGAAACAGATCAAAATTCACAATTCAATGTACAATTTCTAGGCTGGGCGTGGTGGCGCACACCTGTAATCCCAGCTACTTGAGAGACTGAGGTGGGAGGATTGCTTGAGCCTGAGAGGCGGAGGTTGCAGTGAGCCGATATCATGCCAATGCACTCTAATGTAGGTAATAGAACAAGACTCTGCCTTTTTTTTTTTTTTTGAGATGGAGTCTTGCTCTGTCTCCCAGGCTGGAGTGCAGTGGCGTGATCTCGGCTCACTGCAACCTCTGTCTCCCGGGTTCAAGCGATTCTTCTGCCTCAGCCTCCTGAGTAGCTGGGAGTACAGGTGTGTGCCACCACACCTGGCTAATTTTTTGTACTTTTAGTAGAGACGGGGTTTCACCATGTTAGCCAGGATGGTCTCTATCTCTTGACCTCGTGATCCACCCACCTCAGCCTCCCAAAGTGCTGGGATTACAGGCATGAGCCACCGTGTCCGGCCAAGAATCTGTCTTAAAACAATTTTTAAAAGTACAATTCCTACTGAACACATATCACTTTCATACCATCGTAAAGTCAAAAATTGTAGTCACACCATCATAATCGGGGACTATCTGTATGAGGATAAGTAGGAGGGTTCAGAGAAGGTTATTCTCTGGCTGGTCCAGTGGCTCACGCCTGTAATCCCAGTGTTTTGGGAGGCTGAGGTGGTGGATCTCTTGAGCCCAGGAGTTCCAGACCAGCCTGGGCAACATGACAAAACTCTGTCACTACTAAAAATTTAAAGATTAGCCAGGCGTGGTGGTGTGTGCCTGTAGTCCCAGCTACTGGAGAGGCTGAGGCAAAAGGATCACCTGAGCTCAGGGGGTTGAGACTGCAGTGAGGCATGATCGTGCCACTGTACTCCAACCTGCAACAGAGTAAGACTTTGTCTCAAAAAACAAACAAACAAAAAACAGACAACATCATCAAAACAGAGAAAGTTAGTTTCTGCCCCTGGGACATTCTGAGATAAACACTTATACCCTGCAACTGAAAGGACAGAAAAGGAAATTTAAACGTCATCATTAAGCCAGCGGAGACTCAGGCCTGACAGTAAGAAAACTAGGTTATCCTGACCAGGCATGGTAGCTCACGCCTGTAATCCCAGCATTTTGGGAGGTCGAGGCGGGTGGATCACAAGGTCAGGAGATTGAGACCATCCTGGCCAACATGGTAAACCCCGTCTCTACTAAAAATACAAAAATTAGCTGGGTGTGGTGGTGCGTGCCTGTAATCCCAGCTACTCAGGAGGCGAGGCAGGAGAGTCACTTGAACCAGGGAGGTGGAGGTTGCAGTGAGCTGAGATCATGCCACTGCACTCCAGCCTGGGCGACAGAGCAAGACTCAGTCTCAAAAATAAATAAATAAATAAAATAAGAAAACTAGGTTATCCTGAGGGGAACGCTTTCATTCCAGCATTCTTTTCAACTCTTCACCTTCCAGACACTAGACCTGGCATTAGGTCATGTGGATACAAAGATGAGTAAGACTGCTCAGAAAAAATTTCCTGGCTAACCTAGGGAACAAACACGTAAACAAAAACGTGTGATTCATTCGCTATGAATCATAATGGAGAGAGACCCCAGGCATGGGTCTAAGTCAGACCAGAAAGAAACAGGTTTTTCATGGGTTTGTTGGCACAGGCAAGAATCTATGTGCACAACTGAACATTTTTTTTTTTTAAAACTCACCTTAGAAAGCAATGTTCCTTTTTTTCAATATTGCTGTGCCTTCCCAGGCCAAGCACAGTGGAGCATGCCTCTAATCCCAGAACTTTGGGAGGTCAAGGCGGGTGGATTACTTGAGCTCAGGAGTTTGAGGCCAGCCTGGGCAACATGGCGAAACCTCATCTCTACCAAAAAATACAAAAATTAGCCGGTTGTGGTGGTGCATGCCTGTAGTCCCAGCTACTTGGGAGGCTGAGATGGGAGGATTGCTTGAGCCCAGGAGGTTGAGGCTGCAACTGCACTCCAGCCTGGGTGACAAAGTGAGACCCTGTTTCAAATTAAAAAAAAAAGAAGAAACAATATTGCTGTGCCTTCCTAACTCATCTTCCAGAACATGAAAATAAAGGTCTATATGAGAAAATGCCTCGCTACTTTATGTCAATGGATAAATATGGTATTGCTCTGCTGACCCTTTTTCCTCAGATTTGGCAATGAAGGACTTTTTTGGTCTTTTAGGAAGCAAAAAAATCAAACTCTCTCTCTTTTTTCTTTGAGACGGAGTTTCACTCTTGTCACCCAGAATCGTTCGAGTGAGTCTCGTGCCTCAGCCTCCTGTGTAGCTGGGATTACAGGCGCCTGCCACCAGGCCCGGCTAATTTTTTTTTGTATTTTTATTAGAGATGGGGTTTCACCATGTTGGCCAAGCTGGTCTTGAACTCCTGACCTCAGGTGATCTGCTTAGCCTCCCAAAGTGCTGGGATTACAGGTGTGAGCCATCGCACCTGGCCTCTCCTTTCAAATAATAAAAAACTAGAGGGTCAGACTCAGAAGCAAAGCATGACCCTGTCTCTACAAAAATAAATAGCCGGGTTTGTGGTCCCAGCTACTCGGGAGGCCGAGGCAGGAGAATTGCTTGAACTCAGGAGGCGGATGCTGCAGTGAGCTGAGACGGTGCCACTGCACTCCAGCCTGGGTGACAGAATGAGACTCTGCCTCAAAAATAAAATAAAATAGGCCGGGCGCGGTGACTCATGGCTGTAATGTCAGCACTTTGGGAGGCTGAGGCGGGCGGATCACGAGGTCAGGAGTTCGAGACCAGCCTGGCCAACGTGGTGAAACCCCATCTCTACTAAAAATACAAAAAATTAGCCAGGCGTGGTAGCGCGCCTGTAAACCCAGCTATTCGGGAGGCTGAGGCAGGAGAATTGCTTGAACCCAGGAGGTGGAGGTTGCAGTGAGCCGAGATCGCACCATTGCACTCCAGCCTGGGCGACAGAGCAAGGCTCCATCTTGAGGAAAATAATAATAAATAAATAAATAAATAAATAATTAGCTGGGCATGGTGGTGCGTGCCTGTCATCCCAGCTACCCGGGATTCTCCTGTCTCAGCCTGAACCTGGCAGGTGGAGGCTGCAGTGAGCTGAAATCATGCCACTGCACTCTAGCCTGGGCGACAGAGTTAGACTGCCTCAAAAATAAAATAAAATAAAATAAAATAATAAGGCCGGGTGTGGTGGCTCATGCCTGTAATCCCAGCACTTTGGGAAGCTGAGGCGGGTGGATCACCTGAGGTCAGGAGTTTGAGACCAGCCTGACTAACATGGTGAAACCCTGTCTCTAATAAAAATACAAAAATTAGCCGGGTGTGGTGGCACATGCCTGTAATCCCAGCTACTTGGGAGGCTGAGGCAGGAGAATCACTTGAACCCAGGAGGCGTAGGTTGCAGTGTGCCAAGATTGCACCACTGCACTCCAGCCTGGGCAACAAGAGCGAAACTCTGTCTCAAAATAATAATAATAATAAAAAGGAGTCTGGGGATTGGAGGGATTTTGGAGTGCTCTACACCAGGAACCCCCCACCAAATCTTTAATAAGGGACACAGTGTGGAATGCTTCCAACACTTTAAAAAATTTTATTTATTTAATTTATACCGACAGAGTCTCACTATGTTGCTCAGGCTGGTCTTGAACTCCTGGCCTCAAGTAATTTTCCTGTCTCAGCCTTCCTAATAGCTGGGATTACAGGAGTGAGCCACCGCACCCAGCTCCTTCAAACACTTTAAAAGGAAGCTCAGGTAAATGTGAGAAGAGGGTCCATCGTTTCTCCCTCACTGCATTAATGTCCAAGCTCTTTTAACCCATCCTTAATAATTTCTTCCCTCCATGTGACTAAGGCCTCAGGACATGGGCTGTGCTCTGGCTTTGGTGCCCAGCCTACATCCCCTTCTTCCCAGCACTGCCTGTTTCATGTCCAAAGACTTGGGAGCTGCTCCAAGGTAAGCTTCCTGGGCACAGACCTTGTTTGCTTAACCAAACAGGGTGCCATTAACACCTGCAGCCCTACCTGCTCACCTCGGATTCACCTTATCCAGGTACGGGTCTTTGGCACAACTGCCATCCAAGCCTGTATATAGGCTTCAGAGTCAAACATGCAACACGGAGCTGGGAATGTGGAGATTGATGAGGGAAAGTTTCTTTCTGACCCACTCAAAGGTTCTGCTGGCTAATGAGCTGTTTATGGTGTCGCTGGATATTTTTAAGACTCCACAGACTCAAATATTCATACATGACACTCCCTTCGGCAATTAAATTATCTTAAGTACTCTGGACAGCTAACCTCAGAGCAGAGCCTCAGTGTGCAAATGGTTAATGACCATGGAAAGCAAACTGGAGGCCAGGTGAGGTGACTCATGCCTACAATCCCAGCAGTTTGGGAGGCTGAGGTGGGAGGACTGCTTGAGCCCAGGAGTTTGAGGCCAGCCTGGGTAATACATAGAGACCCTGCCTCTACAAAAAAATAAAAAAATTAGCAGGGCATGGTGGCACGTGCCTATAGTCCCAGCTACTTGCAAGGCTGAGGCAGGAGGATCACTTGAGCCCAGGAGTTTGAGACTGCAGTGAGCTATGTTTGTGCCACTGTACTCCAGCCTGGGTGACACCATGAGACCCTGTCTCAGGAAAAAAACAAAAAAAGGGCCGGGTGCAGTGGCTCACGCCTGTAATCCCAGTACTTTGGGAGGCCAATGCAGGCGGATCACGAGGTCAGGAGATCGAGACCATCCTGGCTAACACGGTGAAACCCTGTCTCTACTAAAAACACAAAAAATCAGCCGGGCTTGATCGCGGGCGCCTGTAGTCCCAGCTACTTGGGAGGCTGAGGCAAGAGAATGGCGTGAACCCGGGAGGCGGAGCTTGCAGTGAGCCAAGATCTCACCATTGCACTCCAGCTTGGGCGACAAAGCGAAACTCCATCTCAAAAAAAAAAAAAAAAAAAAAGGAAAGCAAACTGGAGTCATAGGAATGGAGATAGTGCAACCCAACTGCTGCTTCTTTCCCTCCAGGGACAATCACTTGAGGGCCATTCCCAGCAGGAGTGACTGGGGGGTACTTACTCCAATGGTTTTTCCTGAGAAGCTGACAGTCCCTATAAGTAAGCAGGTGCAGACAGCCATGCAGACACTCTATCAAAAGCCTGGCTCTCCACACCACGATTTAGAGATCAAAGTTTACCTGGATGGAGCCATCTTTTTTTTTTTTTTGCTAGACTCCAGAGATCTGAAAGGTGAGGGAAGTTATGTTTCACTAATTCCTGAGTACTCAGAGTGTGGTATGTGCACCAATCAGTCAGAGCTAGTTAGAAATGCTGAATCTAGGCCGGGCATGGTGACTCACGCCTGTAATCCCAGCATTCTGGAAGGCCGAGGCAGGCAGATCACTTGAGGCCAGGAGTTTGAGACCAGCCTGGTCAACATGGTGAAACCCCCGTCTCTACCAAAAAATACAAAAATCAGCTGGGCATGGGTGGTGCATGCCTGTTGTCCCAGTTATTGGGGAGGCTGGGGTGGGAGGATTGCTTGAACCCAGGAGGTGGAGGTTGCTGTGAGCTGAGATTGCGCCACTGCACTCCAGCCTGGGTGATAGAGTGAGACCCTGTCTCAAAAAAAAAAAAAAAAAAAAGAAAGAAAGAAAAGAAAGAAATGCTGAATCTAGTTCCCACCCCCACCTACAGAATCAGAATATGCACTTAAATGAAGCCCCCAGTTATCCTCAAGCACCTGGAAGACTGAGAGGCAGTATTCTGCTCTGGAGCAAAAGGGTGTGACCATTTTGGCTGCAATGTGACCATTTTGGCTTCTCTGCCCTGGCAGAGGTGGGCTGAGGTGGGCTTTGGAGGAAGAGTCCACACCTTGGCTAATCGAGGCCGACCAGGCTTGCTTGACTTTAGTGGAAGTCAGCCAGGTTTCCCTGGCTTAGGGACTGTGAGCTGTACCTGCTCCACTGGACGACCAAACAGTGAGCTGGCTTTAGGCTCCTGGCACTGCTAGCTTCTTCCAGTGATCTCAGAAACATATGCTATGCCCTGATGCAGAAGTCCCTTCCCCACTCCCCCTACTGCTAAAGACCTTCAAAGGGAAGGGGATTTGCTGTGGTCTGTCAGCCCCCTGCCCACTCCCCACTTCCCAACCCAAAGTGAAAAGTGGATTTGAAGTTCCTATATTTTATATTTATTATTTATTTTAGAGATAGGGTCTCGCTCTGTCACCCAGGCTGGAGTGCAGTGGTCAATCATAGCTCACTACAGCCTCCAACTCCTGGGCTCAAGCGATCCTCTGGCCTCAGCCTCTGTAGTAGCTAGGACAACATTTTGTTGTTGTTTTGTTTGTTTCTTTGTAGAGATGGAGTCTCACTATGTTGCCCAGGCTGGTCTTGAACTCCTGGCCTCAAGCAATTCTCCTGCCTTGGCTCCCCAAAATGCTGGCATTACAGGTGTGAACCTTGGTACCCGGGCCAGAAGTGCCTATAAACAGTATCCTGGCTTCCAATTTGACCCAACAATCCAGCAATAAAGAGTGCAAAAAAGGGCTACCTGCGCCTTCAGGCCGGCCTCAGGGCCCACCCTGAACAAATCCAGCAGACACTTACACCCTCATTTGAAAGAACTCCAAAATTGTCAGGAATTGTCCTGGTAGACCATTGTGACAGAGACAAAGGAGAACAGCATGGACTACAAAAGACCCAGCAAGGGAAAGAGGATGAGTCGGGAATGGCAACAAGAGCCCCTGCGAGCTTTTCCTTGGCTCATTTCTAATAGAAAAGGAAGCATTTCTCCCTTCTCTGCCTGGTTGCTATTTCTTGTCCAATCTGGGAAAACGGTGTGACAATGGGCAACAGACACGTGTTCAAGCTCTGGGGCCTCAATGCCGGGCTCTGTAGAATAAGACGGCAGGGCTGGACAAGATCCCTAACCGTTCTAACAGTGTATGTTTTGGATCAAACAGCAGAGGACCTCGGATCTGGCCGCGCTCGCTGCTGGTGGGACAGCTGCCTGAGAAAATAAGCATGTGGCCCCCGCCCGCCACCTAGCCAAGCGCCAGGATCTGTCGCGTTTTCTAGTAGTATGGAAAGCAGCGTGGAGGAGAATGAAGGGAGAGGAGCAAAAAGGGGTGGGGGCAGTGCGACAATGAGAGGGGAGGAGAGAGCCACGAGGATTTATTTCATCATGCAAACAGGCGCGTAGGTTTCATCAGCGTCTGTGCGCTGGGGCTCCGGGGCTGGGAGGGAATGCCAGGTTCCTGAGGGCAGCCCGAGGCTGGCCCCCCCACCCGTGCCAGCTCAGCTTCCTCTTCCTCATCCTCTCCCAGGGAGGTCACACGGTGCCTCCTCCTCTCCCCGGACAGAAGAACGTGTTTTTCTGCACAGCCCTGGCCGTGGCGCCAGGGTCCCCCCCGCGGAGATCCCACTCGCGTAAATGGGGAACGTGCCACAGGTGCCCGGGAGGCGCTGCTGGAGCAGGCAAGCACCCCCAGATCCGAACCTCAGTCAGAGCGCGCGAGTCCAACACAAAACTCGGCGTGCTTCGGGAAGGAAAAAGGGCCCTGCAGGAATCGTTTATCCCAACAGATAATACCCATCCCATAAAAACACCAGGCCAGGCCTCTCCTGGATCGTGGGCCACCCTAACTCCGCCCTCTCCCGCTTCGGGAGCGCCCCCAACACCCACAAGGGGCAGCACAGCTCGGCATGTGGCTGTCCTGGAGGCGTGCGTGTTTGTTAGGTGTCAGCTGTCTGACACCTAACAGAAAGAGGAAACAAACGGGGCAGTTTGTAACTCGGGTCTGGAAGACGCACTCAGAGGGGAAGCGGGCGGCCACTTCCATGACCCTCGCTGTCTCTCCGATGCCCCTTTTCCGTTCTTTCCAATCACGGCGCCCTTGAGCCTGGACACCCGGTCCAATCCGCGATTCCCGATCCTCCCGCCCGCCCAGGAGCCGGCAAGCGGCGTCGCCAAGCCCGCGCCTACCTCCCGGGGTGGTGCTGAAGAGCGTGCCGCCGGGGGTCGTGCTGTAGTCCCCGGGCGGGAGCTGCACGCCGTCGCCGAGCACCACCCGGCGAGTGGCGGGGATGGCCCGGCTTGGGGTCTGGCTGCAGCTGCTGCCCCCGGACATGGTCTCCTGTGCGCTGCACCCGCGAACCTCTCGCTGCCCTCCCGCGCCTCCAGCCTCGCTCCGCCTCGCCCCGTGCCGCCCCGCCCCAGGACGCCCCTTCCGCCTCTCCCGCCCCACGCCCCTGGGATTTGTAGTCCGCGCCGCAGCCCCACCCAGCTCCAGGACGCTGCTTCCACGTGGGATCCCCCGCCGCCCCCCGACCCACTCCCGTCTGCTCACGGGCTCTTCCGCACGGGCGCTGGCGCCGCCCCGCAGCGACTGCCCCTCCGTCCGGGGTCCCTCCCCGCCACGCTGGCAGGGACGGATATGGGGATGGCGGGCGGGATAGCTCGCCTAAATTAATCCTTGGCTGGGTTGGGGGCGGCGACTCAGGACCGCGCGGAGATCCGAGCTGACCCGGCCCACTGCAGGAAGGCCCGGTTTCTGCATTAGGACATCAGGCCTGGTGTACCCTTCGGCACTCCCTGTTTCGTGCCTTAGTTCCTCAGATGAGAAAATGGGGATTGAGTAGTTATGCTCACCGCCCCCCGCCCCGCTTCAATTTCTTGACCTTGATGGGGGTGGGGGTGGAGGGGCTAACAATTCCGTTCCCGGCCTTTAGAGAGGGTGTGGGAGGAGGAGTGAACCAACCAGCGGCGTCCTGGGAGCTAAATTTAGAGCTGGGGGCGCAGAGGTGGGTGGTGGGGAAGGGCGTTGGAGAGGAGTAAGAGTGTCGAAGAGGTTTCCCGATAGCCCCTGAATTGAGTCCAACGTCCACCTGAGGTTTAGTAGGTACTCCTTGGATGGATGGATGGATGGATGGATGGATGGATGGATGGATGGATGTTCAAGGGGAGAGAGAAAAATGCAAGAAGGACCGAGGATGGAAAAGCTTGTTGGGTTTGAGAAGTTCTTAGCATTATGGGCACATATTGTGGGGAAGAGGGTGAAGAGGGGAGGGCAGTTTAAAAGGGAAATTGGGTGGTGCACCTGTAATCCCAGCTACTCAGGAAGCTGAGGCTGGAGGATGCTTGAGCCCAGGGGTTTGAGGCTCCAGTGAGCTGTGATCACACCACTGCACTCCACCCTTTGTGACAGAGACCCTATCTCTAAAAAAATATATAATAATTTTTTAAAAAGGAAATTGGGGTCAGGTCGTTGAGTTTTTCAAATTATGCCAAAGTGCTTGGACTTTGTCTTAGAAGGGCAGGAGATATCAGAGATCTTTTAAGCAGGGGGATGACATGATTTGAGTTGTTTTTTGGAAGGATAACTAGTAGCCAGTGGAGTTTCAGAATGGGCCAAGGAGGGCAAGGCCTGAGATAGGGAGACCTGTTGAGTTTGGTCTCACTTTTGAGGGAAACTTTAGGCCTACAGTGGCTAAGACAGTAGCCACCAGCTACAGGTGCACATTGAGCACTCCAAATGTGACCAGTCCAAACTGTCACAAGTTTAACATACACACCATATTTCAAAGACTTAGTGTGAAGAAAATCATGTAAAATACCTGAATAATTTGTTTCTATATTGATTGTATGTTGAACTGATAATATTTTGAGTATACTGGGTTAAGAAAAATACATTATAAAAATTAATTTTGGGCCAGGCGCAGTGGCTCACGCCTGTAATCCCAACACGTTGGGAGGCCGAGGCAGGCGGATCATGAGGTCAAGAGATCGAGACCATCCTGGACAACATGGTGAAACCCTGTCTCTACTAAAAATATAAAAAAAATTAGCTGGGCATGGTGGCGCATGCCTGTAGTCCCAGCTACTCGGGAGGCTGAGGCAGGAGAATTGCTTGAACCTGGGAGGCAGAGGTTGCAGTGAGCTGAAATCATGCCACTGCACTCCAGCCTGGCGTCAGAGCAAGACTCTGTCTCAAAAGAAAAAAAAATAAATTTCGGCTGGGTGCAGTGGCTCACGCCTGTAATCCCACCACTTTGGGAGGCCTAGGCGGGTGGATCATGAGGTCAGGAGTTCAAGACCAGCCTGGCCAAGATGGTGAAACCCTGTCTCTACTAAAAATACAAAAAAACAAAACAAACAAACAAACAAACAAAAACAACAGACCGGGCACAGTGGCGGGTGCCTGTAATCCCAGCTACTCGGGAGGCTGAGGTGGAGAATTGCTTGAACCTGGGAGGCAGAGGTTGTAGTGAGTAGAGATCTGCCACTGCACTCCAGCCTGGGTGACAGAGTGAGACTCCGTCTCAAAAAAAAAAAAAAAAAAAAATTAATTTCATCCAGGTGCTGTGGATCACACCTGTAATACCAGCACATTTGGAGACCGAGGTGAGCAGACTGCTTGGGCTCAGGAGTTTGAGACAAGCCTGGGCAACATGGTGAAACTCTGTCTCTACAAAAAAATTTAAAAATTAGCCCAGTGTTGTGGCTCACACCTGTGGTCCCAGCTACTTTCAAGGATGAGGTAGGAAGATGACCTGAGCCCCAGAGGTGGAGGTTGCCATGAGCCAAGATTGCACCACTGCACTCCAGCCAGGGCTCAAAAAATAAATAAATAATATAAGATAAAAATAGACCAGGCCTTGCTGGTTGCAGCGATGTGCACTTGTAATCCCAGCCCTAGCTGGGATTACAAGGCCAGAGGATTGCTTGAGGCCGGGAGTTCAGAGACCAGCCTGGGCAACATAGTAAGACCTTGTTTCAAAAAAGAGAGAGTTTCAGGCCGGGTGTGGTGGCTCACGCCTGTAATCCCAACACTTTGGTAGGCCGAGGGGGGCAGATCACGAGGTCAGGAGATTGAGACCATCCTGGCTAACACGGTGAAACCCCATCTCTACTAAAAATACGAAAAAAAAAAATTACCCGGGCATGATGGCAGACGCCTGTAGTCCCAGCTACTCGGGAGGCTAAGGCAGGATAATCGCTTCAAACTGGGAGGCAGAAGTTGCAGTGGGCTGAGATCGTGCCACTGCACCCATCCTGGGTGACAGAGCGAGACTCCATCTCAAAAAAAAAAAGAGTTTCACTCTGTTGCCTGGGCTGGAGTGCAGTGGCTAATTATAGGCACAATCATAACTCAGTGCAGCTTCCAACTCCTGGGCTCAAGCCATCCTCCCACCTCAGCCTCCCCAGTGGCTGGGATTACAGGTGCATGCCACTGCACTTGGCTAATTAAAGAAAAGAATTTTTTGGCCGGGCGAGGTGGCTCATGCCTGTAATCCCAGCACTTTGGGAGGCCGAGGCAGACAGATCACCTGAGGTCAGGAGACCACCTGGCCAACATGGTGAAACCCTGTCTCTACTAAAAATACAAAAATTAGCCAGGCGTGGTGGTGTGTGCCTGTAATCCCAGCTACTCAGGAGGCTGAGACAGGAGAATCACTTGAACCCAGGAGGCATAGGTTGCAGTGAGCCAAGATCCTGCCACTACACTTTAGCCTGGGCAACAGCAAGACTCCATCTCAAAAAAAAAAAAATTTTTGTAGAAATGAGATCTTGCTATGTTACCTAGGTTGGTCTCAAACTCCTGGCCTCAAGTGATCCTCCCTCCTCAGCCTCTTAAAGTTTTGGGATTACAGGCATGAGCCACTGTGACTGGCCCCTCTACCTTTTTCTAGAGCAGGAACTCATTCATATGGAAAAAACAGCTTTTATCTGAGGAATGGGAATCCTTTTAAATTATCAGGCCTAGACATTAAAATGAGACAGCAATCACGTCCCACTACCCCCTTTTGAGCTATGTATTCATCTCTTGAAACTGCTTGCTATTGTCACAAGTAGCCATAAATTAACCTATTAATAATAATGCTGCACTAAAGACTATATAGGGTGTGGACACTATAACTTAACAGTGTATAGCCAAGGCTGGGTGCAGTGGCTTACTCCTATGATTTCCACACTTTGGCAAGCCAAGGTGAGAGGATGGCTTGAGGCCAGGAGTTTGAGACCAGCCTGGGCAACAGAGAGACCCTCCCCCTTCATCTCTACAAAAAAATTTTTAAAATGTGGCCGGGAGTTGTAGCTCACGCCTATAATCCTAGCACTTTGCGAGGCCGAGGCAGGCGGATCACCTGAGGTCAGGAGTTTGAGACCAGTCTGGCTAACATGGTGAAACCCCGTCTCTACTAAAAATGCAAAAAGTAGCCAGGTGTGGTGGTATGCGCCTGTAGTCCCAGCTACTAGGGAAGCTGAGACAGGAGAATCGCTTGAACCTGGGTGGCAGAGGTTGCACTGAGCCAAGATCACGCCACTGCACTCCAGCCTGGGTGACAGAGTGCCTCATCTCAAAAATAAAATAAAATTAAAAATTAAAAATCAATGTATGGAGAATGATTAATTGATACTATTTCTGTAAACCAATGAGATTTCTTGACAGACCACTTTGTATCAGAACCTATTGCCTTAAACTTGTAACTTGTAAACTTGTAATTCCTGTTAATTGGAGTGTATATTCAGGACATGAATCTATGCTCCTGGGTTGCAGTCCTCAAGTTTAGCCCAAATAAACTCCCTACTTATATTAATTTTGCCTCAGCTTCTTCCTTAGGTTGACAATATCAAGTCTTGTAATTGAGTAGAAAAGGACATAGGAAAAAAACCCAAATTCTTCTTCTTCTTCTCACATGTCCAACTCCACACTCAGACACCAGCTGGGTGAGGTTTCCTCCTTACACAGCAACCGAGCAATTTGGCCAAGGTAGATTCTCCAAGGGACACCAGCTCGATGTCCTCTAATTCAGTCAAATTCTGACATTATCTGCCTGGAGATAGTGCAAGATCCCACAGGTTAAGGGCTCAGTCCTACAAGACTGCCCCCCACTTGAGATGTCAGTCAAAAGTACAGCCTGTGATCTGTGCTTCTGACAACCCGGGCCTTGGGTTTGATTCATTTGCTAGAGTGGCTCACAAAACTCAGGGAAACACTTAGGTTTCCCGGTATTTTATAAAGAGTATTACAAAGAAGCAAGGCACAGGCACGTACGCGCCTGTAGTCCTAGCTATTTGAGAGGCTGGGGTGGGAGAATCACTTGAGCTCAGGAGTTTGAGGCCAGCCTGGGCAACATAGTGAGGCTTCATCTCTAAGTATAAATAAATAATCTAGTGATTTTTAAATTATTATTATTATTGTTTGAGACACATTCTCACTCTGTTGCTCAGGTTGGAGTACAGTGGCTTGATCTCAGCTCACTGCAACCTCTACCTCTTGAGTTCAAGAGCACACAAAAGATGCTGTTATCTCTCTGGAGATTCTAAGTGTTTTAGGAGCTCTGTGTCAGGAAACAGGGTGAAGACCAAATATAGCCCTCCCTCGGTATCTGCAGAAGAGTAGCTCCAGGACCTCTTGAGGATATCCTCAAGTCCCTGATATAAAATGGGTAGTATTTGCATATGTCAACAAAAGAGCCAAACTCTGTAAAATATCTAAAGAGATGTATTCTGAGCCAAATATGAGTGACCAATGGCTCATGACGCATCCTCAGGAGATCCTGAGGTCATGTGCCCAAGGTGGTTGGGGTAGAGCTTGGTTTTATACATTTTAGGGAGACATGAGACATCAATCAATACATGTAAGATGTACATTGGTTTGGTCCCAAAAGGTGGGACAGCTGGAAGTGGGAGCTTCCAAGTAATGGGCAGATTTAAAGGTTTTCTGATTGTCAGTTGGTTGAAAGAGTTATTTTCAATAGAAAGGAATGTTTGGGTTAAGATAAGGGGTTTTGGAGACCAAGTTTTTTATCATGTAGATGAAGCCTCCAGGCAGCAGGCTTTACAGAGAATAGATTGTAAATGTTACTTATCAGACTTAAAGAGTCTCTTCTATCAGCAATTCCAAAAAGGAGGAAGGTATAATGAGGCATTTCTGGCTCCCCTTTCCCATCATGGCCCCAAACTAGTTTTTCAGGTTAACATTGGAATGCTCTTGGCCTAGAGGAGGGGTCCATTCAGATGGTTGTGGGGGGACTTAGACTTTTATTTTTGGTTTACACATATAACCTATGCACATCTTCCAGTATACTTTAAATCATCCCTAGATTATTTATAATACCTAATACAATATAAATGCTATTTAAATAGTTGTCGTATTGTTTAGAGAATAATGACAAG
Source organism: Homo sapiens (assembly GCF_000001405.40). Lineage (NCBI taxonomy): Eukaryota > Metazoa > Chordata > Mammalia > Primates > Hominidae > Homo > Homo sapiens. The sequence continues at coordinate 38,024,523 of NC_000008.11, read as the reverse complement.
AAAAAAAAGTACATCAGCTGTGTCCAACCCTTTAAATGTGAGGACTTTTTTGCTTATCTGTGGTGGCAGATATCACAAAAATTGTACATGGACCTTTTTTGTTGTTGTTGTTTAGCTCATCAGTTGTCATTAGTGTATTTTATGTGTGGCCTAAGACAATTCTTCCAGTGTGGCCCAGGGAGGCCAAAGGTTGGACATCTATGGTGTACATATTCAGTACAGATGCAATTCTTTTTTCTGAATACTTTTTCTTTTTTTTTTGAGACAGAGTCTCACTTTGTCACCCAGACTGGAGTGCAGTGGTGCAATCTCGGCTCACTGCAACCTCTGCCTGCTGGGTTCAAGTGATTCTCCTGCCTCAGCCTCCCAAGCAGCTGGGATTACAGGCATATGCCACTACGCCCAGCTAATTTTTGTATTTTTAGTAGAGACAGGGTTTCATCATGTTGGCTAGGCTGGTCTTGAACTCCTGACCTTGTGATCCACCCGCCTCGGCCTCCCAAAATGCTGGGATTACAGGCATAAGCCACCACACCCAGCCTTTCTAAATATTTTTCTATGCAAGCTTGGTTAAGTCCACAGATGAGCAGCCCTTGGATATGGAGGGCCGAGTATTTCACCATGTCACAGAGTATCAGCTCCTGTCATATGGACATCCATGTTGTCACAGAGTATCAACACAGGGCAGGGGCCATGTGTTTACTTACTCTCACTCTCCTCAGCACTTACCCAAGAGAGGCCACTGATAATACTTTTGGGTGCTGCTGCTGCCAAAAGCCAAACTTGTTTCTGACTTTTCTTCCAGGCTCATTTAAGTCTATTACTTAAGCTCACAACTGTTACAGCTGGAGGCCAAAGAAAAGGAGGGCCAGGCATGGTGGCTCATGCCTCTAATCCTAGTACTTTGGGAGGCCAAGGTGAGAGGATGGCTTAAGCCCAGGAGTTTGTGACCAGCCTGGGCAACATAGGGAGACCCCTATATTAATCACCACCACAACAAAACTTAGTGGGGTGTGGTATATGCCTGTAGTCCCAGCTACTTGGGAGGTTGAGGTGGGAGGATTGCTCAAGCCTGGGAGGTCAAGGTTACAGTGAGCTGTGTTGGTGCCACTGCACTTTGACCTGGGCAACAGAGTGAGATGCTGTCTCAAAACAAAAAACAAAAAAAGTTGGAATGAGCTGAGGAATGTTTTCTAGAACCAGTAAAGAAAGTTAGGGTGGGAGGCTGGGCACAGTGGCTTGTTGCGGGAAGTCAGGGACCCCAAACGGAGGGACCATCTGGAGTTGTGGCAGAGGAACATAAATTGTGAAGATTTCATTTTAATATGGACATATATCAGTTCTCAAATAATACTTTTATAATTTCTTACATCTGTCTTTACTTCAATCTCTGAACACAAATTGTGAAGATTTCATTTTAATATGGACATTTATCAGTTCCCAAATTAATACTTTTATAATTTCTTATGCCTGTCTTTACTTTAATCTCTTAATCCTGTTTTCTTCGTAAACTGAGAATGTACGTCACCTCAGGACCACTATTGTGTTAACTGTACAAATTGATTGTAAAACATGTGTTTGAACAATATGAAACCAGTGCACCTTGAAAAAGAACAGAATAGCAGCGATTTTCAGGGAACAAGGGAAGACAACCATAAGGTCTGACTGCCTGCAGGGTCAGGCAGAGTAGAGCCATATTTTTCTTCTTGCAGAGAGCCTATAAACGGACTTGCAAGTAAAGAAGATATTGCTAAATTCTTTTCCTAGCAAGGAATATTAATAATTAAGACCCTGGGAAAGGAATGCATTCCTGGGGGGAGGTCTATAAATGGCCGCTCTGGGAGTGTCTGTCTTATGTGGTTGAGATAAGGACTGAAATACGCCCTGGTCTCCTGCAGTACCTTCAGGCTGACTAGGATTGGGAAACCCCACCCTGGTAAATTTGAGGTCAGACCAGTTCTCTGCTCTTGAACCCTGTTTTTTGTTGTTTAAGATGTTTATCAAGACAATAAGTGCACAGCTGAACATAGACCCTTATCAATAGTTCTGAATTTGCCCTTGTCCTGTTTGCTCAGAAGCATGTGATCTTTATTCTCCTTTTTGCCCTTTGAAGCATGTGATCTTATGACCTACTCCCTGTCCTTGCACCCCCTCCCCTTTTGAAATCCTTAATAAAACTTGCTGGCTTTAAGGCTCAGGTGGGCATCACGGTCCTACCAATATGTGATGTCACCCCCAGAGGCCCAGCTGTAAAATTCCTCTCTTTGTACTGTTTCTGTTTATTTCTCAGACTGGCCGACACTTAGGGAAAATAGAAAGAACCTACGTTGAAATACTGGGGGCAGGTTTGCCCAATAGCGGCACATGCCTGTAATCCCAGCACTTTGGGAGGCCTAGGTGGGTGAATCACTTGAGGTCAGGAGTTTGAGACCAGCCTGACCAACACAGTGAAACCCTGTTTCCACTGAAAATACAAAAAAAATAGCTGGGTGTAGTGGGTGCACTTGTAATCCCAGCTACTCAGGAGGCTGAAGCGGGAAAATTGCTTGAACCTGGGAGGCGGAGGCTACAGTGAGCTGAGATTGTGCCACTGCACTCCAGCCTGGGCAACAGAGCAAGACTCCATATTTAAAAAAAAAAAAAAAAGGAAGAAAGAAAGATAGGGTGGGGGATGCAGGGTCCGAGAAGAGGTTCCATCACACCTTGCTCTACTTGACCAACAGGCAGGGAGAGGCAGGGACAGATGTTACTTTAAGTGGGTGGAATTCATCTTGGTAACCTAAACAGGCACAATGGCCCCATCCTTCTGGTTTGAAATGCTTTGTGAGGTTCATAAATTATATTGATGGAAAATTAAGGACAGCCCTGAGCAGGCACCAGCACCCTCCGGTGTTCATCTCAACATGGCTCTGCTGATCTGGACCAGCTGGGGCAGGCGTGTCAAGAGAGGGCCCCCAGGAATGGTCCCAGGAAGCAGCAAGAGCTGCAAGAGTGAGATGCTTCCAGTTCGCTGAATGGAAACTGTAGTGGAGGCCAGGTGTGGTGGCTCATGCCTGTAATTGCAGCATTTTGGGAGGCCAAGGCAGGAGGATTGCTTGAGCCCAGGATATTGCGATCAGCTTGAGCAACATGATGAAACCCTGTCTCTACAAAAAATAGAAAAATTAGCCAGATGTGGTGGCATGTGCCTGTAGTCTCAGCTACTCAGGAGGCTGAGGTGGCAGGATTGCTGAAGCTGAGGAAGCTGCAGTGAGCCATGATTGTGCCACTGCACTCCAGCCTGGGCAACAGAGTGAGACTCTGTCTTCAAAACAAAAGCAAAAACAAAAGCAAAAAGAAACCTGTAGTGGAGCTGACTTCTGAAGCTGCTCAAGCTAGAAAGGGACTTGGGAGACAGTGCGAGAGAAGTGTCCTGGGTGTGTGTGTGTGTGTGTGTGTGTGTGTCTCCATTGCAAATTTTTTTTTTAATGGTATCTCTCTCTGTCACCCGGGCTGGAGTGCAGCAGCACAATCATGGCTCACTGCAACCTCTGCCTCCTGTGTTCAAGCGATTCTCCTGCCTCAGCCTCCCGAGCAGCTGGGATTACAGGCATGTGCCACTATACCTGGCTAATTTTTGTATTTTTAGTAGAGACAAGGTTTCACCATGTTGGCTACACTGGTTTTGAACTTCTAACCTCTGTGAGTCACCACGCCTGGTCTAATGCAAATACTATTTGATACTGAAGACATTCCCTGCTTCACCACTGGGAATCCTTTCTTGTCCTGTTGTCATGGCCCCAGTGATCTTTCGTGGCTCCTGTTATTTCTTGTACAATAAGGGATTCTGGGCTTTGTAAACCAAAAATAAAATTCTAAGCCCCTCAGTCATCTGAATGGACCCCTCCTCTAGGCCAAGGGCATTCCAAAGTTAACCTGAAAAACTAGTTCAGGCTATGAAGGGAAAGGGGAGCTGGATATGCCTTATTATACCCTCGTCCCTTTTAAAATTGCTGATAGAAGAGACTCTAAGTCTGATAAGAAACATTTACAGGCCAGGCACAGTGGCTCACGCATGTAATCCCAGCACTTTGGGAGGCCGAGACGGGCAGATCACGAGGTCAGGAGTTCAAGACCAGCCCAGCCAACATGGTGAAACCTGGTCTGTACTACAAATACAAAAATTAGTCAGGCATGGTGGCACATGCCTGTAATCCCAGCTACTCAGGAAACTGAGGCAGGAGAATCGTTTTAACCTGGGAGGTGGAGGTTGCAGTGAGCCAAGATCACACCACTGCACTCCAGCCTGGGTGACAGAGTGAGACTCTGTCTCAAAGAAAAAAAAAAATTGAAATATTTACAATCTATTCTATCTGAAGCCTGCTACCTGGAGGCTGATATGCATCAGAACCTAGGTCTCCACAATCCCTTATCTTAACCCAGACATTCTGTTCTATTGATTCTACATCTTTAGACAATAACTTAACTCTTTCAACCAATTGCCAATCAGAAAATCTTTGAATCCACCTATGACCTGGAAGGCCCCCCCCACCATTTTTCCTGTTGTCCTGCCTTTCTAGACCAAACCAATGTACATCTTACATGGATACGTTGATGCCTTATGTCTCCCTAAAGTATATAAAACCAAGTTGTGGCCCAACCACCATGGTCACATGTTCTCAAGATCTCCTGAGGATTGTGTCATGGGCCACTGGTCCCTCATATTTGGCTCAGAATAAATCTCTTCAGATATTTTTCAGAGTTTGACTCTTCATCAAGAGTGCCTCTTCTCAATTTCCTTCCCCAGATATAAATTCAGCCTTTCTTCAGAAAGCTCTGTTTCCATTCCAGATAGATTCATGGTATCCCAGCGTTGGAGCTCAGAAACCAATATGGCACTTTGACGTGCTGAACTGAAGAAGCCTCAAGGTCTTTCTGACTTCCTGGGCCCCCTATCTCTCAATCCTCTGTCTCTCCCAAAGCACAGGATGAAGTAGTTCTCTGAAGTTTCCTTATCTCCCTAAAGTCCACATCTGCCAAAGAAGAAAACAATCACCTCTGGTCCCTTCCATGCGTTCTCATTAATGGAACTCTGACCACAGGATGAAAGACTGAAGTTTGTCAACACACTTGGACAGAATTTTGTCACAAACCATTTTCTGCTCTACAATGCCAACAGACTTTGTCCTAGGCCATTGTATTGTAAACCAAAAAGTATCTGAGGCAGGATTCTATCAATTTAGAAGTTATTTTGCCAGGATTAAGGACATGCCCAGGAGAAAAGAACACAGAATCACAGAAACAGTCTGTGATCTGTGCCTCTCTCCAAAGAAGATTCTGAGGCTTCAGTATTTAAAGGGGAAAAGCAGGTGGGTGGGGATAGAGGGAGGGTGTGGTCATTCACATTACAAGACAAAGAGCAGGTAGGGAACAGTCAGTTATAAATTTGCCTGGTGCTCAGTAAACTGGCACTTTATATAAGATAAGGTGAACATAGCACAGCTACTTGTGGGCCTGTTTAACTTTATATCAGTAGATGTCTTAGGAACAAAAGGAAAGCCAGCTTCTTGTATGATTCAGTGTTCAGCTTAAGGGGGTTTTTCCTTTTGGCATTTTGAGTTGGGGTCCCGAGGTTTTATTTTCTTTTGACACTTATCCCTCCTTTTCTTTTGACACTTATCCCTCCTTTTCTTTTGAAAATCTTTGCCGGGCGCAGTGGCTCACGCCTGTAATCCTAGCACTTTTGGAGGCCAAGGTAGGTGGATTGCCTGAGCTCAGGAGTTTGAGACTAGCCTGGGCAACATGGTGAAACCCCGTCTCTACTAAAATACAAAACAAAATTAGCTGGGCGTGGTGGCACGCACCTGTAGTCCCAGCTACTCGGGAGGCTGAGGCAGGAGAATTGCTTGAACCTGGGAGGCGGAGGTTGCAGTGAGCTGAGATTGCACCACTGCAATCCAGACTGGGTGACAGAGCGACGTCTAAAAACAAAACAAACAAACAAAACTGTTTTTTTTTTTTTTTTTTTGAGATGGAATCTCGCTCTGTTGCCCAGGCTGGAGTGCAGTGGCACAATCCCACTGACTGCAACCTCCACCTCCCGGGTTCAAGCTATTCTCCTGCCTCAGACTCCCTAATAGCTGGGATTACAGGTGTGCACCACCACACACAGCTAATTTTTATATTTTTAGCAGGGCTAGGATTTTGCCATGTTGGCCAGGTTGGTCTCGAACTCCTGACCTCAGGTGATCTGCCTGCCTCGGCCTCCCAACGTGCTGAGATTACAGACATGAGCCACCAAGCCAGGCCAAGAGAAAGCATTTAAGAAGAAAAGGAGTCTCTGGTTTTTGTTTTGTTTGATCTGTCATGGTTAGGATGGTTTATTCCTAGATAGGTCCCATGTTGTTAGAAAAGCCCATTTTCAGTAGTTTGTGAAGTATCATGTCCCACGAATTAAAAATAGGGAAAGGAAGAAAGAAGGAAAACAGAAGAAGAAAAGGAAGAAATAGCAAACAAAGAAAAAAGGGAGAGCAATCCTGGAAAACCAATATAGGCCATATTACTCTGAAGTCCATGCATCAGCAGGCAGGTATAAAAATGGTTTATGGACTGGGCACAGTGGCTCATGCCTGTAATCCCACCACTTTGGGAGGCCAAGGATTTCTATCATTTGAGGCCAGGAGTTCAAGACCAGCCTCGCCAACATGGCAAAACCCCATCTCTACTAAAAACACAAAAATTAGCCGGGTGTGCTAGTGCACGCCTGTAGTCCCAGCTACTCAGGTGGCTGAGGAGGGAGAATTGCTTTAGCCTGGGAGGTGGAGGATGCAGTGAGTGGAGGTCATGCCACTGCATTCCACCCTGGACAACAAAGGGAAACTCCGTCTCAATAAAATAAAATAAAATAAAAAACCAAAGGTTTATGTATATAGACAGGTTTCTCTTATTTTCCTCTGAAATTTAAGGTGTCTAGCTTCAGTTCACAGCACTTTAAGAAAAGCATAGCTTAATTTTTAGGGATTTCAAATCAGGATAAATGGGGGGAAAAGAAAAAGAAGAAAAAAGTTGCAAACATTATTTTGGAGACTTGTAGCCAGGAAACATTTCAGGATTCAGTTCAAATTTTAAGACATAATAAAATGGAAAAGCACTGGACAAGGCTAGAAGCTAATAACTGGTGTACTATAGTTTATTGTGAAACAATTTTTCTCTCTCCAACTCCTCAGTTTTATTAAAGATGAAATCATAGTAGGATCAATTTATTTGTAAAATAAGTTTTAGTCTTATTATAGTTGGCTTGATTATTTGCATAAATGCAACAAGAATAATTATTGGCCATATAAGTGCTCTCTCTATTTTTATTTTTATTTTTTACACAGTCTCATTCTGTTGCCCAGGTTGAAGTGCAGTGGCGCGATCCAGCAAACTGCAACCTCCACTTCCCAGGTTCAAGTGATTCTCCTGCCTCAGCCCCTCAAGTAGCTCGAATTACAAGCATGCACCACCATGCCCAGCTAATTTTTGTATTTTCAGTAGAGTCAGGGTTTCACCATGTTGGCCAGGGTGGTCTCGAACTCCCGACCTCAGGTGATCCACCTGCCTTGGCCTCCCAAAGTGCTGGGATTACAGGCGTGAACTACTGCGCCTGGCCGATTTAATATAACTTTAGATTCTAAATTATATGTTTATTTACAAGCATTTGTTTTATTAAATTTACCTAGTTAATCAATTTTTTTTTTTTTGAGGGAGTTTTGCTCTTGTCGCCCAGGCTGGAGTGCAGTGGCGTGATCTTGGCTCACTGCAACCTCCTCTTCCCGGGTTCAAGTGATTCTCCTGCCTCAGCCTCCCGAGTAGCTGGGATTACAGTCGCCCACCACCATGCCTTGCTAATTTTTTTGTGTTTTTAGTAGACACCTGGTTCCATCATGTTGGCCAGGGTGGTCTCGAACTCTTGACCTCAGGTGATCCGCCCACTTCAGCCTCCCAAAGTGCTGGGATTACAGGCATGAGCCACCACTCCCAGCCTAATTAATTTTTTAAAGATAGTTTACCTAGATAGCTTATGAAAACTGTGATAGTCATCATTTAAAGTTATTTTCCTGTGAAACATTTTTATATCTTATGAATTTCAGATGTTTACCAAAGTAAGAAACTTAAGGTTAAATAAATGTTTGTTTTGTTTTATTTTATTTTGCCAATAACTCAGGATTTAGCTGTTTCCATTAAGCCAACATTAAATACCTTATTTATTTAAAAATTACACAAACAATGATAATTCTCTTTTGGGCTACATTTATAGCTTTATAACCCTCATGCCACATTTTGACAATTTATAATATCTAGCAGAGATAATATAAAACCACTTGACTAATAAATCTAAACAATAATGTATGTTGACAATTCTGAAGACATTTCTAATTTTATTTTACAAATACTTTTAAAACCAGGTTATTTATTAAAGATTTACTTGTCACACGAACTTAAAAAGGCAATTAGGCTTAAAGTTTCTACTTTTCTATAAAGTGTTTAATTTAAGTAAATTTTACTTAAATTTTACACACCTGTAATCCCAGCACTTTGGGAGGCGAAGGTGGGTGTATCACCGGAGGTCAGGAGTTTGAGACCAGCCTGGCCAACATGGTGAAATCCTGTCTGTACTAAAAATACAAAATTACCCGGGTGTGATGGTGCATGCCTGTAATCCCAGCTACTTGACGGGAGAAATACTGGAACCTGGGAGGGGGAGGTTGCAGTGAGCTGAGATTGTGCCATTGCACTCCAGCCTGGACAACAGGAGCAAAACTCTGTTTCAAAAGTAAAAAGAAAGCTACATACCTCCCTCACAATTTGCTTGTGCGCCCCAAGATCTTTACCTTAAAACAGTTCTGTTGACTTTCACCCTGGCATTGTAAACTGATAGCTTATCTTCCCAGGTGCAGAACAGAAAGTCATCCCTCTCCTCACTTGAGACAAATGCATATCTGATTGCTTCCTCTGATCTATGTTTAAGTGAAAACGCAGATTCACTGAGTCAGACTAAATTGTGTATTCAGTGAAAGACTGGTCAAGGACTCAAAAGAATGCAACCAGGCTGGGCATGCTGGCTTACACCTGTAATCCCAGCATTTTTGGAGGCCTAGGTGGGTGGATTGTTTGAGCCCAGGAGTTGGAGACCAGACTGAGCAACATGGCAAAACTACGTCGCTACAAAAAATACAAAAATTAGCTGGGTGTGGTGGTGCACACCTGTAGTCCCAGTTACTTGGGAGGCTGAGGTCTGAGGATCGCTTGAGCCTAAGAGTTCGGGGCTGCAGTGAGCTGTGAGGATGGTGCCACTGCACTCCACTTGCCTGGGAGACAAGAGTGAGACCCTATCTCAAAAAACAAACAGGCTGAGTGTGGTGGCTCATGCCTGTAATCCCAGCACTTTGGGAGGCTGAGGTGGGCGGACTACTTGAGGTCAGGAGTTCAAGACCAGCCTGGTCAACATGGTGAAACCCCATCTCTACTAAAAATACAAAGATTAGCTCTGCATGATGGTGGGCACCTATAATCCCAGCTACTCAGGAGGCTGATGCAGAAGAATTGCTTGAACCTGGGAGGCGGAGGTTGCAGTGAACCTAGATTGAGCTACTGCACTCCAGCCTGGGCGACAGAGTGAGACTCTGTCTCAAAAAACCAACCAAAGAATACAACCTTTTGTCTTTTATCTGCCTATGACTTAGAAGCTCCTTCATTCCACTTCGAGTTGTCCTGCCTTTCGGGACCAAACCAATGTATGTCTTACCCATGTTGACTGATGTCTCATGTCTCCCTAAAATATGTAAAATCCAGCTGTACCTCAACCACCTCGGGCACATGGTTGACAGGACCCCCTGAGGCTGTTTCACAGGCACATCCTTAACCTTGGCAAAGTAAACTTTCTAAATTGATTGAGACCTGTTTCAGGTATTTTGGGTTCACATTGATAACCTGTTTCATTACTTTAGTCAATTGTCAGCTTGATAGCCCTAAATTTGCATAGTAAAGGAACAACTCACGTTAAAATCAGATAGTGAAATTTACTTTCCAGAGTACAGAGAGGGAGAAAGAAAGAGAATCTGGGTGTGTTAGAGGGAGATTAAAAAGGAATACCAAGCCAAACATATAATTGTTAAAATCTACCACAGGATTTTATAATTTAGATACTTTTTTTTTTTTGAGACAGAGTTTCACCCTGTCGCCCAGGCTGGAGTACAATGGCACGACCTCGGTTCACTGCAACCTCTGCCTCCCGGGTTCAAGTGATTTTCCTGCCTCAGACTCTCGAGTAGCTAGGATTATAGGCACGTGCCACCACGCCTGGCTAATTTTTTGTGTCTTTAGTAGAGATGGGGTTTCACCATGTTGGCCAGGCTGGTCTTGAACTTCTGACCTGGTGATCCACCTGCCTTGGCCTCCCAAAGTGCTGGTGCTGGGATTACAGGTGTGAGCCACTGCCTTTTTTTTTTTTTTTTTTTTTTTTTTGAGACGGAGTCTCACTCTGTCATCCAGGCTGGAGTGAAGTGGTGTGATCTTGGCTCACTGCAACCTCCACCTCCCTGGTTCAAGCGATTCTCCTGCCTCAGCCTCCCTAGTAGCTGGGATTACAGGTGTGTGCCAACATGCCCAGCTAATTTTTGTATTTTTAGTAGAGACAGGGTTTCACCATGTTGGCCAGGCTGGTTTCGAACTCCTGAACTCAGGTGATCCGCCCACCCTGGCCTCCCAAAGTGTTGAGATTATAGGCATTGAGGCGGGAAATTAAAGAAAGAAAGAAAAATAAAATTAAAAGGAGAAAGAAATAAGCTTTCCTGTATTAGGCTGACTTGTCCCAGAGGCAGCAATGGGCACAGCGCAGACCCAGGGAAAGCCTTGATAATACTATCTAAGAAGCCAGGACACAAAGGAACGTGCTCTGGAGGCTCTCCCAGCACTTCCTCAACATAGGGAGAAGAGAAACAAATTTTCCTTTGTTTTATGGTATGAGTTTATAGATTCTTGTTCTCTGTACCTAGTAACTTCAAGTATTCTGTTTTATCTAAGAAGTACAGCAAAGGTCATGAGAAGCCTGAGCAGGCCCGAACAACAGCTGTCTGGGCACCATAGTAAAGGTTATGAGATAAACCAGTGCAAGGCTCTTTAGAGTAAAACCTAGATAACAGACATCTAGGTTGCTTGGCATTGGTCATGTGTAGTCCTGAGTTATGAACCTGTCACAATTTGATTAATTGTTCTGACTCTATATCCTTGCTTTCACGCCACTGTAACTGTAAGCCTGCTTCAAGCTAGCCCACCCCCTTTTTGAAGTGTGTGTAAAAGTCAAGTGCTGTCTTTGTTCTGGGCCCAGCGTTTAGATATTATGTCCGCTGGGTCATCTGAGTGCACTCAATAAAGATATCCTGTATACACCCCAAGATCTCTCTCTGGTCTTCCTGATCCCCCAATGGCACGAGCCACCGTGCCCTGCCTAGACAGATAATTTTAAATTTAGTCTCTATTAACTGTACTTCTGGGCTCTGGGCAGAGCCCACACTGAATCCTGGGTCTCCAGAAAGAGAGACATCATGAGAGTAGGCCACGTAATGCTTTTACAGTGCACTTTGTTACAAAGCTATTACATTGTGTTTTAAGTGTTTAAACCACACCCGTTCTTATCTTCAACACTTAAGAGTAGCCCCTGTAGCAATAACTATTTCGATAAAGAATAAAATAAAATAAAATAAAATAAATTAGGTAACTCAATACAAAAGCCAGCAGATTAAGATCTGAGAGGAACTTGTCTGTTTACCCTTTGGGATTTCATAAGGAAAAACAGGGGCTTCTCCTAAAAAGGAGTCTGGCGTCTTCTCTGTTTTCTTTCTTTCTTTGTTTTTTTTTGAGACGGAGTCTCCCTCTGTTGCCCAGGCTGGAGTGCATTGGCGCGATCTTGGCTCACTGCAAGCTCCGCCTCTCGGGTTCACGCCATTCTCTCGCCTCAGTCTCGCCAGTAGCTGGGACTGTAGGCGCCCGCCACCACGCCAGGCTAATTTTTTTTTTGTATTTTTAGTAGAGACGGGGTTTCACCGTGTTAGCCAGGATGGTCTCCATCTCCTGACCTCGTGATCCGCCCACTTTGGCCTCCCCAAGTGCTGGGATTACAAGCGTGAGCCACCGCGCCCGGCCCTTTTCTGTTTTCTTCAGGGAATCCCAGGCTGTTAGAAATTATTTAAGATCCCTCAGGCAGCAGAGGATGGCATGAGGAAGGAGAGACAGAGAGAAGTATATGGAGATAATAGAATTCAGTCCACTGAGAAGAAAAAAAGCATTTTTTCTCAAAAAACAAGATCCTAGGAGAGAAAAAAATGCATGAAGACCTTTTAAATATATATCTAGGCCAGGCTCGGTGACTCATGCCTGTAATCCTAGCCCTTTAGGAGGCTGAGGCAGGAGGATTGCTTGAGCCCAGGAGTTTGAGGCCAGCCTGGGCAACATGGGGAAACCTAGTCTCTACTAAAAATACAAAAATTAGCCAGTTGTGGTGGCGCACGCCTGTAATCCCAGCTATTTGGGCAGCTGAGGCACAAGAATTGCTTGAAAGGGGGAGACTGAAGCAGCAGTGAGCCGAGATTGTACGAATACACTCCAGCCTGGGCAACAAGGTGAGACCCTGTCTCAAAAAAATTAAAACTAAAGCTGGGCACAGTGGCTCACACTTGTAATCCCAGAACTTTGGGAGGCTGAGGTGGGCGAATCACCTGAGGTCAAGAGTTCGAGACCAGCCTGGCCAACATGGTGTAAACCCTGTCCCTACTAAAAATACAAAAGTCATCCAGGCGTGGTGGTGCATGTCTATAATCCCAGCTACTCAGGAGGCTGAGGAGGGAGAATGGCTTGAACCTGGGAGGTGGAGGTTGCAGTGAGTGGAGATCTGCTACTGCACTCCAGCCTGGGTGACAGAGTGAGACTCCCTCTAAATTAAAAAAAAATATATAAAAAATATAAATATAAAATATATATCATATATAAATATATATATTAAATGAGAAAAAATATTTAAAGGGAAAAGCAGGCTGGCAGGGAAAGAGGGAGACTGTGGTCATCCACATTACAAGAGAAAAGGAGGAGGGAGGGAATAGTCAGTTATGGATTTGTCTCCTACTCAGTAAACTGGCACTTTACGTAAGATAAGGTGAACGTAGAGTAGTAGCTACTTGTGGAGATATTTAACCTTTTATCAGTAGCTATCTGCTTAGAAACAAAGCAGCTTCTTCTTCTTCTTTTTTTTTTTTTGAGACAGAGGCTCCCTCTGTTGCCCAGGCTGGAGTGCAGTGGTGCCATCTTGGCTCACTGCAAGCTCCGCCTCCTGGGTTCACGCCATTCTCCTGCCTCAGCCTCCCAAGTAGCTGGGACTACAGGTGCCCACCACCACGCCCGGCTAATTTTTTGTATTTTTAGTAGAGACGGGGTTTCACCGTATTAGCCAGGATGGTCTCGATCTCCTGACCTCATGATCCACCCACCTCGGCCTCCCAAAGTGCTGGCATTACAGGCATGAGCCACCGCGCCCGACTGGAACAAAGCAGCTTCTTGCATGATTCGGCTTTTGGTTTAATTTTTTCCTTTTCGCATAGTGAATTGGGGTCTCATGTTTTTATTTTCCTTTCACAGTATGTTCTTCAAGTCCATTGAATTTTCTTAAACATCTTTTAGAACCCCCCTAAAATAATCTGCACTTCCCCACCTCCCTTTCCCCTAATAAAAAAAGCTGTATGACCATCTGTACCCCACTGACTTATTGGGTAACTCTCCTACAATTCCCTGGTGCTATGCATGCTGAAATGAATGTGTATGCCTTTTCTCCACCTAATCTTGCATAGTGCTATAAAGAAATACCTGAAGGTCGGGTGTGGTGGCCCATGCCTGTAATCCTAGCACTTTTGGAGGCCTAGGTGGGTGGATCACTTGAGGTTAGGAGCTCGAGACCAGCCTGGCCAACATGGCGAAGCCCCGTCTCTACTAAAACACAAAAATTAGCCGGGTGTGGTGTCACGTGCCTGTAATCAAAGCTATTCTAGGGAGGCTGAGGCAGGAGAATCACTTGAACCCAGGAGGTAGAGGTTGCAGTGAGCCGAGATTGTACCACTGCACTCCAGCTTGGGCAACAGAGCGAGACTCCATCTCAAAATGAAACAAAACAAAACAAAAAACCTGAGTCTGAGTAATTTATAAAGAAGAGAGGTTTCATTGACTCATGGTTCTGCAGGCCATACAGGAAGCATAATGGCTTCTGCTTCTGTGGAGGCCTCAGGAAACTTACAATCATGGTGGAAGCAAAGAGTGAGCCAGTACTTTGCATGGCCGGAGCAGGAGGAAGAGAGAGAGAGGGGGGTGCCATACCCCTTTGGACAACCAGATCTCATGAAAACTTCCTATTGCGATGATGGCACCAAGGGGGAATGGTGTTAAACCGTGAGAAACTACCCCAATGATCCAGTCACCTCCCACCAGGCTCCACCTCCAGCATTGGGGATTACAATTCTTTTTTTTTTTGAGATGGAGTCTCGCTCTGTCGCCCAGGCTGGAGTGCAGTGGGGTGATCTTGGCTCACTGCAACCTCCACATTTTTTTGCTCGATAAGTGAACACCAACCACGAACTTCATTCCTCAGCCTCCTGGGTAGCTGAGATTATGTGCCACCATGCCCGGCTAATTTTTTGCATTTTTTAGTAGACACTCCTCAGAAGAAGGAATTCAGGGGGTATTCAAGAAGAATACCTAATGGATGCTGGGCTTTGTACCGGGGTGATGGGATGACCTGTGTAGCAAACCACCATGGCACATGCTTACCTATGTAACAAACCTTCACATCCTGTTCATGTACCCCGAACTTAAAATCAAAGCTGAAAAAAAAGGGATATAAAGTCATAAAAAAAAAAGGAAAGAATTCGACTGAGGGGCATAAGGTAGAAAGAGAGACCAAGGCAAGTTTCAGAGCAGGAGTGGAAGTTTATTTAAAGCGGCTTTAGAACGGGAAAGAAAGTATGCTTGGGAGAGACTCAGGTGGGTGACTTGAAGAACAAGCATGGTGTTTAACCTTGATCGATCCTAGGACTTTATAGGCTGGCCCCTTTCCCATGATTCTTCCCTTGGGGTGGGCTGCCTGCATGCGCAGTGCCTTCCTTACCCTTGGAAGTGAGCATGCGCAGTGTGTTTAGGAAGTTATACACATGTCCATCTGAGGCTTTCTTCCCTTTTCTGGTGGAGTGCCCCAGAAGGTCATACTCCACCATTTTTTTCTCTTAATGTGCATATCCAGGAAGTTGCTTTTCCCTGGCGTCTGCATTCGAGTAACACTTTAGCGCCACAGGTGTGGACCATTAGGAAATGGCCTCTCCCTGTTGCTGGCTGCCAATTTATCACTCTAGAGAGGCAATGTGATCATTGCCAAACCATCACCTGACATTCCTAGTGGGTAGGAGAAGAGAGAGCCCTCTCCTGCCCCACTCATGCCTGTCTAACTACCTGTAACAGCTCCATGGGCTCAAAGCTTTACATAAAAATCGTAGTGGCTTAGAGCAGGGTCTACAATCTTTACCACATCCTAGGGTTAATATTCTTTTTTTTTTTTTTTTTTTTTGAGATGGAGTTTCACCCTTGTTGCCCAGGCTGGAGTGCAATGACACAATCTCAGCTTACTGCAACCTCTGCCTCCTGGGTACAAGTGATTCTCCTGTCTCAGCCTCCTGAGTAGCTGGGACTACAGGCACCCACCACCACGCCTGGCTAATTTTTTGTATTTTTAGTAGAGATGGGGTTTCACCATGTTGACCAGGCTGGTCTCGAACTCCTGACTTCAGGTGATCCACCCGCCTTGGCCTCCCAAAGTGCTGGGATTACAGGGGTGAGCCACCGCACCTGGCCTTTAATATTCTTTGAATCATCTCCTTCCCATTGCAATAGGTTGGACGACTACCAACTACTCTAGGAATTTTTTCATCTCCTCTAATAGAAGACCCATTCCATATGAGCAGGGACTTTGTCTTCTGTATCTCCAAAGGGTAGAACAGCTCTTGGCACATAGTACCTGAGAAATAAATGAAACTTTTTGGTTGGGCGTGGTGGGTCATGCCTGTAATCCCAGCACTTTGGGAGGCCGAGGTGGGCAGATTCCTTGAGCCCTGGAGTTCAAGACCAGCCTGGGCAATATAGTAAGATCCTGCCACTACAAAAACTACAAAAAATTACGTGGGTATGGTGGTGCATGCCTGTAGTCCCAGCTACTAAGGAGGCTGAGCCAGGAGGATCACCTGAGCGCAAGGAGGTCGAGGCTGTCATTGTGCCACTGCATTCCAGCCTGGGCAACAGAATGAGACCCTGTCAAAAAAAAAAAAAAAAGAATGAAAGAAAGAAAAGAAACTTTCTAAATTTGAGGAATGCCTCTTTAAATGATCAGGCCCAGGGAGGCATTGAAATCCAACAACAGCCTCCTTCCACCCCATGAGCTGAGTAACTACCTCTTTGAGCCACTCGCTATGTGAGCTCTAGACCGGCTGACACCAAGCAACCATAAAATTAACCTAAGAGTGCCATATGCTGGACACCTTAACGCATACCCTATAGCTCCGCAATGTACAGCCAATCACTAACTAATGTTATTTCTGTACACAAATAAGAATTCCTGTTAAACAACTCTGTATCAGCCTCACTCCTTCCCTTTTGACTTTAAAAATCTACTTGTGGCTGGGCACAGTGGCTCACACCTGTAATGCCAGCACTTTGGGAGACTGAAGCAGGAGGATCGCTTGAGCTCAGGAGTTCGAGACAAGTCTGTGCAACATAGCAAGATCTCATCTCTAAAAAAAAAAAAGCACATGCCATGGTGGCACATGCCTGTAATCCCAGCTGCTTGGGAGGTTGAAGCCCAAGAGGATCACTTGAGTCCAGGAGACCACAGTGAGCTATGATCCCACCATTGCAGTCCAGCCTGAGTGACAGAGTGAGACCTGTGTCTAATAAAAATAAAAAACAAAAACAACAACTTACTTGTAACAAAAGCCAAACAGAGCACTTTCCTAAAGCAACTTGGAAGTGTTTTCTGGGCAGCTGTTCTCACTTTGGCTCAAGAAAACTTTTTTTTTTTTATTTTGAGACAGCGTCTTGCTCTGTCACCCAGGCTGGAGTGCAATGGCTCGATCTCGGCTCACTGCAACCTCCGCCTCCTGGGTTCAAGTGATTCTTCTGCCTCAGCCTCCTGAGTAGCTGGAATACAGGTGCTCACCACCACGCTTGGCTAATTTTTGTATTTTTAGTAGAGACGGGGTTTCCCCATTTTGGCCAGGCTGGTCTCAAACTCCTGACCTCAAATGATCCGCCCACCTCGGCCTCCCAAAGTGCTGGGAATAAAGGTGTGAACCACCACGCCCGGCCAAGAAAGCTCTATAAAATTATGTTTTGTGCCTTGTCGTCTTCCTTTAGGTCAGCATACCTGCTCAATCAATACCTGTTGCAGGAATTAACTGTAACATTGGAATGCATGCAAATATTAAATAACTTTACTGTGCTCTTGTGTGCAGTGCGTTTGCACGTAAACAGTTTTCTTTGCTTCATGGTCATCAGCGGAGTGGTGTAACAAGATGATATGCAATATCGGCACAGGATGAGACCTCAAGTCTATGGAGTTGCAGAAACAAGAGAAGCCAGACCCTTGGATCTGCCCAGCCACACATTAATATATGGATCCAGGCCAGGCGTGGTGGCTGACACCTGTAATCCCAGCACTTTGGGAGGCTGAGGTGGGCAGATCACCTAAGGTTAGGAGTTCGAGGCCAGCCTGGCCAACATGGTGAAACCCTGTCTCTACTAAAAATACAAATATTAACCAGGCATGGTGGTGCATGCCTGTAATACCAGCTGATTGGGAGGCTGAGGCACAGAAATTGCTTGAACTCGGGAGGTAGAGGTTGCAGTGAGCCAAGATCCTGCCACTGCACTCCAGCCTGGGTGACAGAGTGAGACTTGGTCTCAAGTATATGTGTGTGTGTGTATCCAACGTGTATCTGATTTTTTTTTTTTTTTTTGATACAGGGTCTCACTTTGTCACCCAGGCTGGAGTGCAGTAGCACAATTACAGCTCACTGCAACCTTGACTTCCCAGGCTCAAGCGATCCTCCCACATCAACCTCCTGAATATCTGGGACTATGGGTGTGCACCACCATGCCTGGCTAATTTTTTCTATTTTTTGAAGAGATAAGGTCTCACTATATTGCCCAGGCTGGTCCCGAACTCCTGGGCTCAAGCAATCCTCCTGCCTCGCCTCCCAAGTAGCTGAGACTACAGTCATGTGCCACCACACCTGGCTAAATTTTTTATTTTTGGTAGAGATGGGGTCTGTGTTTAGCTCGTTCTCACATTGCTATAAAGAACTACCAGAGACTGGGTAATGTGTAAAGAAAAGAGGGTTTAGGCTGGGCATGGTGGCTCATGCCTGTTAACCCAGCACTTTGGGAGGCCAAGGTGGGCGAAACATGACGTCAGGAGTTCGAGACCAGCCTGGCCAAAATGGTGAAATCCGTCTCTACTAAAAAACCGAAAAAAAAATTAGCTGGGGGTGATGGCGGGTGCCTGTAATCCCAGCTACTTGGGAGGCTGAGGCAGGAGAATTGCTTGAACCAGGGAGGCAGAGGTTGCAGTGAGCTGAGATTGAGCCACTGCACTCCAGCCTGGGCAACAAGAGTGCAAGACTCCGTCTCAAAAAAAAAAAAAGAAAAGAGGGTTTAATTGGCTCATGGTTCTGCAGGCTGTACAGGAAGCATGGCTGAGGAGGCCTCAGGAAACTTACAATCATGATGGAAGGCAAAGGGGAAGCAGGCATGTCCTACATGGCTGGTGCAGGAGGAAGAGAGAGCAGGGTGGGGGAGACGCTACACACTTTTAAACAACTAGATCTCATGAGAACTCTATCAGGATACAGCACTCGGGGGAATGGTGCTAAACCATTAGAAACCACCCTCATGATCCAATCTTCTCCCACCAGGCTCCACCTCCAACACTAGGAATTACAATTCAATATGAGATTTGGGTGGGGACACAGAGCCAAACCATATTAGAGTCTCCCTATATTGCCCAGGCTGAGCTTGAGCTCCTGGGTTCAAGTGGGGCTCAAGTTTGAGGCCAGCCTTGGGCTCCCAAAGTACTGGGATTATGGGCATGAGCCACCGCACCTGGCTATGTTTGTAAAATAAAACACAAAAAAGGAGGCGAGTCTTGTCAGAGGCGTATGAACCACAGCAACTCCATCTTGAATAGGGGCTGGGTAAAATGAGGCTGAGACTTACCGGGCTGCGTTCCCAGATGGTTAAGGCATTCTAAGTCACAGGATGAGATAGGAGGTTGGCACAAAATACAGGTCATAAAGACCTTGCGGATAAAACAGCTTGCTGTAAAGAAGCTGGCCAAAACCCACCAAAACCAAGATGGTGATGAGAGTGACCTCTGGTCGTCCTCACTGCTACACTCCCACCAGCGCCATGACAGTTTACAGATGCCATGGCAATGTCAGGAAGTTACTGTATATGGCCTAAAAAGGGGAGGCATGAATAACCCACCCCTTGTTTAGCATATCATCAAGAAATAACCATAAAAATGGGCAACCAGCAGCCCTTGGGGCCACTCTGTCTATGGAGTAGCCATTCTTTTTTTTTCTGGAGACAGAGTCTTTCTCTGTTGCCCAGCCAGGAGTGCAGTGGGGCAATCTCGGTTCACTGCAGCCTCCACCTCCCAGGTTCAAGCTATTCTCCTGTTTTAGCCCCTCGAGTAGCTGGGATTACAGGTGCCCACTGTCTCATGTGCATCCATGTGAAGAGACCACCGGACTTTGTGTGAGCAACAAGGCTGTTTATCTCACCTGGGTGCAGGCGGGCTGAGTCTGAAAAGAGAGTCAGCAAAGGGTGGTGTGATTATCATTAGTTCTTATAGGTTTTGGGATAGGCAGTGGAGTTAGGAGCAATGTTTTGCGGGCAGGGGATGGATCTCACAAAGTACATGCTCAAGGGTGGGGAGAATTACAAAGAACCTTCTTAAGGGTGGCAGAGATTACAAAGTACAGTGATGAGTTAGGGTGGGGCAGAAACATCACAATGGTGAAATGTCATCAGTTAAGGCTATTTTCACTTCTTTTGTGGATCTTCAGTTGCTTCAGGCCATCTGGATGTATTTGTGCAGGTCACAGGGGATATGATGGCTTAGCTTGGGCTTAGAGGCCTGACACCCACCACCACATCAGGCTAATTTTTGTATTTTTAGTAGAGACGGACTTTCATCCTGTTGGTTAGGTTGGTCTCGAATTCCTGACCTCAAGTGATCTGCCCACCTCGGCCTCCCAAATTGCTGGGATTACAGGTGTAACTCACCGCGCCTGGGCTGTGTCAGGCCTCTGAGCCCAAGCTAAGCCATCATATGCCCTGTGACCTGCACTTACACATCCAGATGGCCTGAAGCAACTGAAGAACCACAAAGGAAGTGGTTCCTGCCTTAACTGATGACATTCCACCATTGTGATTTGTTCCTGCCCCACTGATCAATTGACCTTGTGACATTCCTTCTCCTGGACAATGAGTCTCATGACCTCCCCACCCTGCACCTTGTGATCCCCGCCCCTGCCCACAAGAGATAACCATCTTTAACTGTAATTTTCCACTATCTACCCAAATCCTATAAAACTACCCCACCCCTATCTCCCTTTGCTGACTCCTTTCTCAGACTCAGCCCACTTGCACCCAGGTGAATAAACAGCCTTGTTACTCACACAGAGCCTGTTGGTGGTCTCTCTTCACATGGACTCGCATGACATTTGGTGCCAAAGACCCGGGACAGGGGGACTCCCTAGGGAGACCGGTCCCCTGTCCTTGCCCTCACTCCGTGAGGAGATCCACCTACAACCTTGGGTCCTCAGACCAGCCCAAGGAACATCTCACCAATTTTAAATTGGGTAAGCAGCCTCTTTTTATTCTCTTCTCCAACCTCTCTTGCTATTTCTCCACCCTTCAATCTCTCCCTTCCTTAATTTGGTTCCTTTCCCTATTTGTTAGAGACAGAGGAGACATGTTTTATCCTTGAACTCAAAACTCTGGCGCCGGTCACGGACTCAGGAAGACAGTCTTCCCTTGGTGTCTAATCACTGTGAGGATGCCTGCCTGATTATTCACCCACATTTCAGAGGTGTCTGATCACCGCGGGGATGCCTGCCTTAATCTTTCACCTTGGTGGCAAGTACCACCTCCCCTGGGTGGCAAGTACCACCCCCCAACTCTCTCTGTGTCTCTACCCTCTCTTTTCTCTAAACTTACCTTTTTACTACGGGCAACCTTCTGCCCTCCATTCCTCCTTCTTCTCCCTTAGCCTGTGTTCTAAAAAACTTAAAACCTCTTCAACTCTTGCCGGACCTAAAACCTAAGCATCTTATTTTCTTCTGCAAAACCGCTTGGCCCCAATACAAACTTGACAATGGTTCTGAATGGCCAGAAAACAGCATTTTTGATTTCTCTATCCTACAAGATTTAGATAATTTTTGTCAAAAAATGGGCAAATGGTCTGTGGTGCCTGATGTCCAGGCATTCTTTTACACATCGGTCCCTCCCTAGTCTCTGCTCCCAATGCGACTCATCTCAAATCTTTCTTCTTTCTCTCCTGTCTGTTCCTTTAGTCTCCACTCCAAGCTCTGAGTCCTTTGAATCCTCCTTTTCTATGAACCCATCTGACCTTTCCCCTCCTCCCCAGGCTGCTCCTCACCAGGCCGAGCCAGGTCCCAATTCTTCCTTAGCCTTCACTCTCCTACCCTATAATCCTTCTATCACCTCACCTCCTCACACCTGGTCCAGCTTACAGTTTCATTCCATGACTAGCCCTCCCCCACCTGCCCAACAATGTCCTCTTAGAGAGGTGGCTGGAGCTGAAGGCATAGTCAAGGTTAGTGCTCCCCTTTCTTTAGCCGACCTCTCCCAAATCAGTTAGCGTTTAGGCTCCTTTTCATCAAATAAAAAAACCCAGCCCAGTCCATGGCCCGTTTGGCAACAACCCTTAACACTTGACTGCCCTAGACCCAGAGGGGCCGAAGGCCGTCTTATTCTCTCTATATATTTTGTTACCCAATCCACTCCCAAAATTAGGAAAAGCTCCAAAAAGTAGATTCCGGCCCTCAAACTCTACAAGAGGACTTAATTAACCTTGTCTTCAAGGTGTACAATAATAGAAAAGAGATAGCCAAGCAGCAACTTATTTCTGAGTTGCAATTACTTGCCTCTGCTGTGAGAGAAATCCCAGCCACATCTCCAGCACAAAAGAACTTCAAAACACCTAGACCTCAGTGGTCAAGCATTCCTTCAGAACCTCCTCTCCCAGGATCTTGCTTCAAGTGCTGGAAATGTGGCCACTGGGCCAAGAAATGCCCACAGCCTGGGATTCCTCCTAAGCCATGTCCCATCTGTGCGGGGCCCCACTGGAAGTCAGACTGTCCAAACTCGCCCGGCAGCCACTCCCAGAGCCCCTGGAACTCTGGCCCAAGGCTCTCTGACTGACTCCTTTCTAGATCTTCTCAGCTTAGTGGCTGAAGACTGATGCTGCTCGATTGCCATGGAAACCTCCTGGACCATCACAGATGCTTTGGTAACTCCTACAGTGGAGGGTAAGTCCATCCCCTTCTTAATCAATATGGAGGCTACTCACTCCACATTACCTTCTTTTCAAGGGCCTGTTTCCCTTGCCTCCATAACTGTTGTGGGTATTGACGGCCAGGCTTCTAAACCTCTTAAAACTCTCCAACTTTGGTGCCAACTTGGGCAACATTCTTTTATGCACTCCCTTTTTAGTTATCCCCACCTGCCCATTTCCCCTATTAGGTTGAGATGTTTTAACAAAATTATCTGCTACCCTGACTATTCCTGGACTACAGCCATATCTCACTGTTGCCCTTCTCCCCAACTCAAAGCCTCCTTCACGTCTTCCTCTTGTATCCCCCCAACTTAACCCACAAGTATGGGACACCTCTACTCCCTCCCTGGCAACTGATCACATGCCCATTACTATCCCATTAAAACCTAATAATCCTTACCCCGCTCAATGTCAGTATCCCATCCCACAACAGGATTTAAGGGGACTAAAGCCTGTTATCACTCGCCTGCTACAGCATGGGCTTCTAAAGCCTATAAACTCTCCTTACAACTCCCATTTTACCTGTCCAAAAACCGGACAAGTCTTACAGGTTAGTTCAGGATCTGTGCCTTATGAACCAAATTGTTTTGCCTATCCACTCTGTAGTGCCCAACCCGTACACTCTTTTGTCCTCAATACCTTCCTCCACAACTCACTATTCCATTCTTGATCTTAAAGATGCTTTTTTCACTATTCCCCTGCACCCCTCGTCCCAGCCTCTCTTTGCTTTTACCTGGACTGACCCGGACACCCATCAGTCCCAGCAGCTTACCTGGGCTGTACTGCCACAAGGTTTCAGGGACAGCCCTCATTACTTCAGCCAAGCTCTTTCTCATGATTTACTTTCTTTCCACCCCTCTGCTTCTCACTTTATTCAATATATTGATGACCTTCTACTTTGTAGCCCCTCCTTTGAATCTTCTCAACAAGACACCCTCCTGCTCCTTCAATATTTATTCTCCAAGGGATATCAGGTATCCCCCTCCAAAGCTCAAATTTCTTCTCCATCCATTACCTACCTTGCCATAATTCTTCATGAAAACACACGTGCTCTCCCTGGCTGATCTTTCAAACCCCAACCCCTTCTACAAAGCAACAACTCCTTTCCTTCCTGGGCATGGTTGGATACTTTTGCCTTTGGATACCTGGTTTTGCCATCCTAACAAAACCACACCATGGTTTTGGAGAGTGAAGGAAGTGGCCACGGGGAGGTCTGCCTGGGGTTTTTCTCCTGCAGTGGATTTGGGTGTGTCCCTCTGAGCTGGTTCAGGCTTAGAGACATTGTGTGTTCGGCAGGAGAGCTGACATAGCAGGGAGAGCCCTTGGCTGCAGCTGAAGAACAGTGACACTGTGGTCTTCAGTGACAGTGGGGGACCAGGAGGGGACTGGCCATGTGGACCTAGAGGTCTTCAGGGATGTATCAGTCAGGGTCACCCAAACTGGGTCATCTAAGGAGAGTTTAATTAAGGGATGATTTACAATGGGGTGGGCTGGAGATAGGGGAAACAGAAGGGAAACTTCAACAGCCAGGCTAGAATCCCAGCAAGGGAAAGGAAGTGATTACTGGAATCCAGAGAGTGAGGGAGCCACACAGTGGCTACCACCTTCAGGCCTGGGCCGGGTATAGGGAGGGAGTTGGGACATAGGCCGTCATACCTCACTGCCTCCTGCCCTCAGATATCCCGCCAGTTCCCTAATCCAGCTGGGAGACAAAGGACAAGGGAGCCCATTGATGTGTCCCTTAGGTCAACATCCTGGGGCTCAGAGCAGGGTGGAAAAGAGTGGAGAGTAAACCTCAAAAGGGCAACAGAAGATTCCAGCACAGTGGAGTAGAGGACAAACAGGGAGGGGATGTGCAGAGCAGTCAAGAAAGCAAATCCTGGTCGGGTGCAGTGGCTCATGTCTGTAATCCCAGCACTTTAGGAGGCCGAGGCGGGCAGATCACGAGGTCAGGAGTTTGAGACCAGCCTGACCAACATGGCGAAGCCTCATCTCTACTGTAAATACAAAAATTAGCCAGGCGTGATGGCGGGCACCTGTAATCCCAGCTACTCGGGAGGCTGAGGCAGAATCGCTTGAACCTGGGAGGCGGAGGTTGCAGGGAGCTGAGATCGTACCACTGCACTCCAGCCTGGGCAACATGGTGAGGCTCTGTCTCAACAAAACAAAAAACCAAAACCGAAAAAAAAACAAACCAAAACAAGAACCAGAAAGCAAATCCTGATCCTGAACAAATGTGTGTGTGTGTGTGTGTGTGCGCCTGTGTGTGTCTGTGCCTCTGTGTGTGTGTGTCTGTGTGTGTATGTGTCTGTGTGTACATGTGGATGCGTGTGTGTGGAGTATCACGATGCACTCTTCTTGCATTGGGGGCGAGTCCCCAATTGTGGACCGAAGTCCACAATTCCGTTGTGCACAGGGTGAGGATTCAAGGTCCACAATCTCTAAATGTTCCTCCCCACCCCAAATACTTCTTCCATTCACAGGTTGATGCCTAGAATTTTCCCATTTTAGCTTTTTTCTTTTTCTTTTTTTTGAAACAGAGTCTTGCCCTGTCACCCAAGCTGGAGTGCAGTGCCACGACCATGGCTCACTCTCACAGCAGCCTCGACCTCCCAGGCTTAAGCCATCCTCCCACCTCAGCCTCCAGAGTAAGCTGGGACCACAGGCATGTACCACCACACCCAGATAATTTTTTAAATTTTGTAGAGATGGGGGTCCCACTGTGTTCCCCAGACTGGCCTTGAACTCCTGGGCTCAAGTGATCCTCCTGCCTTGGCCTCTCAATTTGCTGGAATTACAGGTGTGAGCCACTAAGCCTGGCTGCTTTTTTTCTTTCTTTCTTTTTTTGAGACGGAGGCTCACTCTGTTGCCCAGGCTGGAGTACAGTGGCGCTATCTCAGCTTACTGCAACCTCTGCCTCCCCGGTTCAAGCAATTCTTCTGCCTCAGCCCCCTGAGTAGCTGGGACTATAGGCACTTGCCACCATGCCCGGCTAATTGTATTTTTAGTAGAGATGGGGTTTCACCATATTGGCCAGACTGGTCTTGAACTCCTGACCTCGTGATCCACCTGCCTCAGCCTCCCAAAGTGCTGGGATTATGGGTGTGAGCCACAGCGCCCAGCCCTGGCTGCTTTTTTCTTTTCACTAAAGTTTCTGCAAAACTGTAAACATGTCCTTGGAATCCGAGACTGTACAAGGAAGAAAGGAAACAAACGTTATGGAGCTCTTACCCAGTGCCTGCACTGCACAAGGTTGCACATGGATGGAATCACTGAATGTCCCCACGACCTTATAAGAAAAGTATTAGTATCTTCATTTCACACACGAGGGAGAGGAGGTTTGGGGTCGGCGGGGGTGGGGGGATAGCCTGCCCATACCCAAAGCCCATTTTTTTTTTGAGACAAGGTCTTGCTCTATGGCCCAGGCTGGGGTGCAGTGTTGTAATGATAGCTCCCTGCAGCCTCCACCTCCTGGGCTCAAGTGATCCTGCCACCTCAGACTCTGGAGTAGCCAACTACAGGTGTGCACCACCACACCCGCCTCATTGTTTGTTTGTTTGTTTATTTATTTATTTATTTATTTTACTTCTTGTAGAGACTGGGTCTCATTATGTTGCCCAGGCTCCAAATTTAAGTATTTGCATAATGTATTTAATCCAAAACCCATACACTTAACCACTCTACCAATGATTCCCGCACTTCAGAGTATATCACATCAGCTGAGGAGTTTGTGAAATAGGTGAAATCTTTAGCTGAGAGCAGGTTTTACTGGGAGAAGGGGAAAACCATCTTAAAGAAGAGAGAGGTGAGGACAGTGTGTTTGTCTGCTTGGGCCGCTATAACAAACAAAATAGCATAAACTCAGCGACTTAGGCAACAGACATGTATTTTTCACAGTTCTGGAGTCTAGAAGTCCAAGATCAAGGTGCTGGCTGATTTGGTTGCTGGCGAGGGCCCTCTGCTTGGTTTGTAGATTGCTGCCTTCTCACTGTGAACTCAGAGGGCAGAGAGAGAGAGATGGAAAGGAAGAGAAAGAAAGGGAGAGAGGGAGAAAGGGAGAGGGAAAAAGGGAGAGGGAAAGGAGGAGAGAGAGAGAAAGAGAAAGGGAAGCAGGCAAGGAGAGAGGAAGGGGAGAGGGAGAGAGAGAAGTGGTAGAGGGAGAGAGAGAGAGAAAGGGAAAAAGGGGGCGAGGGAAAGAGAGACAGAGGGAGAATGGGAGAGAGAGGGGGGAGAGAGAAAGGATGGGAGAAAAGAAGGAGAGAGAGGGAGGGTGAAAGGGAGAGAGAGAGGGAGAGGATGGGAGAAGAGAGGGAGAGAGAGGGAGAAAGGGAGAGAGAGAGAACTAGAGAAGAGAGAGAGAATTAGTGGGGGAAGGAGAGAGAGAGAGAAAGGGAGAAAGGGGGCGGGAGAGAGAGAGCGCGCGGGGGGGGGGGGCAAGAGAGAGAGAGAGAGAGCACAACCCAGCACGCCCTGCAAGAGTGCAAGAGCCTGTGGTGTCTTTTCTCATAAGAACACTAATCCCATCATGAGCGCTCCACCCTAATGATCTCATCTAAACCTCCTTACCTCCCAAAGGCCCTACCTCCCAATCCCATTACATTGGGGTTAGGGCTTCAACACGTGAATTTGGGGAAGACACGAACATTCAATCCATTACAGACAGGAACCTTGAGGACTGTTGCCTGGGGCGGGTCCACACTGCGCTTCGGAGTGGTGACACTGGCCGGCCTCCGGCCCTCGGGAAGGACTCCAGGGTAACTGCCTTCCTTTTCCCTTCTGCGGACTCCAACGGAACCCTGGACTCAGTCTTCTAGCCTCACTGGATCTCACAAAAAGCAACCCTCTCAGTATGGACATATTTGAAAACTCAAAGCCGATGGTGCAGTGTTAATTCCATGAGTTTTGTGGATAAAAAGTTCTGGGTTCAAAGTCCACTAACTTCCTATGCACCCTTTACAAATCACTCTGAAATTCCATTTTTTTTTCCACGAGTGAAATGGAGGAAGCACTACTTCCCCATGTAAAACCTAAGGCGTCATGTTGGGAACCGTGGTGGACTCACAGGGAATGCCCAGCGCCGTTGAGCAGCCGCCTCCTGGTTCCCAGGCTGGGCTTCTGCCAACAGGCCCTCAGTTTCCTTTATTGGAGACACAAAATGTGACATTTATTAAGTGTCCCAGCGCACTGGGGACCAGTTCTGCCCATGGACTCGCCTCTGTCCCTAACCTCTGGGTTGGCATGTACATGAGAAAACATGCGGGTCAACAAAAAAGAAAGACATGGGGGTGTGATGGGAAGGGGTAGCCGGAATGTCCTCGAAAGCCACCCCAGAGCGTGGGAAGTGCTGGGGGAGCCCCAGGGCGCTCCCATGGGGTGAACGCTGCGCCGCAGCTCCCTCTAGTGGCACTCTTGGTGAGACTGTAGGGTTTGATTTGTGAATATATATATATATATTTTTTAGACAGAATCTGGCTCTGTCGCCCAGGCTGGAGTGCAGTGGCGTGATCTCGGCTCACTGCAACCTCTGCCTCCAGGGTTCAAGCAATTCTCCCGCCTCAGCCTCCCTAGTAGCGGGATTACAGGCATATGCCACTATGCCAGGCTAATTTTTGTATTTTTAGTAGAGATGGGGTTTCACTATGTTGGCCAGGCTGGTCTTGAACTCCTCACCTCAGGTGATCTGCCTGTCTCAGCCTCATAAAGTGCTGGGGTTACAGGCGTGAGCCACTATACCGGACCTTTTTTTCTTTTAAATAGAACCAGTTCATTTCACAGTTGGTCCATCAGTCTGTCTTTTCATTCACTCTATAAATGTTTACACTATCACACACAGAGTCCAAATAAAATGAAACCAGAGCATTTTGTCATATTGGTGCAAATTTGAGGATGAAGGCTTTTGGCTCAATTTTATTTTATCTTAATTTGTTTGTTTTTTTAGAGACAGGGTGTTCTGTCGACCTGTCTGGATTTCAGTAGCACAATCATGGCTCACTGCAGCCTTGAACTCCTGGGCTCAAGCAATCCTCCCACCTCAGCCTCCTGAGTAGCTAAGACCACAGGTACACATCACCACACCCAACTAATTTTTAATTTTTTTTGTTTTCTTTGTAGAGATAGGGGTCTCACTATGTTGCCCAGACTGGTCTTGAACTCCTGGCTTCAAGTGATTCTCCTGCCTCAGCCTCGTTAAGTGTTAGGATTACAGATATGAGCTACTGCTCCTGACCTTGGCTCAATTTTAAGCAAATTATTGTGTCTTAGTGATTTTTTTTCTTTACTATAGATTTTTATTCTGTTTTTTTTTTTTTGTTTGTTTGTTTTTTTTTTGAGACGGAGTCTTGATTTGTCGCCCAGGCTGGAATGCAGTGGCGTGATCTCAGATCACTGCAACCTCTGCCTCCAAGGTTCAAATGATTCTCCCTCCTCAGCCTCCTGAGTAGCTGGGATTACAGGCACCCGACATCATGCCCAACTAATTTTTGTATTTTTAGTTGAGACGTGGTTTCACCATGTTGACCAGGCTGGTCTCGAGCTCCTGACCTCAGTTGATCCGCCCACCTTGGCCTCCCAAAGTGCTGGGATTACAGGCCTAAGCCACCACGCCTGGCCTTTATTTTGATTTTCATATGCTTTTTAGGTTTGTTTATGAGTGCAATGACCACTTCCAGGGATTCTTCTAGCCTGCATTTTCTAATCCGGTAACCACTAGTCACTTACAGTTTTTTATATTTAAACTTATTGTAATTAAATTAGGCCAGGCACAGTGGCTCACGCCTGTAATCCTGCACTTTGGGAGGCTGCGGGAGGTGGATCACTTGAGTTCAGGAGTTTGAGACCAGCCTGGGCAACATGACAAAACCCTGTCTCTACAAAATATAAAAAATTAGCTAGGCATGGTGGCATGCACCTGTGTCCCAGCCACTCTAGAGGCTGAGGTGGGAGGATCACTTGAGCCTGGGAGGTGGAAGTTGCAGTGAGCTGAGGTCATGTCACTGCACTCCAACCTGAGTGACAGAGCCAGACCTTGTCTCAAAGCAAACAAACAAAACCTAATTATAATTAAATCAAATGTAAAATTCAGTTCCTTAGTTGCACTATTCATATTTCCAGTGTTCGATACCCACATGACTAGCGGCTATCTCACTGGACAGTGCAGATATATACATAATATATCCATCTCAGAACATTCTGTCGGCCTACACTGTAAGCCAAGCTTGTCCAACCTGCAGCCTGTGGGCTGCATGTGGCCCAGGACAGCTTTGAACGTGGCCCACCACAAATTTATAAACTTTCTTAAAACATTGTGAGTTTTTTTGTGATGTTTTTTAGCTCATCAGCTATCATTAGTGTTAGTGTATTTTTAAAAAATTTTTGTTTATTTTTATTTTCTATTTTTTTTTGAGACGGAGTCTTGCTCTGTTGCCCAGACTGGAGTGCACTGGCACAATCTTGGCTCACTACAACCTCTGCCTCCCAGGTTGAAGCGATTCTTCTGCCTCAGCCTCTTGGGTAGCTGGGATTACAGGCGCGCGCCACCACGCTCAGCTAATTTTTGTATTTTTAGTAGAGACAGGATATTGCCTTGTTGGCCAGGCTGGTCTCTAACTCCTGACCTCAAGTGACCCACCCACCTCTGCCTCCCAAAATGCTGGGATTACAGGTTTCAGCCACCACGCTTAGCCAGTGTTAGTATATTTTATGTGTAGCCCAAGACAATTCTTCCAGTGTGGTCCAGGGAAGCCAAAAGATCGGACCCCACTGTGTAAGCAGGGGTGAGGACCCAGCTGTGGGAATGTCCTGTCATGTTGATGTGGAGGTGTAATCCGTCCACTCCATTCTTTGCCTTCTAACCTGCAGTTTGGAAAGTGGCCTCTAGCTGATGCCATAAGGAACACAGAGAGTGTATGCATTGGAAGACCTAACTTCCTACTCTTTGTTAACCATGTTGGGACAAGCGCCTGCTTTCTCGGGTCCCCTTTAGCCCAGTTTCTTATCCAAATGCCCATCGACCAGCAGAGGGAGCTGGTCCCCAGGCTGACCCACCCTTAGGTTTTCTTCCTTGGGAGATTTTGGTTGTCAAAGCTTTGCCCCTGCAGCCCTGAGTGGCCAGCTCTTCTCTTGCCCTCTGCCCTTTTGTGTTCTAACTTTGGGCTGAAAGGAACTTGGGGTAATCTTATTTAGGCTTTGCACACACCTAAATCTTATTTAGGCTTTTGCATTTTATCTGTTATAAGAGAGCAAGTGGGCAATGAATGCGCCCTCCTGAGGGTGTCTGAAAAGTGGGAAGTCTCCATGTCCTAATCCATTGCCATTGACTTCAGCAGCAGAGGAAGCAGCACAACATCTGGAAATGAGGCTTCTCCAACTTCTGCTGCTAATTAGCTCTGTGACCTTGGGCAAGTCACTACTTCCAACCCCAGGTCTCTCTTTTTTTTAATTATTTTAATTTATTTTTGAGACAGGATCTCACTCTGTCACCCAGGCTGGAGTACAGTGGTGTGATCTTGGTTCACTGCAACCCCTGCCTCACAGGCTCAAGCGATTCTCATGCCTCAGCCTCCCAAGCAGCTGGGTGATATGGTTTGGCTGTTGGGGAAACCTCTGCCTAGATTTCAGAGGAAGTATGGAAACACCTGGATGTCCAGGCAGAAGTGTGCTGCAGGGGTGGAGCCCTCATGGGGAACCTTTGCTAGGCAGTGAGGAAGTGAAATGTGAGGTCAGAGCCCCCACATAGAGTCCCCACTTGGGCACTACCTACTAGAGCTGTGAGAAAAGGGCCACTGTCCTCCAGACCCCAGAATGGTAGCTCCACTGACAGCTTGCACCCATGCAACTGGAAAATCCACAGACACTCAATCTCAGCCCATGAAAGCAGCCTGGGTGGAGCTGCCTAAGGCTGTGGGAACCTACCTTTTACATCAGCATGAACTGGATGTGAGACACGTAGTCAAAGCAGATTATTTCAGAGCTTTAAGATTTGATTACTGTCTTGCCTTGTTGGATGTCAGACTTGTATGGGGCCTATAGCCCCTTTATTTTGGCCAATTTCTCCCATTTGGAATGGGTGTATTTACCGAATGCCTATACCCCCATTGTATTTAGGAAGTAACTATCTTGCTTTTGATTTTATAGGCTCATAGGCAGAAGGAACTTGCCTAGTCTCAGAGGAGACTTAGACTTGGACTTTTGAGTTAATGCTGGAATGAGTTAAGACTTGGGGGACTGTTGGAAGGGCATTATTGCGTTTTGAAATGTGAGGACATGAGATTTGGGAGGGGCCAGGGTGGAATGATATGGTTTGGCTGTGTCCCTACCCAAATGTCACCTAGAATCGTAGTGGGAGGGACCTAGTGAGAGGTAATTTGATCATGGGGTGGTTACTTTCATGCTGCTCATACCATTATCATGATTAGTGAGTTCTCATGAGATCTGATGGTTTTATAAGAGGTTCCCCCTTCACTTGGCTCTCATTCTTCTCCTTCCTGCTGCCATGTGAAGAAAGACATGTTTGCTTCCCCTTCCTCCAAGATTGTAAGTTTCCTGAGGCCTCCTCAGACCTGTGGAATTGTGAGTTAATTAAACTTCTTTTCTTTATAAATTACCCAGTCTTGGGTATGTCTTTATAGCAGTGTGAGAACAGACACAGGCACATGCCACCACATCTGGGTAATTTTTTTGTATTGATGGGGTTTTGCCATGTTGTCTAGTCTGGTCTGGAACTCCTGGACTCAAGCAATTCACCTGCCTTGGCCTCCCAGAGTGCTAGGATTACAGGCATGAGCCACTGCACCTGGCCCAGGCCTCTCTTCATATGTGGTGAAGGATGTGGGACCTGATGATTTCCAAAGCCTTTTGCAGTTCTAGATTCTATAACTTGGCCAAAGCCTTTGTGATCTGGTGGACACAGAGGTTGAGATCAAGATAAAATAGATATTCTCCCAAAAGAGGAATCTGCAGGCCTGGATGGTTTCACTGGATAATTCATTCAAACACTCATAGAACAGCAGACATCTCTTTTGCACAACCTTTTCCAGAAAATAGAGGAGGGAACACTTGCTAACTGATTTTATGACACCAGTATTGTCTTATTATTATTATTATTTGGGATGGAGTTTCACTCTCGTCACCCAGGCTGGAATGCAATGGTGTGAACTTGGCTCACTGCAATCTCCACCTCCCAGGTTCAAGTGATTCTCCTGCCTCAGCCTCCCAAGTAGCTGGGATTACAGGTGTAAGCCACCACACCCAGCTAATTTTTGTAGTTTTAGTAGAGACAAGGTTTCAACTTGTTGGCCAAGTTGGTCTCTAACTCCTGACCTCAAGCAATCCACCCTCCTTGACCTCCCAAAGTGCTGGGATTACAGGTATGAGCCACTGTTCCCGGCCAATTTTATGAGACCAAAAACAGACAAAGGGCCGGGTGCGGTGGCTCATGCATGTAATCCCAGCACTTTGGGAGGCCGAGGCAGGCAGATCATAAGGTCAGGAGATCGAGACAATCCTGGCCAACATAGTGAAACCCCGTCTCTACTAACAGTACAAAAATTACCTGGGCTTGGTGGCAGGTGCCTGTAATCCCAGCTACTGGGGAGGCTGAGGCTGGAGAATCGCTTGAACCTGGAGGCAGAGGTTGCAGTGAGCCGAGATCACGCCACTCTACTCCAGCCCGGCAACAGAGTGTGACTCCATCTAAAAAAAAAACCAAAACAAACAACAACAACAACAACAACAAAACAGACAAAGGCAGTACTAAAATGGAAAACTCTAGAGCAATATCTCCCATGAACTTAGATGTAAAATCCTTAATAAAATATTAGCAAATTGAATCTATCAACGTAAAAGAATTATAAATATAAGCTCCAGCACAGTGGCTCATGCCTGTAATCCTAGCACTTTAGCAGGCCATGGTAGGCAGATCTCTTGAACCCAGGAGTTTCAGACCAGCCTGGGCAGCATGGTGAAACTCCATTGCTACAAAAAATAGAAAAATGAGCCAGGGATGGTAGTGCATGCCTGTAGTCCTAGCTACTCCGGAGGCTGAGGTGGGAAGATCACCTGACCCTGGAGAGGTCGAGGCTGCAGTGAGCTGTAATCGTGCCACTGCACTCCATCTTGGGTGACAGAGTGAGACTCTGTCTCAAAAAAATAAAATAAAAATAGAATTACTAATATAAGTATAACAATAATTATATACTGTAACCAAGTAGGACTTATTCCCATTATATAGGCTGGTACAACACTCAAAAGTCTGCCATCAAGAAAGGAAGGTAAAAAAACAAGTCTTCCATATCAAGTGATCAATAGAGTTTAGATATTTAAAAAGTCCACCATATCAACAAGCTAAAGAAAAAAATCATATAATCATATCAGTTGGTGAAGAAAAAGCATTTGATGAAATCTAGCGCACATTTATGATAAAAACTCTCAGCAAGTTAGGAATAGAGGGCAACTACCTTAACTTGATAAAGAGCATCTACAAAAAACCTGACAGCCCACATCATAGTGAATGGTGAAAGACTGAATGCTTTCTCCCTAAGACTGGGAAAAAGGTAAGGATGCCTGCTCTCCCCTCTCTTATTCACCCTAGTTCTGAAAGTTCTAGCCACTGCAATAAGACAAGAAAAAGAAATAAAGGACATATGAAATGGAAAGGAAGAAATAAAACTGTTTCTCTTTGCAGATGACATGATTGTCTATAAAGAAAATCCGAAATAATCTACAAAATAAAGCTGACCCCCAAACCAAAACCCTCTTATAATTGGTTGTGAATTAAACAGGTTACAAGATACAAGATCAACACACAAAAATCCATCATGTTTATGTATACTAACAACAAACATGTGGAAACTGAAATTTAAAACACTGCATCATTTACAAATGGTCCAAAGAAAGTGAAACACTTAAGCATAAGCTGAACAAAACTTGCACAGGCTCTGCAAGCTGAAAATTACAAAATGTTGATGAAATAATTTATTTATTTATTTATTTATTTATTTTGTGATGGAGTCTTGCTCTTTGCCCAGGCTGGAGTGCAGTGGCTTGATCTCAGCTCACTGCAACATCTGCCTCCTGAGTTCAAGTGATTCTCCTGTCTCAGCCTCCTGGGTAGCTGGGGTTACAGGCACGTGCCACCACCCCCAGCTAATTTTTGTATTTTTAGTAGAGATGGGGTTTCACCATGTTGGACAGGCTGGTCTCGAACTTCTGACCTCAGGTGACCCTCCTGCCTCAGCCCCACAAAGTGCTGGGATTATAGATGTGAACCACCATGCCCAGTCCGATGAAAAAAATTTTAAAAGACCTAAGTAAATGGAGAAATACACTGTGGTCATGGAGTGGAATACTCAATGTAGTAAAGAGGTCAATTCTCCCCAAATTGAGTCAGGTGCAGTGATGTACACCTGTAGTCCCAGCTACCTGGGAGGCTGAGGCAGGAAGATCCCTTGAGCCCAGGAGTTTGAGGCTGTAGTTGAAATGATCGCATCTGTGAATAGCCACTGCACTCCAGCCTGGGCAATATAGTGAGACTCCATCTTCAAAATTTTTTTTAATTTTTAGTTTTATTTATTTCTTTTTTTTCTTTTTTTTTTTTTTTTTGAGACGGAGTCTCGCTCTGTCGCCCAGGCTGGAGTGCAGTGGCGGGATCTCGGCTCACTGCAAGCTCCGCCTCCCGGGTTCACGCCATTCTCCTGCCTCAGCCTCCCAAGTAGCTGGGACTACAGGCGCCCGCCACTATGCCCGGCTAATTTTTTGTATTTTTAGTAGAGACGGGGTTTCACCGTTTTAGCCGGGATGGTCTCGATCTCCTGACCTCGTGATCCGCCCGCCTCGGCCTCCCAAAGTGCTGGGATTACAGGCGTGAGCCACCGCGCCCGGCCTTATTTATTTCTTTATTTTGAGACAGAGTCTCATTCTGTCACCCAGGCTGGAGCACAGTGATGAGATCTCGGCTCACTGCAACCTCCACCTCCCAGGTTCAAGTGACTCTCCTGCCAAGTAGCTGAGATTACAGGTGGGTGCCACCACACCTGGCTAACTTTTGTATTTTTAGTAGAGACAGGGTTTTGCCATGTTAGCCAGGCTGGTCTTGAACTCCTGACCTCAGGTGATCCACCCGCCTTGGCCTCTCAAAGTGTTAGGATTCCAGGCGTGAGCCACTGAGCCCAGCCAAAAATAATTTTTTTTAGAAGTGTAATTACTATTAAAATCCCAGCAAAGTATTTTGTAGACATAGACAAGTTTATTCTAAAATGTACATGGGAAAATATAGACTCTAGGAACAGGAAAATAATCTTGGGAAAAAAAGAAAGATGAAAGTGGGAGGAATTACTCTACCTCTTATTAAGATAAAATAGATACTGTAGAAGAACAGGATGAAAGAAAAAGGGAGATCAAACTCTGGCCAGCCCTCCTCTGAGATAGTGGAGACAGAATCCCAGGGGCTTGCTTTCATCTGATAGCTGAAGCATCAATGGTCACATGGTCACTGGAAGGCTGTGGGCGTACAGGAAGCTTGGTTTCCCTGAGAAAATTCCCATCTCTTTAAGCTCCTTTGAGAGTAGCTGGAACTTTAGTGAGAAGAGTCCACCATGCCTGGAAGAGAGATTCTAAAATGCTGCTGGTTTCTTGAGGTTGTCTCATGGGTGAGTTGAATGTTCTACTTCTTTCCCCACGTGCACCCGAAATTTGAAGGCAGAAGAGCATCAGGTTCCTGGTTTGTTTGTTTGTTTGTTTATATATTTATTTATTTTGAGAAGGAGTCTCAGTCTGTTGCCTAGGCTGGAGTGCAACAGTGTGATCTCGGCTCACTGCAACCTCTGCCTCCTGGGTTCAAGCAATTCTCCTGCCTCAGCCTCCCAAGTAGCTGGAATTACAGGCACCTGCCACCATGTCTGGCTAATTTTTAAATTTTTAGTAGAGACGGGATTTCACCGTGTTGGCCAGGCTGGTCTTGAACTCCTGACCTCAAGTGATCCGCCCCCCTTAGCTTCCCAAAGTGCTGGGATTACAGGGATGAGCCACCACGCCCAGCCTGTTTCCTGGTTTATAGTTGTGTGCTAGGCTGATATGGTTTGGCCCTGTATCCCCACCCAAGTGTCATGTCGAATTGTAATTCCCAGTGTTGGAGGAGGGGCCTTGTGGGAGGTGACTGGATCACAGGGGCAGACTTCCCCCTTGCTGTTCTTGTCACAGAGTTCTCATGAGATCTGGTTGTTTGAAAATGTGTAGCCTCTCCTCTTCACTCTCACTCTCTCCTGCTCTGCTGTGTGAGGATGGTGCTTGCTTCCTTTTTGACTTCTGCCATGATTGTAAGTTTCCTGAGACCTCCCCAGAAGCTGAAGCCTGTATAGCTTGCAGAACCATGAGCTGATTATACCTGTTTTCTTTATAAATTACCCAGTCTCTGGTATGTCTTTATAGCAGTGTGACAATGGACCCAGCCCAGCCTAGACTACATTATTTTCTCTTTTGCCCCCTGTGAACTCTCATTTTTTTCCCAATGGAATGATAATGGGAAGAACTCTCATTTTAATAGGGGAAAGGAGGGCCAGGCATGGTGGCTGATGCCTGTAATTCCAGTGCTTTGGGAGGTCGAGGCAGGCAGATCACCTGAGGTCAGGAGTTTGAGACTAGCCTGGCCAACATGACGAAACCCTGTCTCTACTTAAAATACAAAAATTAGCCAGTCATGGTGGCGGGTGCCTGTAATCCCAGCTACTCAGGAGGCTGAGGCAGGAGAATCACTTGGACCGGGAGGTGGGGGTTGCAGTGAGCCGAGATCATGCCATTGCACTCCAGCCTGGGTGATGGGCGACAACAGTGAAACTCCATCTCAAAAAAAAAAAAAAAATACATGAAGAAGCAAGACTGAAATTGGGACTACCTAGACGAATCCCACACAAAGGTGAAATCAGGCTGGCCCTCCTTCCCCAGCCAAGCTCTGGTTTGGAATCAGTGAGGCAACCAGACCCTCATCCTGTGGGCCTTTCCTCTTCCAGTACCCCATGACTCATTAAAAGGTGAAGCGTGGCCAGGTGCGGTGGCTCACGCCTGTAATTTCAGCACTTTGGGAGGCCGAGGCGGGCGGATCACCTGAGGTCAGGAGTTCGAGATCAGCCTGGCCAACATGATGAAACTCCATCTCTACTAAAAATACAAAAATTAGCTGGGCGTGGTGTTGCACGCCTGTAATCCCGGCTACTGAGGTGGCTGAGGCATGAGAATTGCTTGAACGTGGTTGGCGGAGGCTGCAGTGAGCCAAGATTGTGCGACTGCACCACTGCATTCTAGCCTAGGCAACAGAGCGAGACTCTGTCTCAAAAAAAAAAAAAAGAAAGAAAGAAAAGAAAAAAATAGAAAAGATAAAAAGGGTGAGGGGCTTAGGTGGGGTCAGGAGAAATGGGAACAGTGTCTGGAATGAATGAAAGGCAGGCACCAGTGACCCTTTGGTCCAGGCTGGAGACATTTGTGTAGGGAGCATTTCATTTTTACATCAGGGAGGTGGAAGAGGTCATGGTAAGTTTACATTGGAGGGATTTCCTTCCTGCAGCCTTGAGAGGACCCCAGACAATACAAGTGGCTAAAAAGATAACCCCCTAGCCTGTGGGGTACAGGGCTCTCCCACTCCATGGGCCTCACTGTATTTCCCTGGTGGTCATGGATGGTGGTTGAGGACTTTCCCTTCTTCCTGCAAGCCTGGGTCTCCTTCTTCCCCACCACACCATCCTGGAATGCCTTCTTGGCTCCTGGGGCTGCTGCCTTTGATCTCAAATGGCATCAGGACATCGACATTGGAATCACTTTCTAATCCGGGACAGATGTGAGCCCAGGCGTGTGAGTGGAAAGTAAGATAAACCAAACCAAGCAAATAAGACAAGTAAGAAGAGAGCCCAAAGTGGGGCAAAAGTCCCTGGGCCAGGTGGCTCAGCCTGTAATTCCAGCACTTCGGGAGGCTGAAGTGGGAGGATCACTTGTGCCCAGGAGTTTGAGATCAGCCTGGGCAACATAGCCAGACCCGATCTCTACAAAAAATAAAAACAAAACATTAACGATGCATCATTGGCCAAGTAAGACTTGGGCAGATATAGTTGCTGCCGAGGCCCCAGCACAGCATGGGGCTGAAAGGGCCATCTCTTCAAGGCCCTCACTCCTGTTGCCCTACAAGGTTCCGGGTCTGTGCCTCAAGGGCATGTCCCCAACCCTCTGGGCAGCCTAGAGAAGGCTCCCAATAAACATCTGAGCAGCTGCAGGCATCCGGGGAGCCACCCCTCCATCCCCAGCCTGCCAGCTCTCTTGCAGCCTCACACCTCCCTTTACCACCCCTTCCTCTCAGGACAGTCACCCTTCACCTTTGGGTTAGTGGAGGGGCGTGCCCTGGAGAAGACCTCCCCAGGAGTGGAGGGGCTGGGTACAGCCATCTGCCAGTGTAAAATATGAGAAGCAGTGGGGACAGGCAGTAGAGCTTTCAGGAGGGAAGTTTCTCTTTCTTGCCCTCTTTTTTTTTTTTTTTTTTTAATGTACTTAAGACTCTGAGGAAAATGGGGGAAGGTGTACAAGTAGGAAGGGGGTTTGGAAGCACACCAGGAAACAGCAACTGTCCATTTGAGTTGCTGCATTGCTAGGACTAGACTAATTCTAGTCGGCTTGCGATGCAGACAACAGGTGGGGCAACTCTGACTGTCTCCAGGACTTCGGATAGACTGTTCAGACCTAGTGGGCCTCTCAGAGGTCTGGGTCGCAGTGACCCTGAGGAACCTGGGCACCCTTGACTCATTAGGCGAGAACCCAAAGACTCCCCAGGAAGCCTCCAATAGATCTAGTTCCCAGGCAAGACTGGTTAACTCCAGACAGGCCCCCACATTGGCCTACAATGAGATGGGCACATAAACTCCAATGTGGCTGTACAAAGTTTAGCATTCTGTAAACTACACTGGTTGAATTATCAGGTTGGTCCCACGGATTCAGATCCAACTTGGGAACCTCCAAGCTTTTAAAAATTAATTCATTTGTTTATTTATTTACTTATTTATTTTTATTTTTTTTTTTGAGACAGAGCTTCACTCTTGTTGCCCAGGCTGGAGTGCAATGGCACAATCTCAGCTCACTGCAACCTCTGCCTCCTGGGTTCAAGTGATTCTCCTGCCTCAGCCTCCCAAGTAGCTGGGATTACATGCGCCCAACACCATGCCCGGCTAATTTTTTTTTTTTTTTGTATTTTTAGTAGAGATGGGGTTTCACCATGTTGGCCAGGCTAGTCTCGAACTCCTGACCTCGTGATTCACCCCTTGGCCTCCCAAAGTGCTAGGATTACAGGCGTAAGCCACTGTGCCAGGCCCAAATAATTTTTTTTTTTTTTTGAGACAGTCTTGCTCTGTCACCCAGGCTGGAGTGCAGTGGCACGATCTCGGCTCACTGCAACCTCCACCTCCTGGGTTCAAGTGATTCTCCTGTCTCAGCCTCCTGAGTAGCTACGATTACAGGTGCGCCCCACCACACCTGGCTAATTTTTGCATTTTTAGTAGAAACGGGATTTCGCCATGTTGGCCAGGCTGGTCTCAAACTCCTGACCTCAGATGATCTGCCCTCCTCAGCCTCCCAAAGTGCTGGGATTACAGGTGTGAGCCACTGCACCTGTCCCCAAATAAATCTTAAAAAGGAACACATCGAAACCTATAAAAGGTACAGTAAAAATATGGTATAAATGATTAAAAGATGGTACACCTGTATAGGGCACTTAGCATAAATGGAGGTTTCAGGACTGGAAGTTTCTCTGGGTGAGTCAGTGAGTGGTGAGTGAATGAAGGCTGAGGACATTACACTATTGTAGACTTTATAAACACTGAACACTTAGGCTACACTGAATTTATTAAAGATGTTTTTCTTTCTTCAGTAAATTAAATTTAGCTTAATGTAACTTTTTTACTTTATAAACTTTTTTTTGGTTGTCAAATGATCCTTTATTAAAATATTGTCCTTTGTGGTTCTTAACTAGCTGAGCATTCCTCCGCACTACCGTTAAAAGTCATCTATGATGTCATGAGGGTGGCGGCCATCAACATTGCAGCCACAGACTGGGCAGGCCCCAAAATCTCTTCAACGGTTCCAGAGAGTATGCTGGCTAAAGATTGATGCCTGGGCAACCTTGACAATCCAAAAGTGTTATTTCCAGGCAGGGTGTGGCGGCTCACGCCTGTAATCCCAGCACTTTGGGAGGCCGAGGTGGGTCAGTTGCCTGAGCTCAGGCTCAGGAGTTCGTGACCACCTTGGGCAACATGGTGAAACCCCATCTATACTTTAAAAAATAAAAGAAATTAGCCAGGCGCAGTGGGGCGCACCTGTAGTCCCAGCTACTAGGGAGGCTGAGGCACGAGAATCACTTGAGCCCGGGAGGCAGAGGTTGCTGTGAGCTGAGATTGCCGCACTGCACTCCAGCTTGGGCTACAGAGTGAGACTCCATCTCAACAACAAAAGTGTTATTTCCGCTGTGTTTAATGTTTTTCTGTTTCTTTCTGCCTTTTGGCAGTTTGTCGAGGGCTTTGATGATGAGAGCAGAGGCAGAAGGTACCCCCTCAATCTGGGCCTGTCTGTTCTGGTCAGTTTCACTGTAATCCTCATACGCTTCCAGTCACTGATTGCCTTGGCAATGTCATCATCAACTTTTAGAGACAGACCTAGGGGGCTGATCTTGGGAGCCAGTGCAGATGTGGCACTGACTTCACCCCCAGTACACCCCAGGTGTATGAATTTGATCTCACTGGGGTTGAACTTAGGCAGCTGGTGTCAGATGAACCTGGATTTGGGACAGCAGAAGAAAGTTGCCCCACATCCTCCTCCAAGCTGAAAACCGAAAGACTTTATAAGCTTTAAAATTTTTTTAAATGTTGACTCTTTTGTAATAATACTTAGCTTAAAACACAAACCCACTGTACAGCTGTACAAAATTATTTTCTTTCTTTATATCTTTATTCTATCAGCTTTTTCTATTTTTAAATATTTTATTTTATTATTTAGTTATTTATTTATTTTTGGAGACGGAGTCTTGCTCTGTCTCCCAGGCTGGAGTGCAGTGGCACCATCATGGCTCACTACAACCTCCTCCTCCCGGGTTCAAGCAATTCTCCTGCCTCAGCCTCACAAGTAGCTGGGATTACAGATGCACGCTGCCACGCCCGGCTAATTTTTTTGTATTTTAGTAGAGATGGGGTTTCACCATGTCGACCAGGCTGGTCTTGAACTCCTGAGCTCAGGCAATCCACCCGCCTCAGCCTCCCAAAGTGCTGGGATTATAGGCGTGAGCCATCGCGCCTAGCCTTTATTTTTAAGTTTTTTAACTTTTTTGTTAAATCTAAGACACAAACACACACATTAGCCTAGGCCTACCCAGGGTCAGGATCCTCAATATCACTGTCTTCCACCTCCACATCTTGTCCTACTGGAAGGTCTTTAGGAGCGATAACACGCATGGAGCTACCGTCTCCTGTGATAGCAATGCCTTCTTCTGGAATACCTCCTGAAGGACCTGCCTCAGGCTGTTTTATAGTTAACTTTTAAAATATACATAAGTAGGCCAGGCGGGGTAGCTCACACCTGTAATCCCAGCACTTTGGGAGGCCAAGACAGGCAGATCACTTGAGGTCAGGAGTTCAAGACCAGCCTGGCCAACATGGTGAAACTCTGTCTCTACTAAAAATACAAAAATTAGTCAAGCATGGTGGTGCATGTCTGTAATCCTGGTTACTCAGGAGGCTGAGGCAGGAGAATTGCTTGAACCTGGGAGGCAGAGGCTGCAGTGAGCCGAGATCCTGTCACTGCACTCCAGCCTGGGCGACACAGTGAGACTCTGTCTCAAAAAAAAAAAAAAAAATGTGGCTGGGCACAGTGGCTCACACCTGTAATCCGGGCACTTTGGGAGGCTGAGGTGGGTGGATCACCTGAGGTAAGGAGTTCAAGACCAGCCTGACCAACATGGTGAAACCCCGTCTCTACTAAAAATACAAAAAAAATTAGCCAAGCGTGGTGGCGCATGCCTGTAATCCCAGCTACTCAGGAGACGGAGACGGGTGAATCACTTGAACCCGGGAGATGGAGGTTGCAGTGACCCGAGATCGCACCATTGCACTCCAGCCTGGGCAACAAGAACAAAACTTCTTTTCAAAAAAAAAAAATATATATATATGTATACACACACACACACACACACACATCTTATATATGCATATATATACCCATAAATAGAAGAAGTAGGCTCTCAAATAACAGTAACAGGAAAAGTAAATACATAAACTAGTAACATAGTTGTTTATTATCATTATCAAGTATGCACTGTACATAATTGTAGGTGCGTTACTTTTATAGGATTGACAGTGCAGTAGGTTTGTTTATACCACCATCACCACAAACACAGGAGTCACCCATTGCACTACAATGTCACTAGGCGATAGCAGTTTTTCAGCTCCATTATAATTGTCACTGGCTGGAATGTCACATACACAGATGCCCAGGCTGGTCTTGAACTCCTGACCTCAAGTGATCCGCCTACCTTGGCTTCCCAAAGTGGGATTACAGGTGCGAGCCACCCCGCCCCACTTGTTCTGTTCTATTGTTTCTGTTCCTCTGGAGAGCCCTGACTCCTCCACCTATCAAAACACTTCACAGCTCTGACCCTCCAGAGTCTATTATTTTAAACTGCAATCACAGTCATGACTGGTCAGTGTAACTTTTAGGACACCCAGCCTTAAGTTCCTTCCCCTCATTTTACAAAAAAAATGGTCCTTGTTTGAAAGTTTCATGCAGAGATATTGGTTTAACCCATTGCATTTCAGTGGTTCTGCTTATCACAGAAGACATCACCCTAGGCGAGCTTCTCAAAGGGACTCTCTCTCCTCTTTATCAAAGTGCCCATTTTCCCATACACCCATATTTGGCTGTGCAAAAAGAAA
The DNA here is from genome assembly GCF_000001405.40 of Homo sapiens. NCBI lineage: Eukaryota > Metazoa > Chordata > Mammalia > Primates > Hominidae > Homo > Homo sapiens. The sequence goes on along the minus strand of NC_000008.11, from coordinate 37,980,900 downwards.
TTTCTCCCATTCTCCAGGAGAGCATCTAGTGTCCTTACCCTTTGGGCAAACTCTTCTTAAAGAAAGTTCTTGTAAAGTCAGTCACCCAAGTTGTAGCTGACTGAGGGGCATTCTCTTTCAGAAGTCTTTGCTTTTTTTTTTTGATTGGTCCTTGCTCTGTTGCCCATGCTGGAGTGCAGTGGTATAATGATAGCTCACTGCAAACTTGAACTCCTGGGCTCAAGCAATCCTCTTGCTTCAGCCTCCCAAATTGCTGGGACTACAGACCTGCAGCACCACCCCTGGCTAATTTCTGTATTTTTTGTAGAGACAGGGTCTTGCTATGTTGTCCAGGCTGGCAGAACCTCTCCCTCCCAAAGTACTGTGATTATAGGCATGAGACACCATGTCCGGCCTCACTGATATATCAAATTACACATTACAATGATAAGAAATTCTTCTGGCCAGGCGCAGTGGCTCACGCCTGTAATCCCAGCAGTTTGGGAGGCCGAGGTGGGCAGATCACTTGAGGTCAGGAGTTCAAGACCAGCCTGGGCTAGATGGTGAGACCCCCCATCTCTACAAAAAACATGGTGAAACCCAAACTCTACTAAAAATACAAAAATTAGCTGGGTGTGGTGGCATGTGCCTGTAATCACAGCTACTCAGGAGGCTGAGGCATGAGAATCTCTTGAACCCGGGAGGTGGAGGTTGCAGTGAGCCTAGATTTCACCACTGCACTCCAGCCTTGGCAACAGAGTGAGACTCCACCTCAAAAAAAAAATTATTTATTTTATTTTTTAGACACAGGGTCTTGCTCTGTTGCCCAGGCTGGAGTGCAGTGGCACAATCATAGCTCACTGCTGCTCGGTACATCTCAGCCTCCTGAGTAGCTGGGACTATAGTCACCAGAAGTCTTTTCTATTTATTTATTTATTTTGGGATGGAGTCTCATTCTGTTGCCCGGGCTGGAGTGCAGTGGTGTGTGATCTAGGCTCACTGCAGCCTCTGCCTCCTGAGTTCAAATGATTTTCCCACCTCAGCCTCCTGAGTAGCTGGGACCACAGACATGTGCCACCATGCCTGGCTAATTTTTGTATTTTTAGTAGAGACAGGGTTTCACCATGTTGGTCAGGCTGGTCTCAAACTCCTGACCCCAAGTGATCCACCTGCCTCAGACTCCCAAAGTGCTGGGATTACAGGCATGAGCCGCTGCATCCAGCCAGTTTTTCCATTTTAATACGAGATAATATCTTCAGTTAAAAAGCATGAATTTATAATGATGAATTTTTATTTTATTTTATCTTAATTTTTAATTTTTTGTTTTGAGACAGGGTTTCACTCTGCTGCCCAGGTTGGAGCACAGTGGTGTGATTACAGCTCACTGCAAACCTTGACCTCCCAGGCTCAAGGGGTCCTCCCACCTCAGCCTCCCAAGTAGCTAGGACTGCAGGCGTGCACCACCACACCTGGCTAATTTTTTCTATTTTTTGTAGAAATGAGGTCTCACTATGTTGCCTAGGCTGGTCTGGAATGCCAGCCTCAAGAGATCTACCCACCCACCTCTGCCTCCCAAAGTGCGGGGATTATAGGAATGAGCCACCATTCCCAGCCTAATGATGAAATTTTAAGGTGAAAACATCTTTTTCCCTTGGAGGAGGAGACCTTCTTATCCCTGACATCACAGGCTACATTGTCCCTACAACAGCTGGCTGGACAGTGTTCCATTAACACTCCTTTTTTTTTTGAGATGGAGTCTCACTCTGTTGCCCAGGCTGGAGTGCAGTGGCGTGATCTCGGCTCACTGCAACCTCTGCTTCCCAGGTTCAAGCGATCCTCCTGCCTCAGCCTCCCAAGTAGCTGGGACTACAGGCACGTGCCACCATGCCCGGCTAATTTTTGTATTTTTAGTAGAGACAGGGTTTCAACATGTTGGCCAGGCTGGTCTCGAACTCTTGACCTCGTAATCTGCCTGCCTCGGCCTTGCAAAGTGCTGAGATTACAGGAATGAGCCACTGCGCCCAGCAGTACTCTTTTTTATTTTTTTTATTTTTTTTGAGATGGAGTGTCGCTCTGTTGCCCAAGCTGGAGTGCAGTGGCACGATCTCAGCTCACTGCAATTCTCTGGCCTCAGCCTCCCAAGTAGCTGAGATTACAGGCCTGCACCACCATACCCAGCTAATTTTTGTATTTTTAGTAGAGATGGGGTTTCACCATGTTGACCAGGCTGGTCTCGAACTCCTGACCTCGAGTGATCCACCCACCTTAGCCTCCGAAGGTGCTAGGATTACAGGCATGAGCCACCGTGCCCGGCCAGCACTCCTTTTTGATTTATTCTTCTTCCTGGTGTGCTACAGCCTCTGGGAAACTCCAGCAGGAAAAGACCCCCGTGGGAACATCTCCATAGGAGGCTCACAGCATCCTCTCATGCTGGTGTACCAGGTGGAAATGGCACCACGTGGCAGGTGCTGATGGATGCAGGTCCTAGTGGCAGGTTCAGTAGGGAAGAGGATGTGGTTCCAGGAAGCCTGTGGTGGGATCGCTGGCCTTGGGAATGAGAAAACTTTTCAGGAGATAATATGACCTGTAGGAAGGTGTCACTTCTGTCAAATTCAAGATGAGAGGCTAAGACCAAAACATAATGAGTGTCAGGTCTGTAAGTTTGTCCCAGCACTTTGGGAGGCAAAGGCAGGAGTACTGGTTGAGGCCAGGAGTTTGAGACCAGCCTGGGCTATACAGACAGACCCATCTCTACAAAAAAAAAAAAAATTTTTTTTAATTAGCTGGGTGTGGTGGTGAGTGCTTGTAGTCCCAGCAACCTAGGAGGCTGAGGCAGGAGGGTCGCTTGAGCCCAGGAGTTTGAGGCTGCTGTGAGCTTTGATCACACCATTGCACTCCCGCCAGGGCAACAGAATGAGACACTGTACATATTAAAAAAAAAAAGCCTATAAGTTTGAAAACAACAAGCAGTGAATGGATAAAGGTCAGGCATCCAGAGTGGAGGATGAGAACACTGAGTAAAAATCAGTGGGACTCTCTTCCAAGAAGCCACCCCAATCCCGAACCTCTGCACTTTTGTTTTTTTTTTTTTTTTTTGAGACAGTCTCACTCTGTTGCCCAGGCTGGAGGGCAGTGGCGTGATCTCGGCTCACTGCAACCTCCTGGATTCAAGCTATTCTCTTGCCTCAGCCTCCAGAGTAGCTGGGACTACAGGCATGCGCCACCATGCCTGGCTAATTTTTGTATTTTTAGTAGAGATGTGGTTTCACCACGTTGGCCAGGCTGGTCTTGAACACCTGACCTCAGGTGATCTGCCCACCTTGGCTTCCCAAAGTGCTGGGATTACAAATGTGAGCTACTGCGCCTGGCCTGGAACCTCTGCACTTTTGTGTATGCGAGTCCCACCATCTGGATGCCAATTTCCCTTTCCTGTGCCTTTCCACATCCTAATCATTTGTTTTTTTGTTTTGTTTTATTTTTGAGACAGAGTCTTGCTCTGTCACCCAGGCTGGAGTGCAGTGGCATGATCTCGGCTCACTTCATCCTCCGCCTGGCAGGTTCAAGCGATTCTCCTGCCTCAGCCTCCCAAGTAGCTGGGATTACAGGCATGCGCCACCACGCCTGGTAATGTTTGTAATTTTAGTAGAGATGGTGTTTCACCATGTTGGCCAGGCTGGTCTCGCACTCCTGACCTCAAGTGATCTGCCTACCTCAGCCTCCCAAAGTGCTGGGATTACAGATGCGAGCCACAATGCCCAGCCCCAATCGTTTGTTAACATTCAACTCCAATTCCTCCTCTTCGTGAAGTCTTTTCTGACCATGCCCTCTGGGAGTGGTTTCTCTTTCGCTGGCATCCCACCTTCACTGGCACTCACTTCCCTCCTCTACCCTAGTCATTTGGCAGTTACTTCTTATGTTTAAGCCTCTCCCTCTAGAGTGGAATCTGAAGGTGGCCATTGTGTCTGACACCTCTTGGTATGTTCCAGCACCTGGCCCTAGCCTGGTGCCTAGCACATAGCTGTGTCCCGTACTTGCTGACTGATGGATGGGTAATTGACGCATCAGGGCAGGCATTCTTTCTCAGTCCTTGTTTAATGACATTGAGACTTGAAGAGCTTGCTATCCAGAGACTTGTTCCCTCTGAGCAAGCAGGGGTTGTGCTGCTGGGTTTAATTTATGTTGCTCTGCCTTTCATGCTTTCAAAGGACTTTCCCACAACAGACTGGGGACCTAAAGGTTTGTGCCACTAGCACCAGGGCTCAGAGATGAGTGGTGACAGATGCAGCCAAGTGTGCCGGCCCTTGACCTGGTTCCGCTTCTGCACCAGGGTTGGAGCTTTCTGCAGCCATGGGGTCTGGCGCTTCATTCCCAGCTTATTCCCATGTGGAGTACAGTCTCTGGGCTTTCACGTGGAGGTGTGGGCTTGCATCTGTGAGTGGGGGGACCCACCCACTGGGTGTACATGACTATGTATATGGATGTGATGACTCTTGGTGAGGGGCAGGTGAGCTGGGCATGGTGGCTCACCCCTGTAATCCCAGCACTTCGGGAGGCCGAGGCAGTCAGATCACTTGAGGTCAGGAGTTCAAGACCAGCCTGGCCTGGTTCTACTAAAAATATAAAAATTAGCCAGGCATGTTGGTGGGCGTCTGTGATCCCAGCTACTCAGGAGGCTGAAGCAGGAGAATCGCTTGAAGCCAGGAAGTGGAGGCTGCAGTGTGCTGAGGCCTCACCACTGCACTCCAGTCTGGGCAACGGAACGAAACTGTCTCAAAAAAAAAAAAATTAAATATGTCAGGATTAAATTAAATATGTATTAAACTTTGTCTTCCCAGGAGATGCCTTCACTTGCTTTCCTTCCCCTCTCCGTGATGGGATAAAGCCACCCTACCAATATCTATGCCGAAAGCTGCCTCTCCCACAGGACTGGCAAGACTCCTTTGGCGGAACAAAGTAAAAACGAAACTTTCTCTGTGGGGCTGGGAGCTCCCTACCCAGGGGCAGGGACCGGGTCCTAGTCACCTCTCCATCAGCACACTGAAGGTGCAGACTGGCCAAGGACAAGTAGGGGCTTGGAAAAAGTGTGAGGAGTGAAGGAAAGGCTGGATGCCCCAGGGTGCTGCAGCCCTACCAGCCAGGTTGTCCTGTGATGACTTAGGCTGAGTGGCTTCTCTTCCTCCCCTCCTATTTATTGATTTATTTTAGAGACAGGGTCTCACTCTTCTGCCCAAGCTGGAGTGCAGCAGTGCCATCATAGCTCACTGTAACCTACAACTCCTGGGCCCAAGCAATCATCCCATCTCAGCCTCCCAGGTAGCTAGGATTACAGGTGCATGCCACCGTGCCTGGCTATTTATTTTATATTTTTTTGCAGAGGTGGGGTCTTGCTATGTTGTCCAGGCTGGTCTCAAACTCCTGGCCTCAAGTGATCTTCTCTCCTTGGCCTCCCAAAGTGCTAAGATTGCAGGTGTGAGCCACCATGCCTGGCCCATTTTCTTTTCTTTTTCCTTTTCTTTTCTTTTCTTCTTTTTTGAGATGGAGTCTCACACTGTTGCCCAGGCTGGAGTGCAGTGGCACAATCTCGGCTCACTGCAAGCTCCGCTTCCTGGGTTCCAGCGATTCTTCTGCCTGGCTAATTTTTTCTGTATTTTTAGTAGAGACGGAGTTTCACTATGTTGACCAGGCTGGTCTCAAACTCCTGACCTTGTGATCCTCCGCCTTGGCCTCCCAAACTGCTGGGATTATAGGCGTGAGCCACCACACCCGGCCAGCCCATTTTCAATTTATCATGGCGGGGAAGAGAATCCGATCCTGACTGGAAAGCAAGATGCCCTGCCACCTCTTGGGACTGAAAAAAAAAAAGTAGCATTTTTCCCATCCATGACTTCTTCAAAAACAGGAAACACTTCTCTTTTCTCCCACCACACCCTCTCCCACTGGCATCTGGATCCTGACCATTCTCTTGATGCTTTCTTGAGGGGCCCTCAGCCATGTGCCAGGGCATGGGGGGCTCCGCTTCCCTCCTCTTTGCAGCCAGGAAAGCTCCTCACTCCTTTCTTAATTAAAGGCATTTGATAAAACCCAGCACTGGCTTCCCCACTGGGGAGGAGCCATCCTCAGTGTCCTGTCTTCTTTCCCTCCCAGCACCAGCTGCTCTTTCCCCAGCACTTGCTTCCCAGGGGAAAGATGTGGTTGGTAGGAGGGAAGGGATCAGAGAGTGTTTTAGCTCTAGTACCAGCTTCTTTGGGAGGCAGAAAGGTTCCAGCCTTGTCTGAGCTTTCCCTCCTAGGGAAGGAAGGGAGAGGAGAGCATGGACCAAGCAGCATGGAGGATCTGCCCTCCTCTGTGCTGCCTCCTTCCATCAAAGAAAGTGGGTGGCTCTCACCTGTAATCTCAGCACTTTGGGAAGCTGAGGTGGGAAGATCACTTGATGCCAGGAGTTCAAGACCAGCCTGGGCAAGAGAGTGAGACTCCAGCTCTACAAAACATCAAAGAAAATAGTAAGCATGGTGGGGGGTACCTATAGCCCCAGCTACTTAGGAGGCTGAGGAGGGAGGATCACTTGAGCCTGGGAGTTCAAGGCTGCAGTGAACTCTGATTGAACCACTGTACTCCAGCCTGGGTGACAGAGTAATACCTTGTCTATAAAATAAATAAATACACTTTGGGAGGCTGAGGTGGGCAGATCACTTGTGGTCAGCAGTTCGAGACCAGCCTGGCCAACATGGTGAAACCCTGCGTCTACTAAAAATACAAATATTAGCTGGGCATGGTGATGTGCGCCTGTAGTCCCAGCTACTCGGGAGGCTGAGGCAGGGGAATTTTTGAACCTGGGAGGCAGAGGTTGCAGGGAGCCGAGATCATGCCACTGCACTCCAGCTTGGGTGGATGCAAAGAAGCCAGCCAAAGCAGCATCTAGGGGTGACTTGAAAGGCGATGCTAGAAACTTACCACTGGGTTGGTGGGCAACCCCTCCTGCTAATAGTGGCAGGAGGCAGACAAATGCCTAGGCAGATAGGGGCAGGTCCCTGGTGAAACCACACCTCCAAGCCGAAGATATTTTAAAGCCTGAAAGCCAAGCTACAAGTCAAATCCACGGACCGGATTGAGAACCTGTCTTGGTGTGCTTTCCTCTTATTAATCCCCACCCTTCACCTATTTTACATTCACCTACCCTTTCCTAATTGGTTTTCTACACTGTCCATGCCCCACCTTTGAGTGGTGTCTTCGCTTTAACCTTTATTGCATACTCACAAACCAATCAGCACGCAATCCCCATTTTGAGTCCATAAAAGCCCCAGACTCAGCCACACTGAGACAGAAACCACCTGACTGCAGGGGTTGAGAACGAGCCCCACTCCCAACATCCCCTCTCCACTGAGAGCTGTTCCATTGCTCAACAAAATCCTTCTCCACCCATCCTCACCCTTCTAATTGTCAGCATAACCTCATTCTTCTTGGATGCAGGACAGGAGCTTGGGAACCGCTGATTGCAAGTGCAATCTATAACACAGGGGGCAGTGGTGGGAAGGGGGGTTGTTGCCAGCCTGGAGGTCTCCCTGGTTGGCAAAGTGGCCGAGAAAAATCCTGCATCGGCTGGGTATGGTGGCTCACGCCTGTAATCCCAGCACTTTGGGAGGCCGAGGCAGGTGGATCACCTGAGGTCAGGAGCTCAAGACCAGCCTGGTCAACAAAGTGAAACCCCATCTCTACTAAAAATACAAAAATTAGCCGGGCGTGGTGGCACGGACCTGTAATCCCAGCTACTCAGGAGGCTGAGGCAGGAGAATCGCTTGAACCTGGGAGGCGGAGGTTGCAGTGAGCCGAGATGGCACCATTGCACTCCAGCCTGGGCAACGAGAGTGAAACTCTGTCTCAAAGAAAAAAAAAAAAAAATCCTGCGTCACTGCTTTCTCTTTCCCCCTCTGGCTTGATCCCTCTCTTACCTCCTGGAAGGAAGCCTAAGCATTTGGGCCTGGGTTGTAGGTGGGACTCGTGACCTCTCCCAGCCTCTGGGGAGCAGCTTCTCCAATAGTCAGGGATCTCAATGACCTTCCTTCCTTCCTTCCTTCCTTCCTTCCTTCCTTCCTTCCTTCCTTCCTTCCTTCCTTCCTTCCTTTCTTCCTTCCTTCCTTCGTGCCACTTGCAAAAGTTCAATGATTATTCAGAAACTGGAAGAAGGATTTCTCTTCCTACCTCAGGAGAGAAAGAAGCATTTCTTGGTCCCTTCTTCCATTTATGACCAGGAGCTAAAAGAGAAGGCACTGCTAGAACACACTCCCTGTCCACCCCTGTCTCCCCAGGCATAAGGCTTTCATTCCAGGCCAGTCCTTAGGCACCAGAATGCCTTTGGTTTCCGCATAAAGGAGATCCCTTCTGTCTCCCCTTCAAGTCCTCTGGATCTGACCTTGGGAAACAAATCAGGTGTGTGCAGAGTTGGCTGTGCCACATTACAGAATACAAGAAAAGTCTTAGCTTAGGGGCTTCTTTTCAGTTCTGATAGTTTTTATCTCTCTGCCTTCTGGTTAGATGGTGGGCCATTGCCATGGTGGGGGCCTGGAGAAGGCAGACTGGCAGGTGGCACCAGCCACAGCCTGGCTGGGAGTGAAGGAAGTTGTTTTGGAAAAGGGACCAACTCCTTGGATGCCTGTGTACCTGTTAGAAATGAACCTTTACTGCACACTTTCCACAAGATGAAAAAAAAAAAAAAAGAAACAAACCTTTACTGTGTTATAATGGACAAGCCTCCATTTCCTCTCTGGGCCTCAGGTTTTCTTTTCTTTATTTTTTATTTTATTTATTTATTTATTTTTTGAGTCAGAGTCTCGCTCTGCCACCTAGGCTGGAGTGCAGTGGCCTGATCTAGGCTCACTGCATCCTCCGCCTCCTGGATTCAAGCGATTCTCAAGCCTCCACATCCTGAGTAGCTGGGATTATAGGCGCCCACCACCACGCCTGGCTAATATTTGTAGTTTTGTAGAGACAGGGTTTCACCATGTTGGCCAAGCTGGTCTCGAACTCCTGACTTCAAGTGATCTTCCTGCCTCGGCCTCCCAAAGTGCTGGGATTACAGGCGTGAGCCACCGCACCCAGCCTGGGCCTCAGGTTTTCAATTCTGTAAAGTGTTGGTGCTGGATTTGACCGTTAAGACTGTTTTTAGCGCTTATGCTCTGCCACCTCCACCCTATGCCCCTAGACTATTTGTGACGAAAGAAGAAACAGCAAACACCAAACCAGCTGCTCAGAGGCCACATATACACGCATGATTTCATAAAAATGAATGGATGGTTGCTGTGGGCAATGGAGAGGAGAGACAGGGTAAAGGGGTAGCAAAAACTTCCACCTAGTTTTTGCTCCATTCCAAGAACTTTAAAGCCAGAAGGGTGGATTATGAATGTTAGAATAGAACTGCCTGTTACGCATGTAGTCTTAGACAGGGTATAAGGCTGCGATCACCTGAACTCTTTTTGGCTTCTTTAGTCCACCTCACATGAACATATACAGACACACATATACATGCACCCAATCATGATGTTCACAGGAGAGAGTACTCTTCCCTGCTGTTAGAACTTCTGCTCATCAGGCGGCTGCTGCCACTTCTGGCTCTGCCAGACACATATTCTAAATCACAGAGCTATTCTCCCTGGCACATAACCCCCGAGCACCAACATGTAAACAGCAGCCTGAGGGCCTGAACTCAGTGCATTCAGAGGCCCACAGACGCTGCCTGCTTCCAAGGGCACAGAACAAAGGTCATCTGGGGGCTGAGGGCCAGCGCAGTGCTCTCTCTGGGCAATGTACACTTCTATCCCGAGTTGGATGACCTCTCCGGCCCAGGCAGTACTAATTCCCCTCGGGCCAGTCATTAGGACGACTTCCCAGAACAGTAGGCCAGCTGTCTCCACCCCTCTGCTGACCATCAAAAATGAAGGTGAGAGTATAATTGGGTACATCCCCAGGGAAGACCATTTGGCAGTATCTTTCAAATTTGCAAATGCATAGACCTTATAACATAGCAAAATCTATTTGTAGAATATACTCACATACAGGTGAAATGACATGTGTTTAAGTTATTCATTGCAACATCATCTGTTAGTAAAGATAAGAAGTAAGCTCGATGTCTATCAGTAGCAGACTGGTTTCATAGACAATCATATAACCATACAATGGGATACTGAAAATGAGATGCTTTTGGCTGCGCACGGTGGCTCATACCTGTAATCCTAGCACTTTGGGAGGCCCAGGTGGGTGGATCATCAGAGGTCAGGAGTTTGAGACCAGCCTGGCCAACATTGCAAAACCCCGTCTCTACTAAAACTACGAAAATTAGCCGGGTGTGGTGGCACGCGCCTGTAGTCCCAGCTACTTGGGAGGCTGAGGCAGGAGAATCGCTTGAACCTGGGAAGTGGAGGTTGCAGTGAATCGAGATCGCACCACTGCACTCCAGCCTGGGTGACAAAGACTCTGTCTCAAAAAAAAAAAAGAAAGAAAGAAAGAAAAAGAAAATGAGACACTTTTGTATATCTATCTGGAAGGATCACAGATACATAGTCAAATTAAAATAAGCAAGGTGCAGAACAGTGGGTATATATGACTGCTATTTGTATAGAAAAGAAAGGATAAAAGAATATATATATTTGTATTGACTTGTATCTATATAAAATATGAGCCGAGGGATAAACCAGAGACTAATGGTAGTTACCTGCTAGGGAGATGAAAACTGGGATGAAGGCAAGTCTCTATTATATGCATTTGTTATATTTTGATGGTTGAATAATGTGCACGTATAATCTATTCAAAATATTAAGTTATAAAACACAAAATCACAAAAGAGACCCAATAGTCTATAGACTAAGGTGGCAAAAGAGGGAGCCCTTCCCCCTGCCATCTGCTTGGGCGGGGGAAAACCAGACTGAGGAATGAGAGCAGGGATGAGTTGGCAGAGGAGGAAGAAGCCAAGTGTCTCAACATTGATGGATTTGCTCATAAAACCATCCCTAACCGGAGTCAGAAATTTCTCTTCTTACAGTGTCGTTTGGTTATTGGCCTAATCATTCCCCAAACTCAGGCACACTCAGGTGGTTTGAGAAATCCTGTCTTTTTTGAAAATGTTAAACATTTTTACACACTTCTTCCAAATTACAAGGTCACCCCTAAGGCATTGACATCATTGAGGTTGCTTCACTTTCCGGCACCCCTTTCCCTTCCCCCTCCAATGCTGATGTCCTGGAAAAAAATTGCTGAATGGCATGCATTGATTTTGGAGATTACTTTTTGGGAATCTTATGATATCCCTTTGAGATAACTGGCAACAACACTCTGGGGTGCTGCAAAACCCTACTTGGGAGTGACTGCCTTGCTGGTCAACAGGAAGCCACAGCCAAGACTCTGTGCCCAGTGGGGCCTGCACCACTCTGTCATGACTTGAGTGGGGGCAGTAAGAGGTGGAAGGGGCCAGAGGCTGCCTCTTCACTTTCACCCCCATGGATTTCCATGGATCCAAAGGCCTGCTTGGGGTTCTTCATGGGCATAGAAGTCACTTGCTTGGGAGCCCAAGACAAACCCTGCTCATGGGTGAGCAGCTGGGTCCCTGGGAGACGAGGCTGGTTCTTTTTCCTTGGGGATAATTTTAGGTTCTGAATTCCCCTGCAACCTTCCTAACTCCCAGCCCCCAGCTCAGCCTCCCAGAGGGATTGTTCATACCAGTGACTATAAAGTGTTCTCTCGAAATATAGAGCTGTTCAGAGACCTGCCAGGGCATAGCCCTGGAGGCATTTTCCATGATAATTTTTCCCCCTTTGTCCCATTGTTTCAGAGGAGGAAGCATGATAGCTCAAGAATCAGGTCCTGATAGTCCCTGATAAGGTGTCACATCTTCCTGCCTCTCCACTTGAACCCTGGGGCTTTATTTTCCAGCGCCCCCCTCCCCGTACGCAATCTGAGAGGAACTGGTTTAGAGATTGAGAGAGCAGGGGCTGGAAAAAGGAAGCCTTGCAAGTCTTGAGTGAGGGCAGGGAGAAGGGAAGAGGAAGAGGGAAGCCTCTGGTGGAACCGCCTAAGAGACTTCAGAGGCTTTGAAACACCAGGCCTGCCACCACACACGCTCAAAAATGAACGCATGAATTCCTCAACTCAACGCCTTCTAGTTTTTAAAAGTTAATGAATGAAATCCTTAAGGAAGTCCGGACACGGTGACTCACACCTGTAATCCCAGCATTCTGGGAGGCCGAGGCGGGTGGATCATCTGAGGTCAGGAGTTTGAGACCAGCCTGGCCAACATGGTGAAACCCCGTCTCTACTAAAAATACAAAAATTTGCTGGGCTTGGTGGCACATGCTCATCCCAGCTACTTGGGTGGCTGGGAGGCTTGGGAGGCTGAGGCAGAAGAATTGCTTGAACCTGGGAAGTGGAGGTTGCAGTGAGCAGAGATTGTGCCACTGCACTCCAGCCTGGGCAACAAGAGCAAAATTTCATCTCAAAAAACAAATAAACAAACAAAAAACCTAAAGGAAGTGGAGCGAACACTTACCATTGGGGAGATGGCAATGGAAGAGTTGTGTATAGTTTGGGGGGATGGTGGACCTGCCTCATACCCAGTCACCCATTTACCCATTTTTTTTTTTAAAATAGGGTCTTGCTTCTTGCCGTCTTCCAAGCTGGAGTGCAGTAGTAGCATGATCACAGATCACTGTAACCTTGAACTCCTGGGCTCAAGCGATCCTCTCCTCTCAGCCTCTTGATTCATCCTTTCTTTTTTTTTTTTTTTTTTTTTTTTCTGATATGGAGTTTCGCTCTTGTTGCCAAGGCTGGAGTGCCATGGTGTGATCTCGGCTCACTGCAACCTCTGCCTCCCAGGTTCAAGAGATTCTCCTGCCTCAGCCTCTTGAGTAGCTGGGATTACAGGCATGCGCCACCACACCTGGCTAATTTTTTTTTTTTTTTTTTGTATTTTTAGTAGAGACAGGGTTTCTCCTTGTTGTTCAGGCTGGTCTTGAACTCCTGACCTCAGGTGATCTGCCCACCTCGACCTCCCAAAGTGCTGGGATTACAGGCGTGAGCCACCGCGCCCACCTGTTGATTCATCCATTTTTAATATGTCTTTATAGCAGAAAGATTTTAAGAGAAGGGGCTATCTAGAAAATCTCTAGGTGGAAAGGTGCATGGAAGGGGCAGTGCAGAGTGGGGAAGATGGAGAAATTGAAATTCTTCAGCATCCCAGACTACATAGTGCCAAATCCAAATGCAAATCCAGAGCTAGCAATGAAAAAGACTCCTGGCCGGGCGCGATGGCTCACGCCTGTAATCCCAGCACTTTGGGAGGCCGAGGCGGGCGGATCACGAGGTCAGGAGATCGAGACCATCCTGGCCAACATGGTGAAACCCCGTCTCTACTAAAAATATAAAAATTAGTTGGGCATGCTGGCGGGTGCCTGCAGTCCCAGCTACTTGGGAGGCTGAGGCAGGAGAAGCGCTTGAACCCGGGAGGTGGAGATTGCAGTGAGCAGACATCACATCATTGCACTCCAGCCTCCAGCCTGGGTGACAGAGCGAGACGCCGTCTCAAAAAAAAAAAAAAAAAGAAAAGAAAAAGAAAAAGACTCCTGAGCCTCCTAGTGGTTCACGCCTGCAATTCCAACTACTCAGGAGGCTGGGACAGGAGGGTGGCTTGAGCCCGGGAGTTCAAAGCCAGCCTGGGAAAAATAGAGAGAGAGAGAGACTTGAAATATGGTAAATTTCCTCAGTACCTGAAAATATTAAAAAAAACAAAAAGCTAGAAGGAAAGAGAAGGTAACTGAAACAGAAGGGAAAGGGGACAGATCTCACCAAGCTGAGGTCTTGGGAGAGGAGATACTGGCTGAGCCCTATTACTTAATTTAAAATACCTTAGGGGAGGCCACCCAAGTGGATGCGGGGCTCCTGTGAATCCTTTGCTTGACTCCAGCGGGTTACCTTTGCCTCTGATACATAAAGGGTGGGGATGGGAGCGCTCTCCTCTCTCCTTCCCCTGCCTTGCTGTGGGAACTTCTGGGAAAGGAGGTGCAGGGCTCCAGGAAGCCAGTGCCCAGGGAGTGCTATGCTGAGTCCAGGAGCCTGGCCACGGCAGGGGTGGACAGATGGTGGCAGAGGAACCACGGTGTCCCTTCCTCCAGATTTAGCTAAAGGAAACGTGGAGCATCCCATTGGCCATCCTCCCCACTCTCCAATTCGGCTCCAGAGGCCCCTCCAGACTATAGGCAGCTGCCCCTTTAAGCGTCGCTACTCCTCCCCCAAGAGCGGTGGCACCGAGGGAGTTGGGGTGGGGGGAGGCTGAGCGCTCTGGCTGGGACAGCTAGAGAAGATGGCCCAGGCTGGGGAAGTCGCTCTCATGCCTTGCTGTCCCCTCCCCTGAGCCAGGTGATTTGGGAGACCCCCTCCTTCCTTCTTTCCCTACCGCCCCACGCGCGACCCGGGGATGGCTCCGTGGCCTCACGAGAACAGCTCTCTTGCCCCATGGCCGGACCTCCCCACCCTGGCGCCCAATACCGCCAACACCAGTGGGCTGCCAGGGGTTCCGTGGGAGGCGGCCCTAGCCGGGGCCCTGCTGGCGCTGGCGGTGCTGGCCACCGTGGGAGGCAACCTGCTGGTCATCGTGGCCATCGCCTGGACTCCGAGACTCCAGACCATGACCAACGTGTTCGTGACTTCGCTGGCCGCAGCCGACCTGGTGATGGGACTCCTGGTGGTGCCGCCGGCGGCCACCTTGGCGCTGACTGGCCACTGGCCGTTGGGCGCCACTGGCTGCGAGCTGTGGACCTCGGTGGACGTGCTGTGTGTGACCGCCAGCATCGAAACCCTGTGCGCCCTGGCCGTGGACCGCTACCTGGCTGTGACCAACCCGCTGCGTTACGGCGCACTGGTCACCAAGCGCTGCGCCCGGACAGCTGTGGTCCTGGTGTGGGTCGTGTCGGCCGCGGTGTCGTTTGCGCCCATCATGAGCCAGTGGTGGCGCGTAGGGGCCGACGCCGAGGCGCAGCGCTGCCACTCCAACCCGCGCTGCTGTGCCTTCGCCTCCAACATGCCCTACGTGCTGCTGTCCTCCTCCGTCTCCTTCTACCTTCCTCTTCTCGTGATGCTCTTCGTCTACGCGCGGGTTTTCGTGGTGGCTACGCGCCAGCTGCGCTTGCTGCGCGGGGAGCTGGGCCGCTTTCCGCCCGAGGAGTCTCCGCCGGCGCCGTCGCGCTCTCTGGCCCCGGCCCCGGTGGGGACGTGCGCTCCGCCCGAAGGGGTGCCCGCCTGCGGCCGGCGGCCCGCGCGCCTCCTGCCTCTCCGGGAACACCGGGCCCTGTGCACCTTGGGTCTCATCATGGGCACCTTCACTCTCTGCTGGTTGCCCTTCTTTCTGGCCAACGTGCTGCGCGCCCTGGGGGGCCCCTCTCTAGTCCCGGGCCCGGCTTTCCTTGCCCTGAACTGGCTAGGTTATGCCAATTCTGCCTTCAACCCGCTCATCTACTGCCGCAGCCCGGACTTTCGCAGCGCCTTCCGCCGTCTTCTGTGCCGCTGCGGCCGTCGCCTGCCTCCGGAGCCCTGCGCCGCCGCCCGCCCGGCCCTCTTCCCCTCGGGCGTTCCTGCGGCCCGGAGCAGCCCAGCGCAGCCCAGGCTTTGCCAACGGCTCGACGGGTAGGTAACCGGGGCAGAGGGACCGGCGGCTCAGGGTCGGGAAGCATGCGATGTGTCCGTGGGTCAACTTTTTGAGTGTGGAGTTTATTAAGAGAAGGTGGGATGGCTTTGCTTGGAGAGAAAAGGGAACGAGGAGTAGCGAACCAAAATGGGACCCAGGGTCCTTTTCTTTCCGGATCCAGTCACTAGGGTAGAAGCAAAGGAGGGCGAGCGGGCCGTCGTTCCTCACCCAAGGACCCAAGGTGCGCCACCGGAAAGCGCTGCGGTGTCCCGAGGACTCTCGCCTCGCCTGGTCGGCTTTAGGGATTTTTTTTTTTTTTAAATAGAGACAGGGTTTCGTCTCTGTCGCCCACGCGGGAATGCAGTGGCGCGATCTCAGCTCACTGCAGTCTTGAACTCCTGGCTCCTGGGCTCAAGCGATCCTCCCACCTCAGCCTCCTGAGTATCTGGGACTACAGGCGAGCCCCACCAATCCCAGCTATTTTTAAAATTTCTTGTAGAGATGGGGTCTTGCTATGTTGCCCAGGCTTGTCTTGAACTTCTGGCCTCAAGTGATCCTTCTGCCTCAGCCTTCCAAAGCATTAGGATTACAGGCCGGAGCCAGGGCGCCGGGTCGGCTCTAGTTTTGGTTTTCCAGCTCAGTTCTTTGCCCCCCTCCCCCGATTTCTTGCCATCACTAGACCTGGCTCGGACTTGAAGGCAGGGCTAGTGCCCCCCCACCCGCCCCCCAAGCCCTCGGCCTCAGTTCTGGGTTTTCTCAAAGGTTTGACAGCTGTGGAGGTGAGAATCCACTTCCGGTATGAAGTACAGTTGTGAGTGAGGAGCCTGTGAGTGCAGATGTGTGCCCTCCCGCTCCCTGGGCTGGGTTGGAGTAGGGATGGGGTGGGGCGTGTGTGGCTGGGTGGTGCCCTGGCGTTTTTGTGTAACTAAATATGCGTTCCAGGGTCTCTGATCTCTGTCATTCCCCTCAGTGCACCTGTTGCTCCTTTCACCCCAGGGTCTATTATCTCCACTTTTTTTCCCAGGGCTTCTTGGGGAGTTTCTTAGGCCTGAAGGACAAGAAGCAACAACTCTGTTGATCAGAACCTGTGGAAAACCTCTGGCCTCTGTTCAGAATGAGTCCCATGGGATTCCCCGGCTGTGACACTCTACCCTCCAGAACCTGACGACTGGGCCATGTGACCCAAGGAGGGATCCTTACCAAGTGGGTTTTCACCATCCTCTTGCTCTCTGTCTGAGAGATGTTTTCTAAACCCCAGCCTTGAACTTCACTCCTCCCTCAGTGGTAGTGTCCAGGTGCCGTGGAGCAGCAGGCTGGCTTTGGTAGGGGCACCCATCACCCGGCTTGCCTGTGCAGTCAGTGAGTGCTTAGGGCAAAGAGAGCTCCCCTGGTTCCATTCCTTCTGCCACCCAAACCCTGATGAGACCTTAGTGTTCTCCAGGCTCTGTGGCCCAGGCTGAGAGCAGCAGGGTAGAAAAGACCAAGATTTGGGGTTTTATCTCTGGTTCCCTTATTACTGCTCTCAAGCAGTGGCCTCTCTCACTTTAGCCATGGAATGGCTCCGATCTACCTCACAGCAGTGTCAGAAGGACTTCGCCAGGGTTTTGGGAGCTCCAGGGTTCATAAGAAGGTGAACCATTAGAACAGATCCCTTCTTTTCCTTTTGCAATCAGATAAATAAATATCACTGAATGCAGTTCATCCTCGGCCCCCTTTCCCTCCGTTTGTTTTCTTTTCATAATCCACTTACTCCCTTCCCTTCTACTCTGCGCTGGCTTTTGACAGAGGCAGTAAATTAGGCCTAATCCTCACTCTTTTCTTCCTAATCTTCATCAAACAAAAAATGAAAAGTCTGTCTGGACGAAGGGGAGTGAGCTTGAGCCTTTGATATCTTGCTCCCCCACCCTTCCTGAAACTCTTGAAATCCAGTTGCCATTGAGTAGCAAAGCCACGCTCCCCACAGGACTTGGACAGAGGGCCCACAGGGGGATGGGCTGGCTGTGGCCAGGTTTAGGGCAGGGGGCATTTGTCCCCTCCATGCTATAATCCAGTGGTGCCTTACATGGTGTGTGTGTGTGTGTGTGCGTGTGTGTGTGTGTGTGTGTGTCTGGAGGCACAGGCACAAAGCATTGCTTGGGTTGGTCAAATGTCTTGTGTCATAAATATATTCTGATGTTTCCCAGCCTTTCCACAACCTCTACCTTCCCACTCACCTTCCCCAGCTACAAAAATCTGTATTATCCTCTTAAAGTAAAACTGGAGTTACAAATTTGAGCCTGTTGATGCAGTTTTCTCTTATTTCCATTTTATGAATCTTATCAGCCAGGTTTCCTATGTAAAGAAAATTTCTAAGGAAATCATTAGATCATTTTGTGAGTTTCTATTTAAACTCTATGAGCCAAGACTATTGTCCAGGATGATTTATGGAATGCCCGGTAAATCACAGATGTTTTGCGTGTTTGTGATGTAGTGCGCAATGTGTTGTCTTGGTTCAGGGGCCCTAGAGTTATAAAATTCCATCTGCCCCAAGGAGGAGCTCGATAGATTTCCACATATGGGTGTTCCCTGTGAATTGGACCTGGTCTGTGCTGCTCTCTTTTCTCCAGGAGCCCAGGTTTTATTTCTCAGGATGTTTTCATACCAAAGATGACTTTCTCCTTTTCAACCAGGGCAGGGTGAGATCTCTGGTGTCTGAGGTGTGCAAGATTTCTTGGCAAAGACTCAACTTTGTGGCTGTTAGTGGAGGAGGAAGTCTTGCTTGACAAATAAGAGGCCCTCCTCTCCCCATCTCTGGATATTCTCCCAACATCGCTGGATAAAATTGGCCAGTCAGTGCTAGGCAGGGGAGAATGATGATGTTGGAGGTGGGGCCCCTGGTGTGTAGACTTGTCCTTGAACATTGTCCAGAAGCTCATACTGCTTGAGTCTTGTTGGACTTGCCCGTGCGCCAGCTGTCACACTCCTTTGCAGTGTTTAGACTTGTGCTGGGGCTATGGATTCCATCTGCAGATTGTCAGATAGAATCTGACAGTCTGGTCATTTCTCCAGCAACTTGTGGCCAGGCATCAAGTGGAGGGAGATTTACATCCTTGGATGGGAGCAGGCTGCTTTTGCTAGCATGAGGCCTGAGCACTTGAACTGTAGAAGACAAACAGCTGTCCCCTGAACCCAGAGATATGATGACTTCCAGGCCCGTGAGAACAACAGAGTCCCTAGAGCCGCTGGCCTCCCCAGAGTCTGTTAGCTGGAGCTGGGCATGGGACAGAAATGACATGGAAGAGAGGGCTGAGTTGGAGGAGAGGGAATGAAGAGCGGGCTTTTTCAGAGCTGACCTACCCTCTGCATCAAGTGGAACTGAGGGGGAACAGGCAGAATTTGGGTACAGGAGGATGTGGGGGGCTGACTTTCCCAGACTTTCTTCTGGGGAATGGAGGTAGGTGCAGGCTGTGGTCCTCACGGGCAGTCCCTGGGCCTTAGTCCCATGCTGACTGCATCCTCAACCCTAGGAGAGTAGGAGCAGCTCCTCTCCTCTGTGTGTTTCCATTGCACCCTACATGGTCCTAGGAGCACAGGGGAAGGCATGGGAATAGCGCTTCTTACTGTTTTCATCTTAAAACTGCCTAGATCCAGGCCTTTTGAAGGCCTCTTGGCGAAGGTATGTCTACACACTGTCTGTGTTTGGGTGTCTGTCCAGAACGGGGAAATGGGAGCCTGCCATGGCAAGCACTGCTAATGCTCTCCCCCACACAACAAGCCCTGGGTATAGTCTGCCTTTGGCCAGTGAGAAGCAGCTGAAGCATAACATGCAATTCAGTTTAATTTGAGGCCGAGGTGGGCGGATTACCTGAGGTCAGGAGTTCGAGACCAGCCTGGCCAACATGGCAAAACCCCGTCTCTACTAAAAATACAAAAATTAGCCGGGCATGGTGGTGGGTGCCTGTAATCCCAGCTACTTGGGAGGCTGAGGCAGGGAGAATGCTTGAACCCGGGAGGCAGAGGTTGCAGTGAGCCTAGATGGCACCACTGCACTCCAGCCTGGGCAACAGAGTGAGACTCCATCTCAAAAAAAAAAAAAAAAAAAAAAGGGACAAGGAAAAAGACAGTCTCATAGAAATCAAATAACTTCCTTGTATCGACTCTCACCCCATCTACCAGATTCCAAAGTCCATTTTCTCTTCTCTATATGCACTGCTTAGAAGCAGTTGTGTGACACTGAACAAGTCACTTAGCCTTTCTGACTGTTTCTTTGCCTGTGAGTCAACTGGAGATTACATGATCACTCTACTCAGCTCATGCAGGCTGCTTTTGAAGACCCGGTGAGACACTGTGTGTGAAAGTGGTTTGGAAACTGAAAATGCTTCTCCGGTATAAAGCGGTGAAATCAGAATCTGGAGCTTGGATGAGTCCCAGGTCTATTATAGCAGGGATCCCCAACCCCTGGGCCGCAGACTGCTACTGGTCTGTGGCTTGTTAGGAACTGGGCTGCAGCGCAGGAGGTGAGTGGAGGGCAAGCGAGCATTAACACGTGAGCTCCGCCTCCTGTCAGATCTGCGGCTGCGTTAGATTCTCACTGGAGCGCGAATCCTAAAGTGAACTGCACATGTGAGGGATCTAGGTTGCATGCTCTTTCTGAGAATCTAATGTCTGATAATCTGAGGTGGCAGCTTTATCCCAAAACCATCTCCTTCTCCCCTGTCCGTGGAAAGATTGCCTTCCACCAAACCGGTCCCTTGTGCCAAAAAGGTTGGGGATCACTGTCTTATAGGGTCTTGCTCTGTTGCCCAGGCTAGAGTTCAGGGGCACAATCATGGCTTATTGCAGCCTCAGCCTCCTGCTCAAGTGATCCTCTTATCTCAGCCTCCCAAGTGGCCAGGACTACAGGCTTGCACCACTATGCCCAGCTAATTAAATTTTATTTTTTGTGGAGACTGGGTATTTCTATGTTGCCCAGGCTGGTCTTGAGCTCCTGGGCTCAAGAGTTCCTCCTGCCTCAGCCTCCCAAAGTGCTGGGATTATGAGCATGATCCACTGTGCCTGGCCCTGGTTTTGCTCCCTGTATATTCCTGTTTCTGTCGACAGCCTGGGTCTTGGACCCACTTGTCTTTGGTCTTTGTGGACATGCCCTGCCTGGTCTTTCTTCTGCAAGTTTGTACTCACCTCAGACTGACTGCTTTGGTTTTCTGTCCTGGTCTTTATACATCTCCACCTCTGGCTCTGTTTCCATGTTCAGACCCTGGTCTGGCCCGATATTTTGCTCCTGGTCTGGATCACCCCATCATTACCAATGCAACATTTACAACGAGAACAATTTTAAGAATGGGTAGGCCAGGCGCAGTGGCTCACGCCTGTAATCCCAGCACTTTGGGAGGCCGAGGCGGGTGGATCACCTGAGGTCAGGAGTTCAAGACCAGCCTGGCCAACATGGTGAAATCCCATCTCTACTAAAAATACAAAAGTTAGCCGGGCGTGGTGGCAGGCGCCTGTAATCACAGCTGCTCGGGAGGCTGAGGCAGGAGAATCGCTTGAACCCAGGGAGGCAGAGGTTGCAGTGAGCCGAGATTGTGCCACTGCACTCTCAAAAAAAAAAAAAAAAAAAAAAAAAGAATGAGAAGATTTAGAACAGAAGGTACTTCTGGATCTCAGGACATTATGGTCTATTATAGTAGGGGGTTCATGAGAATGGGACCCTAAGGAACCAGAAAGGGGAGAGAAGGTGGCGTATACTTTGCTAGGGCTGCCATAACAAATGACTACAAACTGGGTGGCTTAACACAGGAGGAACTGATTCTCTCACAGTGCTGGAGACTAACAGTCCAAAATCAAGGTGGCAGCAGGGCTGTGCTCCCTGTGAGGCGGGAGGGGAAGATCCTTCCTTGCCTCTTCTCTTATCCCGGTGTTTGCTGACAATCCTTGGGATTGTTTGACTGGAGCTGTATCACTCTAACTTCTCCCCCATCTTCACAAGGCCTTCCCCTGTCTGTCTGTGCCCACATTTCTCTCCTCTTATAAGGACATCGGCCATTGGATCAGGGCTCAACCTAATCCAGCATGACCTCATTTGAACCTGGTTACATGTGCAAAGACCCCATTTCCAAATAAGGTCACATTCACAAGTTCTGGGTGTTAAGACTTCAACAAACTTTCAAGGGGACATAATTCAACCCCTAACAGAGGGTATGATGGGGAAGGGGAAGACAGAATTGCTCCAGACCTTTCCAAGCTTATCTTATTCCTGCTGCTTCAAACCCCCATTTCTTTTTCTTTTTCTTTTTTTTTTCTTTTTTTTTTTTTGAGATGGAGCCTTGCTCTGTCGCCCAGGCTGGAGTGCAGTGGTGTGATTTTGGCTCACTGCAACCTCTGCCTCCTGAGTTCAAGCAATTCTCCTGCCTCAGCCTCCCGAGTAGCTGGGACTACAGGTGCATGCTACAATGCCCAGCTAATTTTTGTATTTTTAGTAGAGATGGGGTTTCACCATGTTGGCCAGGCTGGTCTTGAGCTCCTGACCTCAGGTGATCCTCCTTCCTTGGCCTCCCAAAGTGCTGGGATTATAGGCTTGAGCCACTGCATCTGGCCCAAACCCACATTTCTAAGGCTCTGTTTCATCCTGTCGCCAGCCAGGAGGGTGGCAGAGGTGCTCCCATTCCTGGATTTCCATTGCTGGGGCTTTCCTCCCATCTCCCTGGGCCCAGATTGAAGGGGTCGTTTATCAAATCAGACCTTGCGTTTGCTGTCCCTTGGAGTAGAAGTTGCTGTCCACTCTCCATTCTTCCCATCTTCCTTGAGTAGTAGAAAATTTAAGTTTTAGCTGGAAACACAGCCTCCTAGCTAAAAACACTTGGCAGCATTTGCAGTATGTGGTGGCACACACCCGTAGTCCCAGCTACTCGGGAGGCTGAGGCAGGAGAATCGCTCGTACCTGGGAAGTGGAGGTTGCAGTGAGCCGAGATTGTGCCACTGCACTTCCATCTGGGTGACGGAGCAAGACTCCGTCTCAAAAAAAACAAAACAAAACAAAAAAACACTTGGCAGCCTAACTTGCGGATAGGCATGGCCACGTGACTAAGTGCTACCAGCAGAAGTGTGCAGCACTGGCTGGAATGCGGGTATGATGGTGAGAACTGAAGTAGCCGCCTGTGGTCACAAGACGGTAATCATGTGTTGTGGATGTCAGAGGAACCAGATGGAAGGAGCCTGGGTCTCTGGCAGTGTGGAGCCACCATTTTGGCCCTGGACTGCTTATGTTTAAGACCCTTAAATGAAAGAGAAATAAACTTCTGGCCAGGCACAGTAGCTCATAGATCTCATGCCCATTTTCAAGGCCTTATATCCAGCTCCACAAACCAAGCCACACAGGGCTGGGCACAGTGACTCACATTTGTAATCCCAGGGCTTTGGGAGGCTGAGGCAGGAGGATTGTTTGAGTCCAGGAGTTTGAGACCAACCTGGGCAGCACAGGGAGACCCCATGTCTACAAAAAATTTTTAAAAATGTATCTGGGTATTGGTGGCATGTGCCTGTAGTCTTAGTTACTCAGGAGGCTGAAGTGGGAGGATGGCTTGAGCCCAGGAGGTTGAGGCTGCAGTGAGATTGCACTACTGCACTTTAGCCTGGGCAACAGAGCAAGACCTTGCCTCTAAAAACACACATGTACACACACAAATACTGAAATAAGCTTATATCTTGTTTAAGCCACAGTTACTTTAGCCATTTTTCTTTTCTTTTTTAACGGTAGCTGACCTGAACAAATATATCAGCCAAGGAGTGGGAAAGAAGGTTATACCTTTTTTAGGGTATATAGGTTATACCTCTGGGGAGAGGCATGGACATCTTCCTGGGTTCTGCAATGAGTGTAGCTTAGGTTAATCTAGCCATAAAGCGGCCTTGCTCTGGTACCTTGCAGGGTACCTCTGACCTATGAGAACCAACATCTCTCTAGAGTCTGAGTTTTTGTTGCACCTGAGACCACCAAGTCCATCTCCTTGACATTGATTCTTATGGGGATAATTATCAATAAGTATATTAGCTTCCTGAGACTGCTAAAACAAATTACTACAACCTTGGTGGATTAAAACAACAGAAATGTATTCCCTCACAGTTCTGGAGGCCAGAAGTCTGAAATGAAGGTTTTGGCAGAGCTGGTTCCTTCTGGAGGTTCTCAGGGGAAAATCCGCTCCATGCCCCTGGTGGCTTCTAGCTTCTGGTGGCTCTGGCAGTTCTTGGCATTCCTGGGTTTATAGACATGTCACTCCAGTCGCCACCTCTAGCTTCAATTTGTGTGGCTTTCCTGTGTCGCTGTGTGTCTTCTCCTTTGTGTGTCTCTCTCTCTCTGTTTTTTTTTTTTTTTTTTTTTTTTGGTGACAGAGTCTTGCTCTGTTGCCCAGACTGGAGTGCAGTGGCGCAATCTTGGCTCACCGCAACCTCCACCTCTCAGGTTCAAGCGACTCTCATGTCTCAGCCTCCTGAGTAGCTGGGATTACAGGCGCATGCCACCGTGCCTGGCTAATTTCTGTATTTTACTAGAGATGGACTTTCACCATGTTGCCCAGGTTGTCTCAAACTCCTGACCTCAGGTGATCTGCCCTCCTTGGCCTCCCAAAGTTTGTTTTTGTTTTTGAGATGGGATCTCACTTTGTCACTCAGGCTGGAGTGGAGTGATACAATCATAGCTTACTGCAGCTGCAAACTCCTGGGCTCAAGCAATCCTCCCACTTCAGCCTCCTGAGTAGCTGGCACTACAGGCCCATGCCATCACACCTGGCTAATCTTTTTATTTTTGTAGACAGAGGGTCTCACTATGTTGCCCAGGCTGGATTTGAACTCCTAACCCCAAGCAATCCTCTTGCCTCAGTCTCTCAAAGTACTGGGATTATAGGTGTGAGCCATGGTGCCCAGCCATTTCTGTCTCTTATAAAGACACCTCTCATTGGATTTGGGGCCCATCCTAGTCCAGCATGATCTCATCTCAAGATCCTCACCTTAATTACATCTTCAAAGACCTTTCTTTCAAATAAAGTTACATTCTGAGGTTCCAGGTGAACAAACCTCACCCACTACAGTGAGAGACACTTGTGAGCCCTTTAACTGGGAGTTCTGCTCCCATAAGTTTAGCATCCACTCCAATCACTGCCACCCCACCAGGGAACGGCTGTTTTCTCCAGAAGATCTTGGACTCTGTGGTAAGCACAATTCTGAGATGACCCCCAGTGAACTCTAATGACCCCATATCTTTGCATAATCTTCTGATGAATGTGGGTGGGGCCCATAACTTGCTTCCAACCAGTAGAATATGGCAAAGGTGATGGATGCTACTCTTGGACTATGATACATGGCAGAGAGGAAGGGATTTATTTTTTTTTTGAGATGGAGTCTTGCTCTGCTGCCCAGGCTGGAATGTGGTGGTGTGATCTCGGCTCACTGCAAGCTCCACCTCCTGGGTTCATGCCATTCTCCTGCCTCAGCCTCCTGAGTAGCTGGGACTACAGGCGCCCACCACCACGCCCAGCAAATTTTTTTGGATTTTTAGTAGAGACGGGGTTTCACCATGTTAGCCAGGATGGTCTCGATCTCCCGACCTCGTGATCCACCTGCCTTGGCCTCCCAAAGTGCTGGGATTACTGGCGTGAGCCACCAAGCCTGGCCGAGGAAGGGATTTTGAAGATGTAATTACAGTCCCTAATCAGTTGATTTTAAGCAAATAAAGTGGGAGATTATGCTGGGTGGGCCTGACTTAATAAGGTGAGTTCTTTATTTAAAAGAGGGTCTAGAGCTCAGAAATAGTCAGAGATATACTCCTACTGGCCTAGAGGAAGCTAGCCACTGAGAATTCTACAACTGTAAGAAAATGAATTCTGGCCAGGTGCAATGACCCACGCCTGTAATCCCAGAACTTTGGGAGGCCAAGGTGGGCTGATACTTGAGGCCAGGAGTTTGAGACCAGCCTAGGCAACATGATTAAACTCCATGTCTACTAAAAACACAAAACAAACAAACAAACAAACAAAACTAGCTGGGTGTGGTAGCAGGTGCCTGTAATCCCAGCTACTCGGGAGGCTGAGGTAGGAGAATCGCATGAACTTGGGAGGTGGAGGTTGCAGTGAGCTGAGATCATGCCACTGCACTCTAGCCTGGGTGACTGTCTCAAAAAAAAAAAAAAAAAAGGATGCTGCCAACAACCACAGGAGCTAGGAGGACACTGAGCCTCCGGTGAGACCATAGCCCTAGCCGACATCTTGATTGCAGCCTGGGGACCCTGAGCAGAAGACCCAGCTAACCCGTACCTGAACTCCAGACACATGGGAACGGTGAGAAAATAAATATGTTATTCTAAGCTGCTGAGTTTGTGGTAATTTGTCACATGCAACAGAGAATGAACACAAACTTACTACACTACATGATTCTGCCTGAGGCTGCTCTTTCTAGCAGTCCTTCTCTGACAGTGCTTTTTTCTTCTCCTCTTTTTTTTTTTTTTTTGACAGGGTCTTGCTCTGTTGCCCAGGCTGGAGTGCAGTGGTGCAATTACAGCACATTGCAGCCTCAGCCTCCCAGTCTCAAGTGATCCTCCCACCTCAGCCTCTCAAATAGCTGGGACTACAGGCACACACCACAACTCCTGGCTAATTTTTTTGTAATTTTTGTAGAGATGGGGTCTGACTATGTTGCCCAGGCTGGTCTCAAATTCCTGGGCTCAAGCAATCCTCCCACCTCAGCCTCCCAAAGCACTGGGATTACAAGCATGAGCCATTGCACTTGGCCAGGCAATGTTTTTAAAGGTGCCCCTTCAGAACTCAAGACACACTGGGATGACAAGCTCAGGAAGATCCCCTTGCAATGATCTGTGACTCTCTTTGAAGGCTTCATCTCAGTCTGTTTCATTTTGCTATAAAGGCATATCTGAGGCTGAGCAATTTATAAAAAAAAAGAGGCTAATGTAGCTCATGTTTCTACAGGCTGAGAAGTTTAAGGGGATGGCCCTGGCTACTGGCAAAGAACTTTTGTGCTGGATCACAACATGGCAGAGAGGGTCAAAGAAGAAGCAGATATGTGTGAAAAGGGGAAAACCTGAGGGGCGTCCTGGCTTTATAACATCCCACTCTGTCGGGAACTCACCCATTCCTGCAAGAACTAATCCAGTCTCATGAGAGTCAGAATTCACTTACTCCTGCAAGAACAGCACCAAGCCATTCATGAGGGATCCATCCCCGTGACCCAAACACCTCCCACCCGGTGCCCCTTCCCAGTGCTGCCATATTGGGGATCAAATTTTGACATGAGTTTTGGTGAGGACAAACAATATTCAAACCCTGGCAGGCTTATCTGGGACTCTTGCTTCCATGTCCTAGGAACAGGATCTCTGTGTGTCCATTGTTTGCTCCTGAGGGAACAACCAGTGATCTCAAGATTCCTTGGTCCATATACACCTTTTAAGTAATTTAAGGCCAGGTGCAGTGGTTTATGCCTGTAATCCTAGTGCTTTGGGAGACTGAGATGGGAGGATTTCTTGAGGCCAGGAATTTGAGACCAGCCTGGGCAACATACTGAGACCAAGTCTCTACAATAAATAGAAAAATTAGCCAGGCATGGTGGCATTTGCCTATAGTCTAAGCTACTGGGAAGGCTGAGGTGGGAGGATTATTTGAGCCTGGGAGGTCAAGGCTGCAGTAAGCTGTGATGAAGACACTGCACTCCAGCCTGGGTGACAGAGCAAGACCCTGTCTCAAAAAAAAAAAAAAAAAAAAAAAAAGAAAGAAATTTAGGAGCTAGAGGTACAGAACTCATTATCACAGTTTCATTTCTGAGTTGCCAGTGAGGAGCCATACTTTATAACTCAGAGGCACAGCACACCGTACATGGTTCCCAAAATCTCTTTATCAAGAAACAAGATGAAACATGGCCTCCACTGTGGATATTTCCAGAAGCGAGTGGGGATGGGCCACTTCTTCCCAGAGGAGAGAAATAGGAATGGGAGGGCTCTGCAACAGTCGGTGCCATCCACACAGTCTCTGGTTTCTCTTCCAGTCATGGATCACGCGACCAAGCCTGTCCTTCTGGGGCCTCCCCTTGTGCCTCCCCTTGGGCCTGAGTCTGAATCTAATTGACGCTGGAACACTCTCCCAGAGCCACAAGGTTGGGTGCTGGAGGAATGAGGGAAGCAGAGGCAGCTGCTTTTCTAATGGAGAAATTCCTTTTTTTTTTTTTTTTTTGAGGCGGTCTCACTCTGTTGCCCAGGCTGGAGTGCAGTGGCGCGATCTTGGCTCACTGCAACCTCCGCCTCCCAGATTCAAGCGATTCTCCTGCCTGAGCCTCCCGAGTAGCTGGGATTACAGGTGCCCCACCACCATGCCCAGCTAATTTTTGTATTTTAGTAGAGATGGGGTTTCACCATGTTGGCCAGGCTGGTCTTGAACTCCTGACCTCAGGTGATCCACCTGCCTCAGCCTCCCAAAGTGCTGGGATTACAGGCATGAGCCTCCATGCCTGGCTGAGAAACTCCTACCATTTTTGGGGAGGGAGAAACATATGGGGCTGATGGCAAACTTTAGTGCTCCAGTTCCCTCAAGACTCAGCACCCAGGTGTGACACCTTCTCATTTTCTTTGCTCAGTCTTAAGAGCAAACTGTAGTTTTTACCCTAAGCCACTTTTAAGACCATGAAGTTGGTGGGGTTGGTGACTATCTGGTATTGACTGGAGTGGTCTGGTATAGGAGCTTCCGATGTTATACAATGAAATTTTTTTTTTAAAACTTTGCCTTTGTTTTTCTTTATTATTCCTTGCAAGTTGTTGTCAGGAAAAAAGAAATCTGTTTCTTTAAAAAAAATGAGGTATAGGCCGGGTGCGGTGGCTCATGCCTGTAATCTCAGCACTTTGGGAGGCCAAGGCGGGTGGATCATTTGAGGTCAGGAGTTTGAGACAAGCCTGGCCAACATGGAGAAACCCATCTCTGCAAAAAATACAAAAATTAGCCAGGCGTGATGGTGCGCACCTGTAGTCCCAGCTACTCAGGAGGCTGAGGCAAGAGAATTGCTTGAATATGGGAGGCAGAGGTTGCAGTGAGTTGAAATTGCACCACTGCACTCCAGCCTGGGTGACAGAGCAAGACTCTGTCTCAAAAAAAAAAAGTATAAAAGTTGTACAAAAAGAGTGGATATTATTAATACAGAAGATATTGTTTAAGAAGATATTTTTCAAAAGCACCCCTGCCTGCCAGCATCTCCCCCCAGGCTTGGTCCACTGCCTGGTATTTTTATGGAAGACATCTGGCAATTCCATTCCTTGGCCATTGCCTTAGCTCAGACCTTCATCGCTTCTTAACTGAATTAACTAAAATAGTCTCCACTTGGCCTTCTTGCCTAATTCTGGTTCCCCTCCACAAGCCCCCAGAGAATTTTTCTGAAATATAAATCTGATCATGTCATTCCCTTTCTCGAAATCATCCAGTGGTGTCCTAAAGGTTTTGGGGTAAGAGTCAGATAGGCCCTTAAAACGCCTATCATTTTTATGGACGAAGCCTACTTCCCTAACTTGATTTCCCACCACTCCCTCAATATGCTTTTATTCCAACCATACTTAAATGCACTAAAAAAATTCTCATTTTTTTTTTTTTGTATCTGTACCTTCACACATGGTACCCTCTGTCATCCATTCAAACACAGACTGTACTTTCTGCTCATCTGTCCACCCCAGCAATACTTTTTTTTTTTTTTTTTTTTTTTTGAGGCAGGGGCCCACTCTGTCTTCCAGGCTGGAGTGCAGTGTAATCATGGCTCACAGCAGCCTTGACCTCCAAGAGCTCAGGTGATTCTCCCACCTCAGCCTCCGGAGTAGCTGGGACTACAGGCATGTGCCACCATGCCTGGCTTATTTTTGCATTTTTTGTAGAGACGGGTTTCGCCATGTTGCCAGGCTGTTCTCAAACTCCTGGACTCAAGCCTCTGTCTGCCTTGGCCTCGCACACTTCTGGGATTACAGGCATGAACCATTGCACCCAGCCTCAATAAGTTTTTGTTGAATGAACAAATTCTAATTATGTTACAAGGTGAAACTGACAGGGTTTGCCAATGGCTTGGATGCAGGGTTTAAGAGAAAAAAAGGAAAGTTAGGGATGAGCCCAAGATTTTTGCCCTGAGCACATGACAGAGTGAACTTGTCATTTACAAAAGTGGGGAAAATGTGATAAGAGCAGGTTTGGTGGGGGATATGAAACTATGAGTTAGTTTTCAGACATAATATATTAAAACATTTGTTTTAATTTTTTGTAGAGATAGGGTCCCACTATCTTGCCCAGGCTGGTCTCAAACTCCTGGGCTCAAGTGATCCTCCCACCTCAGCCTCCCAAAGTACTTGGATTACAGGTGTGAGCCACTGTGCCCAGACAGTTCTTTTTAACACAGTGCATTTTGTTTTATTTTATTTTTTAAATGCAATCTTGCTCTGTCACCCAGGCTGGAGTGTAGCAGCACGATCTCAGCTCACTGCAACGTCTGCCTCCCGGATTCAGGTAATTCTCTTGCCTCAGCCTCCCAGGTAGCTAGGATTACAGGCGCCCACCACCTCGCCTGGCTAATTTTTGTATTTTTAGTAGAGATGGGGTTTCACCATGTTGACCAGGCTGGTCTCAAACTCCTAGCCTCATGTGATCTGCCCACCTTGGCCTCCCAAAATGCTGGGATTACAGGTGTGAGCCACTGCACCCAGCCATGGACATAGTGCATTTTAAAAGTCTATTAATGATTAGTTATTTGTTGGAATAACAAATAGGCATTGGATTTTCAAGTGTGTAGGTCAGGAGAAAAGTTTGGGGCTGGATATATACCTTTGAGATAAGGGTATTTAAGCTCATGGAAGTAGGTAAGATCATCTGCATGGTGACCATAGACAGAGAAGAGAAGAATTCAGAGAACAGGGCCCTGGGGCATTCCAACATTTAGAGGTTAGGAATCAAAGGAACCAGCAAAGCCAACTGAGAAGCAGCAGCAGTGAGGCAAGAGGGGAATCAAAGGGAAATGGTGTCCCGGATGCCACCGGAAGAAAATGTTTTAAGAAGGAAGTGGTCAGTTGTATTACGTGCTGTTGAAGCATCAAATCAGAAAAGGACTGAGAGCACATAACTGAATTTGGCAGTATGAAGGTCTGGCATTTGTGATCTCAGTGAGACCAGCTCTGATGATGTGGTGATGATGAAATGCTGATCAGATTGGATCTTAGTCTATTTAGTGTTGCCATAAAGGCACACCTGAGGCTGGGTAATTTATAAAGAAAACAGGTTTATTTGGCTCACAATTCTGCAGGCTAGAAGACTGGACATCTGGGGAAAGTCCCAGGCTGCATCTCCCACTCATGGTGGAAGGTGAAGAGGAGCTGGTGTGTGCAGAGATCACAGGGTGAGAGAGGAAGCAAGAGAGAGGGTAGGAGGGAAAGGTGCCTGGCTCTTTTCATAGGTTGGTGCAAAAGTAATTGCGTTTTTTGCTATTTTTTTTTTTTTTTTTTTTTTTAATGGCAAAACCTGCAATTACTTTTGCACCAACCTAATAACAACCAGTTCTCACAGGAACTAATAAGAGTGAGAGCTCACTCACCACTGTGAGGAAGGCACCAAGATGTCCATGAGTGACCTGTCCCTAAGACCCAAAGACCTCCCATTAGGCCCCACCTCCAACATTGTATTAGTCCATTTTCACACTGCTGATAAAGACATACCTGAGACTGGGAAGAAAAAGGGGTTTAATGGACTCAGTTCCATGTGGCTGAGGAGGCCTCACAGACATGGTGGAAGGTGAAAGGCATGTCTTACATGGTGGCAGACAAGAGAGAGAACTTGTGCAGGGGAACTCCTCCTCATAAGTAAGTAAGTAAGTCTGTCATGAGACTTACTCACTATTACGAGAACAGCACGGGAAAGACTTGCTCCCGTGATTCAATTACCTCCCACTGGGTCCCTCCCATGACATGTGAGAATTGTGGGAGCTACAATTCAAGACGAGATTTGGGTGGGAACAGAGCCAAACCATATCAGGGATCAAATTTTAACATGAGATTTGGAAAAACATCCAAATTATTGCACATTGGGTCCAGCAGAATATGGGAGGTGAAGAAGTGGAGATACAGTACAAAACGCCCTTTCATTTGCTGTCGTTCTGAAAAGGAACAGAGAAGCATGATGTGGCTGATCATCATGTTGTTATTTTGGTTCATCTGGGGACTGTTTCCCAGAATCCTTGTTAGATTCTGGGTTACAGTTGGAAAAAAGAGGAACATATTTTGTTCTTTTGGTTCATCTGTGGACTCTGTTTCCCAGAAGCCTTGTTAGATTCTGGGTCAGAGTTGGACAAAAGAGGAAGATACCCAAGCTCTGGGAGGTGGAAGTGAAGCAGCTCTCTTAATATCTGAAGGACTTCAGGGTGAGACACAGAAGCAGAAGTAGTTGGAGGCCCCAGCTTACTTTAGACTCTCCTCCACCCACGTTCAGTTCTGCTTCCAGACTGTTGGCTCTGTACACCACTGGAGGACATGGGCCCATCAAAACACACCTGGCTGCAACACACAGAGGCAGTAGCTACACAGAAGCCATACCTTTTGGCCTGGTGTGGTGGCTCATGCCTGTAATCCCAGCACTTTGGGAGTCCAGGGCGGGTGGATCACTTGAAGTCAGGAGTTTGAGACCAGCCTGGCCAACATGGCGACACCCCGTCTCTACTAAAAAAATACAAAAATTAGGCCAGGCTCGGTGGCTCATGCCTGTAATCCCAGCACTTTGGGAGGCCGAGGCGGGTGGATCATCTGAGGTTGGGAGTTCGAGACCAAACTGACCAACATGGAGAAACCCCGTCTCTATTAAAAAAAATAAAAAATTAGCCAGCGTGGTGGTGCATGCCTATAATCCCAGCTACTCAGGAGGCTGAGGTAGGAGAATCGCTTGAACCCGGGAGGCGGAGGTTGCAGTGATCTGAGATCGTGCCGTTGTATTCTAGCCCGGGCAACAAGAGTGAAACTCTGTCTCAAAAACAAAAACAAAAACAAAAACAAAAACAAAAAAAAACAAAAATTATCCAGGTGTGGTGGTGGGCAATTGTAATCCCAGCTACCTAGGAGGCTGAGGCAGGAGAATTGCATGAGCCCAGGAGGTGGAGGTTGCAGTGAGCCAAGATCACGCCACTGCACTCTAGCCTGAGCAACAGAGTGAGACTCTGCACTCCAGCCTGGGCAACAGAATGAGAATCCATGACTCTGCACTCCAGCCTGGGCAACAGAGTGAGACTCCATCTCAAAAAAAAGAAAAGAAGCCACATCTACCCTTAGACCTCTCCATATGGATCCACTTCTGCAGTTGCACGCATGTGGCTCCTCAGATTTCCCTGCAAGCGCAGACGTGCCCACCCAGGTGGGTGCTTTCAGGAGCTTGATGAGTGATTGTCTCCGATTCTGCAGCTTCCATCTCTGGGTCTTCACTTCCCCAGCCCCTCCCCTGATTGTGTAAGGTCGAATCCCCATAATACCTACATCACTCGCAGCGCTTCTGTTTCCTTAGTGAACTCTTGCTTCATAGATACATGGGCTAACAGCTGGAGGATGTGAGGTCAAGGGAATGTTGTTTGTTTTTAAGATGGGGGGTTTAGCTGCCTGTTTATGCTCAAGAGAATGTTCTAGTAGAGAGGGGGAATTAATGATAGAGGAAAGGAAGGACAACTGCAGGAGGAATGCAGGCTCTGAGCAGCAGGGCTGGGACCCAGGGGACCAGGGGAGAGGCTGGACTGAGATAGGGGCACAGGGCAGGGACCCAGGGGACCAGGGGAGAGGCTGGACTGAGATAGGGGCACAGGGCACTCATCCATTGTTTTGAGGGAAAAGGCAGAGTAGGTGGACACCTGTGCGAACAGACTAGTAGCTATGATGGCAGCCTGTGGAAGTCTCTTCTGATTGTTGGTTAGGCGCGTAGGCTCACGCCTGTAATCCCAGCACTTTGGGAGGCTGAGGTAGGTGGATCCCTTGAGCCAGGGAGAAGGAGGTTGCAGTGAACCGAGATCGTGCCACTGCACTCTATCCTGGGCAATAGGTCCTGGCCAGACCTTGTCGGGGGAAAAAAAAAGTCTCTTCTGATTGCTTTTATTGTCTCAGAAATAAGATCAGCAGCTGACAGTACCAAGAGGAAGTGCTGGTTATTTGAGAGAGGGAAAGGTGGGACTTAATTCTGAAATTTGGTCTTTTTTGGCTGCCTGGTCTGTTAACCTCCTTCTAAAGCTTGGGAAATTCTTCATTTTCTGAGTGTTGGTGGGTGCTAGAGCCCACCTCCCACCATGGAGGCTGAAAAGACCAGACCTTCATTCCAGCTATGCCTTAGCGAGGGCATGGGCAGGGCATGGGTCACATGAGCGGGCTCAGTCAATCAGACGCAGACTTCCTGATCTCAGCCTGGGGCCAGTTGGAGAATCCTTTCCCAGAGCAGCAGCTTTGGTGGCGAGGTCCCATCTCTCTAGGATCTGCGGGGCAGCAAGGGCATCCATCAGAGGAAGGTGAGGGTGGAGCCGGTCACAACATCCTCTAGTGTTTGGCAGTGGGATCCTCCTCGCCAGCTTCCATCATTTCATCATTTTTTTTTTTGAGACTGAGTTTCACTCTTTTTTTTTTTCAGACGGAGTCTTGCTCTATCGCCCAGGCTGGAGTACAGTGCTTGAGAATCTCGGCTCACTGCAACCTCCACCTCCCGGGTTCAAGCTATTCTCCTACCTCAGCCTCCTGAGTAGCTGGGATTACAGGCATGTGCCAACACACCCGGCTAATTTTTGTATTTTTAGTAGAGACGGGGTTTCACCATGTTGGCCAGGCTGATCTCAAACTCCTGACATCGTGATCCACCTGCCTCGGCCTCCCAAAGTGCTGGGATTACAGGTGTGAGCCACTGCACCTGGCCTTGAGACTGAGTTCCACTCTTGTCGCTCAGGCTGGAATACAATGGCATGACCTCAGCTCACTGCAACCTCTACCTCCTGGGTTCAAGCCATCCTCCTGCCTCAGCCTCCCAAGTAGCTGGGATTACAGGCATGTGCCACCATGCGTGGCTAATTTTTTCTTTTTTCTTTTTTTTTTTTAGTAGAGACGGGGTTTCACCATGTTGGCCAGAATGGTCTCAAACTCCTGACCTCAGGTGATCCACCTGCCTTGGCCTTCCAAAGTGCTGGAATTACAGGCGTGAGCCACCGTGCCTGGCTATGACCAACTTCCTTCTGTGGTTTGGTCTTGGTGGTGCTCTGCTCTGAAATCTCCAGCCTTTCTGTCAATTACAATAGCCACCTGATATCCTTTCAATAAATTCCTCTTGGACTTAGCCAGAATTAGTTTCTGTTGCTTGCAACAAAGAATCCAAACTGATACTGACAGGAATTAGAGGCTTGACTCAAAGAAAGTTCGTTCCAACTTCTCTCTGCATCTGCATACAGTTGGCGTCATTTTTTTCTGAGTTTCTTGCATGTTAGAGACCAGTAGCTTCTGGAAGCTTTATGATCATTTCTTTATAATTGTATGACTGGAGAATAATGACAGGTGCTTTTTCTCCTCCAACTCCAACAGAAAATCCCAGGAAAGTACTCCGATAGGCCAGGCTTAAGCCACATGTCTCTTCTCAAAGCAAGCACTGGTCTGAATGCTGGTGTCCTCTCAAATGTGTATAATGAAACCTAATACTCAATATAAGAGTGTTGCCAGGAGCGGTGGCTCACGCCTGTAATCCCAGCACTTTGGGAGGCTGAGGCAGGCGGATCACGAGGTCAGGAGATTGAGACCATCCTGGCTAACATGGTGAAACCCCGTCTCTACTAAAAATACAAGAAATTAGCCAGGCGTGGTTGTGGGCGCCTGTAGTCTCAGCTACTTGGGAGGCTGAGGCAGGAGAATGACATGAACCCGGGAGGCGGAGCTTGCAGTGAGCCGAGATGGTGCCACTGCACTCCAGCCTAGGCGACAGAGTGAGACTCTGTCTCAAAAAAAAAAAGAGTGTTAAGAGGTGGGGCTTTTTGGAAAGTGATTAAGTCTTGAAGGCTCCACCTTCATGAATGGGATTGGTGTCCTTATAAAAGAGGTTGGGCTGATGAGAGATGGGAACTTGGGGCCACAAGCATGTCATTCCCTTTTACTGGCTGACCAGCTACCAGGCAGAGCCTCTGGCATGAGCCAACTTTCCTCTCCATTTACCTCTCCTCTCCTCATTCCCACTCCCCAGCCCTGGGCACTCCACATAGCCTGCAGTTGTCCAGAGAAAAACGTCTTTTCCCCCTGCTGCTGGGACAGTACTGGGGACCCTGGAATTTTTACCAGATTTGGAAGTGTGAGGCCAACAGACAAAAAAAATAGCCATTAAAAGTGATGCTCTTCAAGAATTTGATGGGCCAGGTGCTGTGGCTCATGCCTGTAATCCTAGCACTTTGGGAGGCCGAGGTGGGTGGATCACTTGAGGTCAGGAGTTCGAGACAAGCCTGGCCAACATGGTGAAACCCTGTCTCTTCTAAAAATACACAAATTAGCTGGGTGTGGTGGTGTGCGCCTGTAATCCCAGCTACTCAGGAGGCAGAGGCAGGAGAATCGCTTGAACTCGAGAGGAGGAGGTTGCACTGAGCTGAGATTGCACCACTGCACTCCAGCCTGGGTGACAGAGCGAGACTGTGGCTCAAAAAACAAACAAACAACAACGAAAAAGAATTTGGAGGCCAGGCTTAATGGCTAATGTCTAATTCCAGCATTTTGGGACTTGGAGGCAAGAGGATCACTTGACCCCAGGAGTTTGAGACAGCCTGGGCAACATAGTGAAACCCCATCTCTCCCAAAAATTAGAAAAATTAGCTGGGCCTGACGGTGCATACATATAGTCCTAGCTATTCCAGAGGCTAAGGCCTGATCCTGGGAAGTTTGAGGCTGCAGTGAGCCTTGGTCGCACCATGGCACTCTAGCCTGGGCGACAGAGTGACATCCTGTCTCAAATAATAACAATAATAATAATAATAATAATAATTTGTAATGAATGATGCAGTGAACACTTGCTGACTGTCTTCCCAGAATTCCTTCTCCCCTCTCCCATTCCTAAGAGCACCTGGAATCTCAGGGGGAATCTTTCTCGGCTGGCACCACCCTAGGCTCTAGGTGGTTGGTTTAAACTGATGGAGTATTCCATTCTCAGCCATGTTAAGATTAGGGATGGGCGAGGGACTCAACTGAAGCCAAGGAGAAACAACAAAGGGGCCCAGGGAATTCAGGAAAGGAAAAGTAAACGTTTTATAAAGGAAAAATTTTAAATATCAGGACCCCTACAAACTTCTTTTTTTTTTTTTTTTTTTTTTTTAAGACAGAGTCTTGCTCTGTCACCCAGGCTGGAGTGCACTGGTGCTATCTGGGCTTACTGCAACTTCTGTCTCCCAGGTTCAAGCGATTCTCCTGCCTCAGCCTCCCTAGTAGCTGGGATTACAGGCACCTGCCACCACACCCAGCTTTTTTTGCATTCTGAGTAGAGACGGGGTTTCACCATATTGGCCAGGCTGGTCTCGAACTCCTGACCTCAAGTGATCTGCCCACCTCTGCCTCCCAACATGCTGGGATTACAGGTGTGAGCCACTGTGGCTGGCCTAATTTTTGTATTTTGGTAGAGACAGGATCTCAAGTGCCTGTAATCCTAGCAGATGGGGAGGATGAGGTGGGAGGATCACTTAAGGCCAGGAGTTTGAGACCAGCCTGGGCAACATAGCAAGATCCCACCTTTGCAAAAAATTAAAAAAAAAATTAAAGGCTTCAGAGAATTCTATTGCATGGATATCATTATTAATTTAAACATTCCTTCGGTAATTGGTATTTGGTTTATTTGCAAACAAAGCTGACATGTAGATTCCTTAAGTGTGTATCACTTCGTTTATGTGCTGCATCCCATCCATCATCCACTTTTTTTTTTTTTTGAGATGGAGTTTCACTCTTGTCGTCCAGGCTGGAGTGCAATGGCTCAATCTCGGCTCACTGCAACCTCCGCCTCCCTGGTTCAAGCTGTTCTCCTGCCTCAGTCTCCTGAGTAGCTGGGATTACAGGCACAGGCCATCAAACCCAGCTAATTTTTGTATTTTTAGTAGAGACGGGGTTTCACCACATTGGCCAGACTGGTCTCAAACTCATGACCTCAGGTGACCTGCCCGCCTCAGCCACCCAAAGTGTTGGGATTACAGGCGTGAGCCACTGTGCCCGGCCCCATCCACTTTTGTTCTCACATCCAGCGTCAGCCAGAGAACCAGCCTGACGCATCCAGGACAGTAGAGCCAAGGGGATGCCAGAGAATGAAGCTGGGGCCCTGATGATAACTGTGTCCCTCTGGACTGAACTCCGACTGGAGTCAGATGTACCCTGGCCCTCCCAGTTAGGTGCCAATACTTTCTCTCTGTTGCTCAAGCTGGTTTGGACTAGGTCTTTTTTAAATTACCTGCAGCATAAAAGGTTCTCACTGGCACACAATAAAATCCTCACAGCTGAAATGTTAAGTGAAGAAAGTATGATGAAAATGACACATAAATGTTGATAGCAAT
This sequence comes from Homo sapiens, assembly GCF_000001405.40. Lineage (NCBI taxonomy): Eukaryota > Metazoa > Chordata > Mammalia > Primates > Hominidae > Homo > Homo sapiens. The sequence goes on along the minus strand of NC_000008.11, from coordinate 37,942,724 downwards.
TACCTTAAAATATAAATGTCAAAGAATAGAAACTGGATGGAGGTGCACCCGGACTGAAGTTATGGATTGGTTGTAGGGAATTTGTGTGCTTCATTATAATTTTTTGATGCTTTTGAGTTTTCTACAATAATACGGACTACTTTCATAATCATTTGCCTCAAAACAGGTTCCCTGGGAGCATAGCCTGAGACAGGAGTTCCTGGGCATGTGACTTAGGGAAGGAGTGCCCTTCAGGAAGAACCTGGAAGGGAGTGAAGGAAGCAGGATTGTGAAGGGGAAGGAACCAAGCAAGGATGTGGCCTCAGGTCAAGTCTAGGCTTCGCCTGGTTGGGGAATGGGCCCTGAAGTGTAGATTGAGCCACAGAGGTGAACCGAGACAAGGGGGCTGGCCTTTTTTCTTTTTCTTTTCCTTTTTTTTTTTTTTTGAGACAGTCTCGCTCTGTCACCCAGGCTAGAGTGCAGTGGAGAGATCTCGGCTCACTGTGCCCTCTGCCTCCCGTGTTCAAGCAATTCTCCTGTCTCAGCCTCCTCCCTACATGCGCCCACCACCAAGCCAGGCTAATTTTTTTTTTGTATTTTTAGTAGAGACGGGGTTTCACCCCATTAGCCAGTATGGTCTCAATCTCCTGTCCTTGTGATCTGCCTGTCTTGGCCTTCCAAAGTGCTGGGATTACAGGTGTGAGCCACCGTGCCCGACCTTTTTTTTTTTTTAAAGACAGGATCTCACTCTGTCAACCAGGCTGGAGTGCAGTGCCATGATCATAGCTCACTGCAATACCACCACGCCCAGCTAATTTTAAAATTTTTTGTGGAGTGGGTGGGGGGGGTCTCCCTATGTTGCTCAGGCTGGTCTTGAGCTCCTGGGCTCAAGTGATCCTCCCGCCTCAGTCTCCCAAAGCACTAGGATTGCAGGTGTGAGCCACCATGCCTGGCTGTGGCTGACCCTTTGTATGCCTAAATCAGGCAGTCATTGGCTACCCCTGTCAGTGGGGGTGAAACCTCCAGGTGGTTTCTAGGCTAGCTGACTCCTGCCAGCCAAGCACAATTCTCCAGAGAACACAGGCATATAAGCCTTGTCCACCAGCGAAGCAGCAGCTGGGGCCGGGCACATTGGTGGTGAAGGCCTTCTGGGTGAGACATCAACAGTGTTTGCAACAATCATTTAAAGAGTTATTTAACATCAGGCTGGGTGTGGTGGCTCATGCCTGTAATCCTAACACTTTGGGAGGCTGAGGTAGGCAGATCACTTGAGGTCAGGAGTTTGAGACCAGTCTGGCCAACGTGGTGAAACCCTGTCTCTACTAAAAATACAAAAAAAAGCCGGGCGCAGTGACTCACGCCTGTAATCCCAGCACTTTGGGAGGCCCAGGTGGGCAGATCACCTGAGGTCTGGAGTTTGAGACCAGCCTGATCAACATGGAGAAATCCCCCTCTCTACTAAAAATACAAAATTAGTTGGGTGTGGTGGCGCATGCCTGTAATCCCAGCTACTCGGGAGGCTGAGGCAGGAGAATCTCTTGAACCTGGGAAGCAGAGGTTGCAGTGAGCCGAGATCACACCACTGCACTCCAATGTGGGCAGCAAGAGCGAGACTCTGTCTCAAAAAAAAAAAAAAAAAAAAAGAGAGAGTCATTAAACATCAAAAGGAAAAGAAAGCAAGCAATATGCAGACTGACTCTATAGAGGCTGGCTCTTTTCTCCCCTTGGCCTCTGCTGTCTATACTTACTAGTTGGCTGTCATTGAAACTTAACAAATGGCCAGGTGTGGTGGCTCATGCCTGTAATCCCAGCAGTTTGGGAGGCCAAGGCAGGCAGATCACCTGAGGCAAGGAGTTCGAGACTATCGACAAAGTGAGACTCCATCTCAAAAAAAAAAAAAACCAAAAAAAGAAAGAAAAAGAAACTTAACAAACATATGTAGAAGTCTTGGCTCTAGATAACTGAGAGAAATAGGACTGGCTTAGTGAGTTGCCAATTATATTCTAATAATAGGATTCTTTATTAAAACAACTGTGGAAGAAAACAGTGTTTGCTTTTTATTCCTTTTGAAATCTGGGGCACTTTGCAAAATGGAAATCAATGCCTCGACTTGCATTGGTGTGTGATCTGGGGTTTTTGCTTCTGCAGGAGAAGCCCTATCTGGCTTATTGGCTGCCTGCCTTGCCCTATGTCTTTCTTTCTTTTTTTTTTTTTTAATTTGTATAAATGTGTGAAGTACAAGTGTAATTTTGTTAGATGCATACATCGCATAGTGGTGAAGTCAGGGCTTTTAGGGTATCCATAACCCCAACAATGTACATTGTATCTGTTAAGTAATCTCCCATTATCCTTGCCCTGTCATCTAAGGAGTGGGCTTGTTACTTTGGACTGAGCCACCTGGGGCTAGAGAAGAGAAGGCATTGAGTGAGGGAAACGGGCTTGGGAATTCCGGAGATTGTTATCCTGCCCTGCCCGCTGTCTGAGGGGATTCTCCTCAAGTACCCTGGAATGTTCCTGTGGCCCCTGTGGATCGCCACCACAAAGATCATGAGGTTCTGTTGCCCTGGCAACCCGTTGTCCAGCGCCTCTGCACTGGGGCTGCCAAGGTTCCAGGAAGAGGCAGGACTGCCCGGCCCAGCCTTGGAGGAAGACTTCTGGGCAGAAGCGGAACACAGGAGCAGAGACACATAGTCTTGGCTCCAGTTTCGTTTCAGTTATGCCCACCCTTTCAGTGTTCATGGATGTGCCCCTCGCCCACAAGCTAGAGGGCAGCTTGTTAAAGACCTACAAACAAGATGATTACCCGAACAAGATATTCTTAGCCTATAGAGGTAGATGCCTAGCAGTTCTGAAGTATAAGACTTAAGTGATGGTAACTGCCTCTAGGAGGACAGTGTTCCCTGCTGCAGGGGGAGGGGTGCAGCCCAAGCTTCTGTGGGTGGAGAGATCTTTTCTTGTTAACAGAATTACCCAGTGGGGAAAAGTGCAGATAAGGTCCCAGGTCATTCCATGCTCTCTGCCCTTCTCTGGGGGCTTCTAGGGATTTGGTGAGAGCTATGTCCTCTTCCACAACTCTATGCTTGGGGGCCTGCATGGCCATCCCACACTTCTTCAGATTCTTACCTCCTCTCTCTCTCTTTCTCTTTCTCTTCCTGTTCTTGAACCAAGAATGGTTCTCCAGATTGAGCTTTCTGCTATGCAACTGGGGCTCACCACTGTGAAAGTCAGGGTTACCTTTATTTAGCTTCATCTACCTATAACTCTCATTTTGCATATATATATATATATATATATATATATATATATATATATATTTTTTTTTTTTTTTTCTTGAGACAGGGCCTCACTCTGTTGCCCAGGCTGAAGTGCAGTGGCAAGATCTCAGCTCACTGCCACCTTTGCCTCCTGGGCTCAAACCATCCTCTTGCCTCAGCCTCCTGAGTAGCTGGGACTACAGGCGCTGGTCACCATGTCTGGCTGTTTTGTATTTTTTTGTAGAGACAGGGTTTCATCATGTTGCCCAGGCTGATCTTGAACTCCTGAACTCAAGTGATCCACCCACCTTAGCCTCCCGAAGTGCTGGGATTACAGGCCTGAGCCACCAATCCTGGGCTTGTATAATTTTTAACCTTTAAAATGGCATAGGTTTCAGTTGTCTTTTTTAAAAAGACAAAAATAATACACATTCACTAACAGCATATTCTTTTCATCAAGGAGAAAAGAAAAGGGAAAGTTGTATTTTCACAGGCACCTTCCCACAGCCCCATGGAGTCCAGGAGAGATTTGTTTGCAGGCTGTCTGCAGAGCTCAGCCCTGGGGGCCCAAACCAGGCATCTGGAGCTCCCTCTGTGGTTTTCCTCACAGTCTGCATGACAAATGAAGGCCATCCCTGGGTTTCTCTCGTGGTGCAGAAGACTCGACTACAGATTTCACAGGATCCCTCCCTGAATTATGAGTACTTGCCCACCATGGGCCTGAAATCATTCATCCAGGCCTCTCTAGCACTCCTCTTTGGAAAGCACAGCCAAGCCATTGTGGAGAACAGGGTGAGAAGGTGGGCCCTCCCCTGGCTCATTTAGACACAGAGAGTGGCGATCTGGGTCTGCACAACCTTAAACCCGAAGGGGACCTCGGAGGGCCCCCTGGTATTGATAAAAGAGATACCTGAGGCTCAGAGAGTCCACAAGTCCTTAGCCATCGAGTCAGGATCGGAATCTCAGTCCAGTGGTATTCCCACCTGCTCACACTGCTGATTTGAAAGCTCTTTCAAGACAGGAATGATCTGAATTGGAGGTGGTGTTAGTATTCCCATTACTGTTTTATTTTTTAACCTATTATATATATTTTTTGAGACAGAGTCTCACTCTGTCACCCAGGCTAGAGTGCAGTGGTGCCATCTCAGCTCACTGCAACCTCCACCTCCCAGGTTCAAGCAATTCTGGTGCTGCATCCTCCTGAGTAGCTGGAATCACAGGCATGTGCCATCACGCCCAGCTAATTTTTGTATTTTTTGTAGAGACAGGGTTTCACCATGTTGGCCAGGCTGGTCTCAAACTCCTGGCCTCAGGGGATTCCCTGCCTCGTCCTCCCAAAGTGCTGGGATTACAGGCATGAGCTACTGCGTCTCGCCTCCATTACTGTTTTAGAGTGTTATTTCTGTCTATTTCTTTTTATTTTTTAATGTTTATTTACTTATTATTTTTTTGAGACGGAGTCTCACTCTGTCACCCAGACTGGAGTGCAGTGGCCTGATCTCCGCTCACTGCAACTTCCGCCTTCCGGGTTCAAGTGATTCTCCTGCCTCAGCCTCTTGAGTAGCGGGGATTACACATGCCCAACACCACATCCGGCTAATTTTTGTATTTTTAGTAGATACGGGGTTTCAACATGTTGGCCATGACCTCGAGTGATCCACCCACCCCAGCCTCCCAAAGTGCTGGAATTACAGGTGTGAGCCACCACACCTGGCCTATTTGTGTCTATGTCTTGCTGGCAGGTAGGGGGTGTACACACTGTTGGTGACAGTGGTGCCTTCCAGCTTGGCGTCCAGTTTCTCAGAGCTTGGCATAAGGATGCTCGTATAGTTTACATCATCTCTTCTCAAAAAGGTTAGTCTTACCCAAGATGAGGGGAACAGCAATCCCCGTCCCTTGTTCCTAATCCTCACCCCATTTGCCATCTTCACTGTTATCCCTCATTCTCTGTCATGAGCAAAATGGCAGACAAGCCAAGCTATTTATGTCCTTTTCCTGTTAATGTCCCACCTTCAGCCAGTGACTCTCAGCCCCACACTCCAGTACCTCTGTCTCCGTCTCTCTGTTTCCCATGTACCAGCTAGTGGGGGGCTGTGTTCCCACAGAACTGCATGGACTCGTCTTCCAGGACATGGGCTTTACAGTTTATGAATACTCTGTCTGGGACCCCAAGAAGCTATGCATGGACCCCGACATACTCCTCAATGTGGTGGAGGTAGAGGGGCCCCGCTCAGAAACTCCTCCCTAGAGCTGACTTACAGCCTAATGTTCCTCTCCTCCCCACACCTCTTAAGTCATCCAAGACCTTTTCCAGGTTTGAATTTGCCTGGCCCTTCAATGGTAACTAACATGGAGGAGCACTTCACCCCCAAATGCCCTGGGGCCGCCACTCCTGGGTGGGGGTGAAGCCTGATGAGACCGTCTGTACCTGCAGCAGATCCCACATGGCTGTGTCCTTGTGATGGGGAACATTATCGACTGCAAGTTGACACCAAGTGGGTGGGCAAAGTTGATGTCCATGATAAAGGTAAACCCAATCTCCCACCCGACCTTCCTGTCTTTGACTCTCTGCTCTCTCCTCCATCTGTCTCATTCTTTTTTTGTTCTCCTTTCTCCTACAGAGCAAGCAGATATTCCCATTTTTTGATATTCCCTGTCAAGGTTTATACACCAGTGACTTGGAAGAAGATACTAGAATCTTACAATACTTTGTGTCTCAAGGCTTTGAGTTCTTCTGCAGCCAGTCTCTGTCCAAGAATTTTGGCATTTATGGTATGGTACAGGCAGAAGAAGGGAGGGTCTGTTGCTGAAGTGGTGCTGCGCTCACAGCACAGTGATGTTTTTGATATCTCATCCTTGGGAGGGAGCCAAGGACTCTAGGGAGAGCACTATAGAAGCAGAAGTGGGGAGCACTGAGCTAGAATTTGGTTCTGTTACTAAATCTAGTAACAGAACCCAACCCAGCTTGGCTTGGATCATTTCACCCCCTCAGGCCTCTGTTTCCTCAACTATAAGATGAGAGGGTGGGGCTGGCATGGTGGGTGACACCTGTAATCCCAGTTGACACCTCCTAATCCCTCCTTTGGGAGGTCAAGGTTAGGTGATCACTTGAGGCCAGGAATTCAAGACCAGCCTGGGCAACACACCGAGACCCGGTCTCTACAAACAATTAAAAAAATTAGTCGGGCATGGTGGTACACACCAGTAGTCCTACCCACCCGGGGGGCTGAGGCAGGAGGATTGCTTAAGCCCAGGAGGTAGAGGTTGCAGTGAGCTATGATTCCACCATTGCACTCTAGCCTGGGCAACAGAGAGAGATGGTCACTTTAAACAAATAAAAATAAAAATAAAAATAAAAAAGGAAAGGAAAGGAAAAAACAGGAGAGTAGAACTTAGTGATCTTTCAAATTCCTTCCTCCTTTAAGACTCTGACTTATGGGTACTTTTGCTGGAAGGAGAGCCTCTGGCAACTTCCCGGAGCCTGAATATCACCCTGGCTGGGCTGCAATGAGGGCCTTGTGGTTCAACCCTTTCTTCTGCAAGGTTGGGGGTTGAGATCTAGGTGAAGGCCTTGGGAGTGGAGGAAGGGGCTGAGGCTGAGGCTGTCTTCCCAACACTGCAGATGAAGGAGTGGGGATGCTAGTGGTGGTGGCAGTCAACAACCAGCAGCTGCTGTGTGTCCTCTCCCAGCTGGAAGGATTAGCCCAGGCCCTGTGGCTAAACCCCCCCAACACGGGTGCACGTGTCATCACCTCCATCCTCTGCAACCCTGCTCTGCTGGGAGAATGGTAAGGGTGAGGGCTGGAGCAGGAAGGGATGGGAGAGGCCCTGGGTGCCTGCAGACCTGCTGATCTGCAGGATTCGGCAGGGTGCTTCTCTCCTGCCCATGTGGCCTTTTTACTCCATTCATTCATCAACATTTACTAAGGACCTGATGTGTACCAATGGCGGTGGCTATGCCAAGGGTTGCCTTAGGGGACAGAGTGATAGGACATTTGTTTTGCACCCAGGCCAATGAGTTATATGAACTCTTCCAGATTGCTTGGGGAGATAAGAGAGCATCAGGGGCTTGCAACTCTGGCAAAATCTGCCTGGGAGCCTCCCTGGTTTGCTTAAATGAATATGAGATCAAACCTCCCTCCCACTCATAATCATCCCAGAGCCTCTGGCACTCTGTTGGAGACCTTTGAAGGTAAGAAGAGTGGACTGGCAATGAGGGAGGTTTGAGGGCAAGGGGGACCTCACACCCTCCTTTCTCATTGTCCTTCCTTGGTAGGAAGCAGAGTCTAAAAGAAGTTGTAGAGAACATCATGCTAACCAAGGAAAAAGTGAAGGAGAAACTCCAGCTCCTGGGAACCCCTGGGTCCTGGGGTCACATCACCGAGCAGAGTGGGACCCACGGCTATCTTGGACTCAACTGTAAGGGTCTAGGGGGCTGGTGTCCCCCCTTTCTGACCTTTGGCCTGTATTTGAGCATTAAACTTCACTGACTAGGTGACCAGTTCCTAGCTTCACTCCAGATTTTGATTCTGTCCTCTGGAAAATGGGCTGCTTTAAAGACACTTCTGGACCCCCAGAAGTACCGACACTCCCTATCCTTCATAAACCAGCCTGGGTGCCCGGTGCAGTGGCTCATGCCTGTAATCCCAACACTTTGAGAGGCCGAGGCGGGTGGGTCACCTGAGGTCAGGAGTTCGAGACCAGCCTGGCCAACATGGTGAAACCCCGTCTCTACTAAAAAATAAAATATGAAAATTAGCCGTGCATGGTGGTGCATCCTGTAATCATAGCTACTTGGGAGGTTGAGGCAGGAGAATCGCTTGAACCTGGGAGGCGAAGGTTGCAGTGAGCCAAGATTGCACCATTGAACTCCAGCCTGGGCAACAAGAGCAAAACTCCATCTCAATCAATCAATCAATAAAAAAATAAGAAAATAAACCAGCCTGGGCTAGAGGAGAATTCGAGATGGCCAGTCTCGAGATCTGAGACCTTGTCATGATTTTAGCCCAGCAGGTGGAATACCTGGTCAGGAAGAAGCACATCTATATCCCCAAGAACGGTCAGATTAACTTCAGCTGTATCAATGCCAACAACATAAATTACATCACTGAGGGCATCAATGAGGCTGTCCTCCTCACAGAGAGCTCAGAGATGTGTCTTCCAAAGGAAAAAAAAACACTGATTGGAATAAAACTTTAGTCTTTGCAAAAATCTTGTGCTGATTATTCATTACTACAATTCATTTCTTTGCTTATTTATGAAGCAGTGGTCTGGCCTCAGTACAGAGAAAGAGACAGAGAGAAAGAGAGAGAGAAAGGCCCAGAGGGGAAGGGTGTATCTACCTTCATTGGCCATCTCATATTTATTGAGCACCTACTACATTAAGGCCCTGAGCTGGCCGTGAAAGGGAGTACAAAAAACAGGTAGAAACCAGCCTGTTTTCTCCAGACACTTACAGTCTAGTTGGGAGACAAGCCTTAGTCACATAAAACACTTAAGTAACATTTTAAGGCTGAATGTGACAGAAGTCAGAATATATAAACAGAAAATGTGCCAGGAATTTAGAAAAGAAATACGTCAAAGTGGGCCAGAATAGATGGGGAGCATCTCATGAGGAGGTAGCACTTGATTGGGATATTGATAGACAGATGAATGGATTGGATGAATAATAACTAATAGAAGCTGGAAGGATATCCTAGGTCAATAACAACCTGAGCAAGTGTCACTGACATGATAAGAAAAAATAAATGTTTATCGGGCAGCTACTAATACATGGGACTCTGCAAACTCCCAGGATACCAACAGGTATATGACACAGTTGGTGCCCTCCACTCTCGTTGGGGAGACACAATTTATATGGTTGAAAGGAAAAACTCTTTTTTCTCTCTCCTCTACTGTGACTCTCAATTCTGACACCAGATTGTATAGGGTTTTTCCCACACAATTAATTCCGTTCTTTGGTAGACATCAGTTGGGTGTCTTAAAATTCAATAGATTCTTTTTTATTTTTTCTTTTCTTGGGATGGCGTCTCTGTCGCCCAGGCTGCAGTGCAGTTGTGCAATCTCAGCTCACTGCAACTGCCACCTCCCAGGTTCAAGAGATTCTCTTGCCTCAGTCTCCCAAGTAGCTGGGACTACAGGTATGTGCCACCACGCCCGGCTAATTTTTGTATTTTTGTTAGAGACGGGGTTTCGCCATGTTGGCCAGGTTGGTCTTGGACTCCTCTTCTCAGGTGATCCACCCGCCTCAGCCTCTGAAAATGCCGGGATTACAGGCGTGAACCACCATGCCCAGCCCAATTCAATAGATTCTGATACTACCTACCTGGAGTTAGCATCAAATTCCAGAGGTGAATGGCTCAGTTCTGCAAGACTGCACCCCGTGAATGGCTCAGTTCTGCAAGACTGCACCCCACTTCAGATGCCAGTCACATGTCCAGTGGTGTGACTTGTGCATCTGCTATAAACTGGGGTTCCTACCACTCCTTCCTTGGGTTTGATAATTTGCCAGAACAATTCACATATCTCAGGAAAATAGTTTATTTACTAGATTATCAGTTTGTTATAAAAGGATGCAACTCAGGAACAGCCAGATGGAAGACACGCATAGGGAAAGGGGCGTGGAGCTTCCATGGTCTCTCTGGGTTCGCCCTCCCAGCTCCTCCATATGTTCAGCAACCTGGAAGCTCTCCCAAACCCTTTAGTTAGGGGTTTTTATGAAGGCTTCATTGCACAGGCATGATGGACTAAAACATTGGCCGTTGTTGATTAACTCAACCTCCACCCAGTCCTTCTCCTCTCCCCAGAGGTCAGGGGTAGGCTAAAAAGGTCCAACCTTCTAATCACATTGTCGGCCCCTCCCACAACAAGCCAACCATCCTTATGGGCTTTCGAACAGTGACCGCATTAACATAAACTCAGCTGTGGTTGAAGAGGTCTCATTAGGAATAATAAACAGTGCTCCTTTCACTCTACACTTCTTAATGCTTTGGAAATTCCAAGGGTTTGTTTTATTTTTTTTAAGATGGAGTTTCAGTCTTGTTGCCCAGGCTGGAGTGCAATGGCGTGATCTTGGCTCACTGCAACCTCCGCCTCCTGGGTTCAAGCAATTCTCCTGCCTCAGCCTCCCAAGTAGCTGGGATTACAGGCATGTGCCACCGTGCCTGCCTAATTTTTTTTTTTAACTAGAAACGGGGTTTCACCATGTTGGTCAGGCTGGTCTCGAACTCCAGCCTGACCTCAAGTAATCCATCCGGCTCCGCATCCCAAAGTGCTGGGATTATAGGCGTGAGCCACTGTGTCTGGCCTCCAGGGGTTTTTAGGAGTTCTGTGCCAGAAACTGGACAGCGACCGAATCTATTTCTTATCATAAATCACAATACCACAATGATAAAAATGTAGATAACAATAAAAGGTGAAATGTAGTAAGTGCTAATAAGTGTTTCAGTAAAGGGTTAGCCCAGGAGGACTTAGTTACCCAAACCCTGCATATTCCAAGGGTCTTCAGGACTGGGCCTCACTGGCTCCTGGGGTGTGCATCCAGACCCTTGAGTGTCCTACCTGATAAGAGTGTCTTTGTGGCCCAAGACCTTGGGATGCATCTATTAGTTTGATTTCTTGGGGCTGGAGACTGAGCAGCTAAGGTCCGTTATATGGGTACTGCATGACTATGTAATTGATCCCCAATAAAAACTCTGGACACCAAGGCTTAGGGGGGCTTCCCTGGTTGGCAGCACTTCACATGTGTTGTCACACACTGTTGCTGAGAGAATTAAGCACTGTTCTGTGTGAATCCACTCAGTGAAGACAGCTGGAAGTTTGTGCCTGGTTTCTCGTGGACTCCACCCTGTGCCTTTTTCCCTTGCTGATTTCACCCCGTTTCCTTTCACTGTAATAAACCGTAACCACAAGTGTAACAGCTATGCTGAGTCCTGTGAGAGCCTGCAGGTGGCCTCAGAGACCTCCAACACACACGTTCAATTAGATTCAGAGCTGGGTTTAGCAGGAAGATTCAGGCAAGCCCATTTTCAGCTTCCTTGCATCCCCTGAGGATGGCTCCTGCAGGGAGTACAGACAAGTGATCAGCCTCATAGGGTTGGGCTTGAGATCCAAAAACCTGGCTGCCAAGGTTAGTAGGCTCCTGCCTGGAAAAGAAAATCCCCTTCCCAAAGACCGTAATTCTTATGAGAGGTAGCAGAGTGATATGGCTTAGCTGTGTCCCCACCTAAATCTCATCTTGAATTGTAGCTCCCATAATTCCCACATGTGGGAGGGACCCAGTGGGAGATAATTCAATCATGGGGGTGGTTTCCCCCATACTGTTCTCGTGACAGTGAATAAGTTTCATTAGATCTGATGGTTTTATAAGGGATTTCCCCTTTCACTTGGCTCTCCTTGTCTCTTGTCTGCCACCATGTAAGATGTGCCTTTTGCCTTCCTCCATGATTGTGAAGCCTCTACAGCCACGTGGAACTGTGAGTCCATTAAACCTCTTTTTCTTTATAAATTAGTCAATCTCAGTATGTTTTTATTAGCAGTGTGAAAACAAGCTAATACACAGGGCATCTGACTAGAGGTGATTGTGAGGAGGCTTGCAAGAAAGTTCATAGAACAAACATAGCCATCTCCTCTGGCTTCCTGTTGTTTAGAGATGGGTTTTATTTTGAGCCCCTGTATTTGTCCACAGTCTCAGGTTCTTCTTCAGGTCTTCTGATGGCTCCTTTGTCCCCAGGTTCTAAAGGCTTCTTGTCCCAATGTCAGAATAACTCTAGAGAACCCTCAGTGCTTGCAGATGGCAGGTTTTAACTGTTCTCAAAGGCGTACTAGCATGAGGAGATAATTTATTCAGCCAACGTTCTCCCCACCCTCCTGAGCCTAAGAAAATCATGGACTCTCATGTTACGGAGGTCAGAAAGCTTTGAACTACTAAAGCAAGACTATTGTCTTTGACCTTTCTTACTAGTGGATTACATGAGCCACAAGGATTTCTAGTGTACCCAGCCCAGGATGCTGGCAGGATTTGGCGGACAGACTGGTTATCCTCAACCTTTGTTCCTAATTGGCTTCCATTCCCCACTATTGACTTCACACTCAAGATTCACTTAAACCTTTCTTGAAAGTATTTTCTGCCTAAATCACCTCTTTTTTTTTTTTTTTAGACGGAGTCTCAGTCTCACTCCATCACCCAGGTTGGGGTGCAGTGGTGCGATCTCGGCTCACTGCAAACTCCACCTACCAGGTTCAAGCAATTCTCCTGTCTCAGCCTCCTGAGTAGCTGGGATTACAGGTGCCTGCCATCAAGCCCAGCTAATTTTTGTATTTCTAGTAAAGACAGGGTTTCACCTTGTTGGTCAGGCTGGTCTTGAACTCCTGACCTCAGGTGATCCACCCGCCTTGGCCTCCCAAAGTGCTGGGATTACAGGCATAAGCCACCATGCCCAGCCTAAATCACCTCTTAAAGTTAGTTTCAGATACCTGGTTACTCTTTATTATTTATTTATTTATTCTTGTGCCTTAGCCTCCTGAGTAGCTGGGACTACAGGGGCGTGCCATCATGCCTGACTAATTTTTGTATTTTTAGTAGAGACAGGGTTTCACCATGTTGGGCAGGCTGGTCTCGAACTCCTGACCTCAGGTAATCTGCCTGCCTCAGCCTCCCAAAGTGCTGGGATTACAGGTGTGAGCCACCGTGCCTGGCCCTCTTTGTTTAAAGTATTAATGATTTAAAACGTTTTATTGTAAACATTTGCAAACACAGTAGGAAGAATTATATGAGTCTCCTTATACCCATCATCCAATGTCCATGATTGCATTGTAGGTAATCTTGTTTCCTTTACATTTCCACACATATTTCCAAATTATTTTGAAGCAAATCATCACATATTTTCATCTGTAAATATTTTTGTATGTGTGTCTAAAAGACAAGGGCTTCCTCTCTTAAAATAACCACAACACCATCATCATACACCTCCAAATCAACAATTGCTTGATATCATAATATATCCAATATCATATGTTCATGTATATAATATCATAAATGTACATTTCCTGAATATTTGTATTATTATTATTTAAAAAAAATTTTTTTAAGCCAGGTGCAGTGGTATGTGCCTATAATCCCAGCTTCTCTGGAGGTACTCAGGAGGGCCAGGTGGGAAGATTGCTTGAGCCTAGGAATTCGAGGCCAGTCTGGGCAACACAGCAAGACCTCATCTCTCTTAAAAAAAAAATAGTTTTTAAATACTAAATCACATATGGTAATTAGTTATTGTGATGGCTTTAAACATTTTCTGAAAATTCTTGGCACTCCTCCCATATAAAGGTAAAGCTTAATTCTCCTTGCCCCGATAGCTAGAGCAATTATTTTGTCTTCTATGTTTCTTTTCATCTATACTTTCCCCCTCCATCTTTTTTTGACTTGCAATTTTTTAAAATTGAAGAACTGGATCTTTTGTCTTGTCAGGTTTCCCACGGAGTGAATTTTGCTGATTTCATCTTCATGATATCATTTAACATGTTCCTCTGTCTCGTTGCATTTCATGAAAATAGCAATCTAAATCTGGAGACTTGATCAGATTCAAGTTTAATATTTAAACAATTTTATAATTTAAAATATTTAGAGATGAGGTTTCCCAGTGTCATCTAGGCTGGAGTGCAGTGGCAAGATCATAGCTCACTGCAGCCTCAAACTCCTGGGCTCAGGTGATCCTCCTGCTTCAGCCTTGCAAGTTGCTGGGACTACAGGTATGAGCCACGGTGACTGGCCAATCTCCTTTCTTTTTTTTTTTTTTTTTTTTTTATTGATCATTTTTTGGTGTTTCTCGCAGAGGGGGATTTGGCGGGGTCATAGGACAATAGTAGAGGGAAGGCCAGCAGATAAACAAGTGAACAAAGGTCTCTGGTTTTCCTAGGCAGAGGACCCTGAGGCCTTCCGCAGTGTTTGTGTCCCTGGGTACTTGAGATTAGGGAGTGGTGATGACTCTTAACGAGCATGCTCCCTTCAAGCATCTGTTTAACAAAGCACATCTTGCACCGCCCTTAATCCATTTAACCCTGAGTGGACACAGCACATGTTTCAGAGAGCACAGGGTTGGGGGTAAGGTCATAGATCAGCAGGATCCCAAGGCAGAAGAATTTTTCTTAGTACAGAACAAAATGAAAAGTCTCCCATGTCTACTTCTTTCTACACACACAGCAACCATCCGATTTCTCAATCTTTTCCCCACCTTTCCCCCTTTTCTATTCCACAAAACCGCCATTGTCATCATGGCCCGTTCTCGATGAACTGTTGGGTACGCCTCCCAGACGGGGTGGTGGCCGGGCAGAGGGGCTCCTCACTTCCCAGTAGGGGCGGCCGGGCAGAGGCGCCCCTCACCTCCCGGACGGGGCAGCTGGCCGGGCGGGGGCTGACCCCCCAACCTCCCTCCCGGAGGGGGCGGCTGGCCTGGCGGGGGCTGACCCCCACCTCCCTCCCGGACGGGGTGGCTGCCGGGTGGAGACGCTCCTCACTTCCCAGACGGGGTGGCTGCCGGGCGGAGGGGCTCCTCACTTCTCAGATGGGGCGGCTGCCGGGCGGACGGGCTCCTCACTTCTCAGACGGGGCGGCTGCCGGGCGGAGGGTCTCCTCACTTCTCAGACGGGGCGGCGGGGCAGAGACGCTCCTCACCTCCCAGACGGGGTCGCGGCCAGGCAGAGGTGCTCCTCACATCCCAGACGGGGCGGCGGGGCAGAGGTGCTCCCCACATCTCAGACGATGGGCGGCCGGGCAGAGACGCTCCTCACTTCCTAGATGGGATGGCGGCCGGGAAGAGGCGCTCCTCACTTCCTAGATGGGATGGCGGCCGGGCAGAGACGCTCCTCACTTTCCAGACTGGGCAGCCAGGCAGAGGGGCTCCTCACATCCCAGACGATGGGCGGCCAGGCAGAGACGCTCCTCACTTCCCAGACGGGGTGGCGGCCGGGCAGAGGCTGCAATCTCGGCACTTTGGGAGGCCAAGGCAGGCGGCTGGGAGGTGGAGGTTGTAGCGAGCCGAGATCACGCCACTGCACTCCAGCCTGGGCACCATTGAGCTCTGAGTGAACGAGACTCCATCTGCAATCCCGGCACCTCGGGAGGCCGAGGCTGGCGGATCACTCGCGGTTAGGAGCTGGAGACCGGCCCGGCCAACACAGCGAAACCCCGTCTCCACCAAAAAAATACGAAAACCAGTCAGGCGTGGCGGCGCGCGCCTGCAATCGCAGGCACTCGGCAGGCTGAGGGAGAATCAGGCAGGGAGGTTGCAGTGAGCCGAGATGGCAGCAGTACAGTCCAGCTTCGGCTCGGCATCAGAGGGAGACCGTGGAAAGAGAGGGAGAGGGAGACCGTGGGGAGAGAGGGAGAGGGAGACCGTGGGGAGAGGGAGAGGGAGAGGGAGAGGGGGAGGGAGGGGGAGGGGGAGAGGGAGAGGGAGAGGGAGCCAATCTCCTTTCTTTCATACCAAAAATCCTAGTTTCGACCACACAAGTGTAGTCGCTTATTTGCTTTAACTGACATTACCCATACGATAGCCTCTGAAAAATAATACCAATACTGATACGATTACTGGAAATGATTTAAAAAAAATTTTGTTTTTTAAGACAAGGTCTGGCTCTGCTGCCCAGGTTGAGGTGCAGTGGCACAATCATGGCTTACTGTAGCCTCAGCCTCCTGGGCTTAAGCAGTCCTCCCGCCTCAGCGTCCCAAGTAGCTGGGACTACAGGTATGTGCCACTACGTCCCACTAATTTTCTTTAAAAAATTTTTTTCCAGAGCTGAGATCTCACTATTTTGTGCAGGCTAGTCTCGAAGTCCTAAACTGAAGGGATCCTCTCACCTCAGTCTCCCAAAGTGCTAGGACTACAGGTGTGCGCCACAGTGTCTGGCCTAAAAACTTTTTTCAGCCTTGGTGTCCTTAGAATATATCCTCCTGGGGAGCAGGGCACGGTGGCTGATGCCTGTAATCCCAGCACTCTGGGAGGCCGAGGCAGGTGGATCGCTTGAGCCCAGAAACTTGAGATGAGCGTGGGCAACAGAGCAAAACCCCGTCCCCATTTCAAAAGAAAGAAAGAAAGAGGGAGGGAGAGGGAGAGAGGGGGGAAGAAGGAAGGAAGGAAGGGAGGAAGGGAGGGAGGAAGGAAGGAAAGGAAGGAAGAGAGGGAAAAAAAGAAAGAAAAGACAAGACGAGATAAGGCGAGATGAGACGAGACGAGACAGACAAGACCAGGTGTGTGGCAGCGGGAGGCAGGCTGAGGTGGGAGGTTCACTTGAACTTGGGAGGCAGAGGCTGCAGTCAGCCGTGATTGCACCACTGCACTCCAGCCTGGGTGACAGAGAAAGACCTTGTCTCAAAAAGAAAAATAAAAGAATATATCCCTCTAAGGATGTATAGCTAAATTACTCATTTTAAAGATATTTGGAATAGTTCCTGTGTGTGGTCATGTCACCAATTTAATTCACAGATTCATTTGCTTCATTTCACTGTTGCTTTTAGACAATTATTTCCTATTTGGCTCCTAAGTAAACAAAACAAAACAAAACAAAACACAAATGGACCAAAAACTAGTAGATTTGCAATATATATATGACATAAAGAAGAAGATCCTGATGGAAAAGTGGGCTTAGGACATAGGTGAGCAATTTCCTAAAAAAAAAACACGAATACCTGAAATTATTCATCATTAATCAAATAATGCAAACTGAAAGAATTCACAAGCATGTGGAGAAAGACACAACAAACAATAAAGATGAGTCAATCTCATTAGCATCCAAGGGGCAGGAAGTGAAGAGGCAGTCTGTGATGCTGGCTAGAAATGGAAACATCAGGACCCAAGACTCATTGCTCTGCTTCTCCTGAAGGGTGGGGAAGAGGATTAACTAAGAGTGGGGGAAGAGGATTAACAAGATTGCTCACCTGTGCTGAGTGTCTATTTGAGTCAGGTTCATGGTTTTCTCCAGCAAAGTTCAGCTACTTATATGCAGACTCAGAGTAAGAGAGAAGTGAGGTGTAATTAGGACTGAGATTCTACAGGAAAGTATGACTGAGGAGACAGGCCAGAGAGAGATGAGAATCTGCAGGCAGCAACTGCTGTTCTGGACATGGGATTTGGCCTGGGTATGAAGGAAAGTAAAGATATGGGGAGAGGAAGTGATATCATCCACAAAGGTAGAGTAAGGACCACTGAAAAATTTCTCCTTTGCAAAATCAGTGAGAGACTGGTAAATTGTCAGAAACAACATTTTCAGAACTCCAGAAATTAACCAATGGCTTTCAGCAACCTGGGGAGTGTTTATTCAAGACAAACAGCTGAAGGGTATTTTTTGTGCTGGTTTAACTTGCTCTAGTCCCATCCCCTTCTCTCCAGTTATGCAGTAGCCTTAAAACCAACAGCATGCCGGCCAGGCGCGGTGGCTCACGTCTGTAATCCCAGCACTTTGGGAGGCCCAGGCAGGTGGATCGCTTGAGGTCAGGAGTTTGAGACCAGCCTGGCCAACATGGTGAAACCCCATTTCTAGTAAAAATACTAAAATTAGCTGGGCGCCTATAATCTCAGCTACTAGGGAGGGTGAGACTAGAGAATCACTTGAACATGGCAGGAGGAGGTTGCAGTGAGCCAAGATTACGCCACTGCACTCCAACCTGGGCAAAAGAGTGAGACG
Organism: Homo sapiens; assembly: GCF_000001405.40. NCBI lineage: Eukaryota > Metazoa > Chordata > Mammalia > Primates > Hominidae > Homo > Homo sapiens. Next base: position 37,924,818 of record NC_000008.11, on the reverse strand, counting down.
TTGTCTCAAAAAACACAAAAAACCCACCCCGACCCCCAAAAAACCAACAACGTACAAACGTGGTGAAAACCAGTAGCCTGGCAGCCACTAGAGGGGGCAAAATAGGGCCGAATGGGGCAAAACTCTTTCAAGCCTCATTCCCAGAGAATTGTCATTATTTGATCTGTGTGGTGGTTCCCTGGAAGACCCCACTCATAAGGCTGTTTGACAAGAGCTAACTTGGTGCTAAGGCCTTTTCCCCGGGACATTCATCAGCAACACTGAGAGATAATGGTTTAACTTTGCAGCTGTCTAAGGCAGTGGATAACAGTTGGGCAAATGATAAGCTAACCAAAAAACTTAGCAAGAAGACTGGGGAATGAGATACTGACAGGGGTTTCGAAAAGCTCAAAAATATTCCTGAGAACCTACAGGGCCACATGCATGTACAGGGTTATGCACATACCCAGGAAAGACCTAAAACAGCACTAATCTCTCCCCTCTGGCTGACCTTGAGGCTCTGTGCAAGATGAGGTAAAGGATAAGGCAGAGTTGTCAGCTGCTCACCTGAATGATGAAGGCAGGCCCCCACATGCACACAGAGCCCCTTGGCAAAGACTGGGACACATTTTGGTTCCAAGCATTTTAGAAAATCTCTAGTCAGTCATTAGCTGACCACTAAACTAACCAAGTAGAGACATTAGTAGCCATATATGATGAAGAATACAGACTTTATAAATTAGTTGAGAAAAGTCACTAAAAAATAGCAAGCGGCAGTAATGACAACAAGCATGAGAGAATCTGATTTCTAGAGTGGCCACATTGTATTACTTCAAATGTCCTCTTATAATAAAAATTATGAGAAGTACAAAGAAACAAAAAAGAATGGTCCATAAACAGAAAGAAACTCAACTAATAGAAACTGTCCCTAAGGATACTCAGATATTGCACTTACTAGACAAATCAGCTATTTAAAATACATTGAAAGAGGCTGGGCATGGTGGCTCACACTTGTAATCCCAGCACTTTGGGAGGCCAAGGTAGATGGATCACTTGAGGCCAGGAGTTCAAGACCAGCCTGGCCAACATGTGAAACCCCATCTCTGCTGAAAATACAAAAATTAGCCAGGCGTGGTGGTGCACATCTGTGGTCCCAGCTACTCGGGAGGCTGAGGCAGGAGGATTGCTTGAACCCAGGAGGCAGAGGTTGCAGTAAGCCAAACAAAACTATCTTTCAAAAATTAAGAAGAAATTAAGACATTCCCAGATAAACAAAAACAGAGTATTTGCCCTTAGCAAGTGTGTTTGTTCTACATAATAAAGGAAGTCCTTTGGGCTGAAATGAAAGGACTCTAGGCAGTAACTGGAATCCACATAAAGATCACTGGTAAAGGCAACAACACAGGTAAATAAAAAAGACATTATAAATATATTTTTGTTCATAATTCTCTTTTCTTCCTACCTTCTAGAGATAACGTTTCAACTTTGCAGCTGTCTGAGGCAGTGGATAACAGTTGGGCAAATGATAAGCTTACCAAAAAACTTAAGAGGAAAGCTGGAAAATGACATTGCTTGTTTTTATTTACAAAGCAACTTCATAGAACAATACTTATAAATCAGCATTGATTTATACACAGTATATAAAAATGTAATTTTTATGATAACAGCACAAAAGTTGGGGAAAGGAATGGAGCCATAGGCAGCTTTACTATAGGTTTACTATAGGACTAATGTTTTTCCATACAACTGAAATTAAAATGATGTATTAGTCATCTTGGCCTGCCAGAACAAAATGCCATAGAAGAGATGGCTTAAACAGAAGTTTATTTTGTCACAGTTCTGGATGGTGAAAGTCTGAAATCAGAGAGAGGGGCAGCATGATTGGATTCTGGTAAGAGCTCTCCTCTGGCTTGCAGATGGTTGCCCTCTCACTGTGTTCTCATATGGGAGAGAGAGAGAGAGAGAAAGAAAGAGAGTGGGAGAGATAAGGCCATTCTTATGACCTCATTTAACCTTAATCACCTCTTAATCTGGGGATTAGAACTTCAACATATGAATTTGGAAGTGGGGTGAGGACCCAATTAAGTCCATAGTAGATGATATTAATTTGAACTAGATTTTTATAAATCAAGATGTAATTGTAATCCCCAGGGCAACCAATAAGAAAGTAATTTTCAAAATACAGTAAAATAAATGACAAGGGGCTGGACACAGTGGCTCATTCACTCACTTCTGTAATCCCAGCACTTTGGGAGGTTAAGATGAGAGAATCACTTGAGCCCAGGAATTCGAGACCATCCTGGACAACATAGTGAGACCTTGACCTTACAAAATAAATATGAAAAAAATTAGCTGAGTTTGGTGGTGCATGCCTGTAATCCCAGCTACTCAGGAGGCTGAGGCAGCAGGATTGCTTGAGCCCAGAAGGTCAGGATTGCAGTGAGCTATGATCATGCCACTGCACTCCAGCCTGGGAGAGAAAGTGAGATCCTGTCTCAAAAAATAAATAAAATAAAATAAATAAAAATGACAAGAGAATGAAAATGGCACACTAGAAAATGTCTATTTAACACAAAGGGGCCAGGCATGGTGGCTCACACCTGTAATCCCAGCACTTTGGGAGGCCGAGGCAGGCGGATCACCTGAGGTCAGGAGTTCGAGACCAGCCTGGCCAACATGGTGAACCCTGTCTCTACTAAAAATACAAAAAAAAAATTAGCCAGGCATGGTGGTGGGTGCCTGTAGTCCCAGCTACTTGGGAGGCTGAGGCAGGAGAATTGCTTGAGCTCAGAAGGCAGAGGTTGCAGTGAGTTGAGATCGCACCATTGTACTCCAGCCTGGGCAACAACAGCAAAACTCCACCTCAAAAAAACCCAAAAATACAAAAAAAGAAACCACAAAGGAAGCAGTAATAGAGGAATAGAGGAACAAAGAAGATATATAGAAAACAAATAACAAAATAGCACATGTAAATCTTAACTTATTGGCCGGGCGCAGCAACACACATCTGTAATCCTAACACTTTGGGAGGCTGAGGTGGGCAGATCACTTGAGGTCAGGAGTTTCAGACCAGCCTGGCCAACATGGCAAAACCTTGTCTCTACTGAAAATACAAAAATTAGCCGGGCATGGTGGTGGGTGCCTATAATCCCAGCTACTCAGGATGCTGAGGCAAGAGAATCACTTGAACCCAGTGGGGAAGGGGTGGGTGGAGGTTGCAGTGAGCTGAGATTGTGACACTACATTCCAGCCTGGGTGAAAGAGTGAAACTCCATCTCAGAAAAAAAAAATATTCGCAATTACATTAAATGTAAATGGATTAAAAACTCCATTGAAAAAGCAGAGATTTGCAGAGTAGATTTAAAACTATGATCCATGTATATCCTGTCTACAAGAGGCACAGTTTAGTTTCAAAGACACAAATAGGCTGAAATTAAAAGAATGGAAAAAAGTATACATGCAAATACTTAAACCAAAATGGACATAATACCAGACATAATAGACTTCAAGACAAAAAATCAATACTAGATATAAATAATGGTAATTTAAAAAAGATAAGAGGGAATACATCCAAAATATTTAACAATTATAAACATATATGCACCTAACAACAAAGCCCTAAATTACATGAAGCAAAACTGTCGGGGTTGAAAAGAAGAACAAATAGTTCAGCAATAATAGTTGGAGACTTTTGATAGTCCAGTTTCAATAATGGGTAGAACAAAACAGGAAGTTAACAAGAAAATAGAAGACTTGAACAACATTATACACAACCTAGACCTAAAACACGTCTATAAACCACTCCACCCAACAACAGAAGTGCATGTGAACATTCTCCAGTATAGGCCATAAAACAAGCCTCAATAAATTTAAAAAGAATGAAATCATATAAAGTATATTCTCCAACCACAATGGAATGAAATTAGAAATCAATAACAGAAGGAAAGTTGGGAGATTAATAAATACATGGAAATTAAACAGCATACTCCTAAATAACCAATGGGTCAAGGAAGAAATCACAAGAGAAATTGGAAAATACTTTGAGATGAACAAATATGAAAATATAACATACCAAAACTTATGAGAGAAAGTAAAAGCAGTGCTTAGAAGGAAATTTATAGCTGTAAATGTCTATTATGAAAAAAATATATATGATCTAGCAATTCCACTTCTGAGACACAATTCAGTCCATAGCAGTGTGGCTTATATCAGATGACATGAACTGAAGTAGCTGGTAGATATGGAGGGGAGTTGTTTTTGTGTTGTATATTCCTACATGGCTCTGTTTAACTAGGTGCCAGTTGTCTGTATTCACTTTCTTGCAGAAGAAATCACATATAAGTTATGCTCAAACTGTTTCCTAACATATTAATAGTGTTGGAACAAATTCAGGTTTTCAAATCAAGCATTATACCACCAGGTATTTTTTGTAGATATTGACAGCTGATTCTAGAATTCATATGGAAAAGCAAAAGACCTAGAATAGCCAAAACTATCTTGAAAAAGAACAAAGTCAGAATACTAACATTATCTAATTTCAAGTCTTATAAAGCAATAGTAATCAAGATAGTGTGGTATAAACATAGACAAACAGATCAGTGGAACAGAATAGAGTGTCCAGAAATAAACACATCTACATATGGACAACTGATTTTTGACAAAGATACAAAGGCAATGCAATGAATAGTGCTGTAAAAATTGGATAAACACACGCAAAAAAAGAAAGAAATTCAGAAAGGAAGAGAGAAAGAAAAGAGCTTTAATTCATACCTTGCACCATATATAAAATTTAATTAAAAACTGATCATAGACCTAAATGTAAAACATAAAATTATAACACTTCTAGAAGAAACCAGGGCCTGGCACTCAGAACAATAAATACCGAGTTCTGAGTGGGGGCGGGCCTCCCACTGCTGCCTGGGCTATCCCTTCTTTGAGACACACTCAGCACATCCCAGAGTTCCTGCAAAACTGGTCCCACACCACAGCACTGAAGCTGTCACGGGAACATGGAGAAGTGGATTACCCCATATGGGAAATTTAATAAATCCCCACTAGACTCCCCTGATCTACCAGTGGCCTTGTTTTCCTCCTCTTCCTCTTGCTTGTTTCTGTTAGAATCTCTCACATCTCTTAATGGCCTTGAACAGATCAGCTCAGACCCCAAGCTTATACCGTCCCTTCAATATAATCCTGCCTTTAGAAGGCAGTTTGGAGAGCACGACCTCTGGGGGTGTCACTTCCCCGGATACACAGCTGAGTGGCTTAGTTAGTATTCCTCCAACGAAAGTGGATTTCCTTGGTCAGTGGGAGTATGTTCTGTGCTTAAGAAAAATTAGCATTTCTCCATTTTACTACAATTAAAAAGGATAGTCTAGTGGTTAGGAGACTGTGCTTTGGCCTGAAACAGACCTGAGTTCACATCTGTGTTCTGCATTGATCTGTGGAGCCTTGGGCAAGTTCTCTATTCTCACTAAGGCTCGGTTTTCTCTTCTGTAAGATGGGGGTAAAAATCCCTACTTTAAGGCCGGGCTTGGTGGCTCACGCCTGTAATCTCAGCTCTTTGGGAGGCCGAGGTGGGCAGATCACCTGAGGTCAGGAGTTGAGACCAGCCTGACCAACATGGTAAAACCCCGTCTCTACTAAAAATACAAAAATTAGCTGGGCGTGGTGGTGGGCGCCTGTAATCCCAGCTACTTGGCAGGCTGAGGCAGGAGAATCGCTTGAACCCGGGAGGCAGAGGCTGCAGTGAGCAGAGATGGTGCCACTGCACTCTAGCCTGGGTGACAGAGTGAGATTCCGTTTCAAAAAAAAAAAAAAATCCCTAATTTTATGGGTTGTGGTGATGATGAATAAGATCATTTATGTAAAGAGCTTGGCACAGCTGGGCACAGTGGCTCACGCCTGTAATCCCAGCACTTTGGGAGGCCGGGGCTGGTGGATCACTTGAGGTTAGGGGTTTGAGACCAGCCTGGCCAACATAGTGAAACCCTGTCTCTACTAAAAATACAAAAATTAGTTGGGCATGGTGGTGCGTGCCTGTAATCCCAGCTACTTGGGAGGCTGAGGCAGGAGAATTGCTTGAACCCAGGAGGTGGAGGTTGTAGTGAGCTGAGATTGCACCATTGCACTCCAGGCTGGGTGACAGCGAGACTCCATCTCAAAAACAACAACAACAAAAAAAAAGATCTTGGTACATGATAAGTGCTCAGTAAGAGTTATTATTAGCAGAAATCTTCCAGAATTTCTAGAAGTTTCATTCATCACTAAAGTCCCCAGGAGGGAACTCAAGAAGCCACGACAGCCACTGTGGGTCATGAAAGGTTTGCTGTGTAGCCTCTTCATTTATCTGGCTCCCCAAGAATGTCTGCAGATGAGAATCCTTATCTCACGATCCCACTCAATCTTTCTTCCTAGCTCTTTGCTTAAATTTCCCTTTTGTGATGCCCCTGTACTTTCTAATGTCCTCACTCTCTCCCTCCACAACCATGGGCACATACGAAGCAGGGGGTACCACTGGGCATCGTGTGGTTCACAGCCCTTGATTGTTCAAGGAAGGAGCTAGATACATGGAAGTCCTGATGCCAGTCTCCAATGGTGGATATCAGTGGCTCTTAACGTTTTCTGGGTCAGAGAACCTTTTAGAATCTGATGAAAGGTAGCAACTGTCTGTCTAGAAAGATATATATTCTCACATGCACACAACACTTGCCTACAATCTCAGGGGCTCTTGGATGCAGAGATGCCCTTCCAGTGCCGCCTAAGTGTTCCCAAGACCCAGGTAGCCTGGATGACACCTTCAGTACCTTCCCGGGAGGTCTCTCACAGAGCTGCAGCAGCAGAAAAACAGACCTCAACTCTTTCCCCTTTTCCTGCCTTCCCTTTGTCAGGAGGTGCCAGGAGAAGGAAATAATAACTGCTCTAAGGGGGTCAGGGAGAGAAAGAAACAAAATCAGGCTGGGTGAGGTGGTTCACGCCTGTAATCCCAGCACTTTGGGAGGCCAAAAGGGATGGATCACTTGAGTCCAGGAGCTTGAGATCAGTCTGGCCAACATGGTGAAACACTGTCTCTACTAAAAATACAAAAATTAGCCAGGCGTGGCAGTGTGCCCCTGTAAACCCAGATACTCGGGAGGCTGAGACATGAGAATTGCTTGAACCCCACTGCTCTCCAGCTTGGGCGACAGAGCAAGACTCCGTCTCAAAAAAAAAAAAAAAAAATTCAGCCAGTACTTAAAGTCAGTCTGTGAGCAGTGAGAAATGACTAAGTGAACAGGAGCATGTTTTGTGAGCTTCACAAAGATTCATGGTATCAATGAAAGATATATGGTGACCAAGAAGAACTCTGTGGATTGCAGCAGAAATAGAGGTTGGAATGGGAGGAGGGGGAGAATGGCCTAGAAATGTTACTGGGGCTAAGAGGAAAAGAGCTCTGGAGATTGGTTACACAACGTCAGTGTACGTAACACTACTGAACTTAAATGTAAGACACTTAAATGCTAAGACAAAATCTCACTCTGCCACCCAGGCTGGAGTGCAGTGGCACGTTCATGGCTTACTGCATCCTCGACCTCCTGGGGTGAGCCCAGGCCAAGCTAATTTTTAAATTTTTTTTAGAGGTGAGGTCTTGTTATGTTGCCTAGGCTGGTCTCGAACTCCTGGCCTCAAGTGATCCTCTTGCCTTGGTCTCTCAAAGTGCTGGGATTACAGGCGTGAGCCACTGTGCCTGGCCTTCACCATAATTTTTAGTTACTGGCCATCATATCCTCCATGAGAATGTTTAGGGTCTACCCTACCAGACCCTGGGCAGTTACCCATCCCTACCTTCTAGAAAGTGCAGAAGCTCAATGACAGACTTTGGTCTAGGGCCTGTTTTGTCAATGGTAAGTTAATGATGGTGGGATCACTGATGGTGCCAGTGCTGGAATTAGTGTAAAGCTATAGAAAATGGGTAAGTTTAATTGAAGGGCCGGGCACAGTGGCTCATGCCTGTAATTCCAGAACTTTGGGAGGCTGAGGTCAGGAGTTTGAGACCAGCCTGGCCAACATAGTGAAACACTGTCTCTACTAAATATACAAAAATTAGCTGGGCATGGTGGGATGCGCCTGTAATCCCAGCTACTCGGGAGGCTGAGGCAGGCGAATTGCTTTGAACCCAGGAGGCGGAGGTTGCAGTGAGCTGAGATTGTGCCACTGCACTCCAGCCTGGGCAGCAGAGTGAGACTTGTCTCAAAAAAAAAAAAAAAAAAAAAGGAAAGAAAGAAAGAAAGAAAAGAAAAGAAAGAAAAAGAAAAAAAAAGTGAGTTTAATTGGAAGGGCGGGAGGAGGGAGCACAAAGCTGGCCTGCAGGTGTATCCTGCCCTCTGCCTTTCAGGAGAGTCTCACGGGCGCACCCTAATCGGGAACCTGGAAGGTTCACATGTGCATTGCTACTTTCCAGTTGCATGACTTCTGAGGCAGCAGATGGTGCTGTTTAGCAAACCTGGGCACCAAGAACAAGAAACCTGAGCTTTTAACTTGAGAGGTCAGCCCCTGCACCCGGGTAACTCTCCCTTCCATCTGCCAGGGCAGAGGAAGGTATGGAAGGTGGGAGTCTTCTTCCTCTTTAAGCTCCTTAGAGCTCCTCTGCTGGCCCCAGGGAGGAGGGAGGGCTGAGATCTGTTTTCATGTGTGTTTCCCACGTGTGTTGGTATCCCAAACGTCTCTGGAATGCGGCTCAGGTGCAGCCTTTCTGAGAGGGGTGAGGAAGTTCGAAGGCATCCTCACACACCCCTCCATGGGCTGGGCTGACTCACCCACTCCTCAGCTCAGGGTAGCTTCAACAGCTTTATGAGCTCCTCCTGACCCTAGGATTACCTCCTTTCCTTAGGAAGCTGGAATTGCTCTCAGATTTCTGGGGCTCCACAGCAAAACAGACAAAACACTTGAAAAACCTCTCCTTACATGCATTTTTAAATTTCATATTTTTATCCAGTGAACTACACAGGTTCCAGAACTGTGGTGCTTTCTGTGTGGGTTAGAGCGTGGGATTAGGGAGGAGGTCTCCTTCTACCCTGGGGATCAGTATTTGATTGTTTCACTGGGCTTTGCCCCCAACAATGCTAGGATTCTGGGATGTGAGAACACAACACTGGTTTGGCAGCTTCAGCAAGTTTTAAAAAGCCCTGCACTCCAAAGCCCGTGGAACCTCACTGCACGCTGGTGTTCACTCTTAGCATACCTCTGTGTCCCTACCCTTGTGTTCCCTTGGCCTCACCTTTCTCATGGTGTTCTAATTTATGTTGTTTAACTTCATTTATGTGGTGTTGTAAACAACCTTAAATCTTTTTTGAAACAGGACAGGGTACAAATAAATAGAAAAACACAGCTCTAAAAGGTTAGATGTTTTGATATTTGCTGAACCTTGTGCTGATGTAAGAAAATTACTACATCCCTCAGGGACTATAATATCTAGAAGCCTCCAAGACTGGTGGGAGAGAGATGAACTCCTTATGGGAAAAGGCAGCAGAATCAGATAGCCATGACTTTGGGCCCCTGGGATTCCCGATGTCTCCCCTGGGCATTTTTCTAGGGTTGCTGCTGTTACCACCAAGTTTTCCGGTGGGGTGGAGTGGGATGTTTTAACCATCTTGTCATTATGGACTCATGAACTTTCCCTTGATGCTTTAGAAGCAGAGCTGCTAAAGCTCTAAACTCATAAGACTGAAACTTTATTTATTATTATTATTTATTTAGAGATAGGGCTTGCTCTGTCCCCCAGGCTGGAATGCAGTAGCATAATCATAGCTCACTGCAGCCTCCAAATCTTGAGTTCAAGCGATCCTCCTCCCGAGTACCTGGGACCACAGGCATGTGCCACCATGCCTGGCTAATTTTTAAAATTTTTTTGTAGAGATGGGATCTCGTTGTGTTGCCCAGACTGATCTCAAACTCCTGAGCTCAACTGATCCTCTTGCCTCAGCCTCCCAAAATGCTAAGATTACCGGCATGAGCCACTGTGGCTAGCTAGTTGATTCTAAAATGCATATGAAAATGCAAAACTCCAGGTGGGGCGCAGTGGCTCATGCCTGCAATCCCAGAACTTTGGGAGTCTGAGGTGGCTGGATCACTTGAATGCAGAAGTTTGAGACCAGCCTGGGTAACGTGGTGAAACTCTGTCTCTACCAAAAATACAAAAGATTAGCTGGGCGCGGTGGCACTCACCTGTAGTCCCAGCTACTCGGGAGGCTGAAACAGGGGGATTGCTTGAGTCCCGGAGGATGAGGTTGCAGTGAGCCGAGATTGTGCCACTTTACCCTGGACTGGGTGACAGAATGAGACCCTGTCTCGAAAAGAAAAAAAAAAAAAAGAAAGAAAGAAAAAAGAAAAAAATGAAAAAAAGAAATGCAGAGGTCTAAGAATAGCTGGTAAATCTTGACAGAGGAAGTACAAAGCTGAAGACTTTACACTACTAGATATTAAGATGTGTCATGAAACTGTGGTAATTAAGACAGTATGGTATTGGTTCAGTAATAATGAAATAGACCAGGGAACAGAATAGAGTTCAGAAACATGATATTGACGGGCCCATAGGGGAAAGCTGGGTCATTCAATAAATGGCACTGGGTCTATGGGATATTGTAGGAGCTGAGGAAAAACTTTCCCTCTACCCGCTGAAAAACCAACTCACAAAAGGCAGATTAGGAAGAGAAATGGCCCACAAATGTTTTTAACGTGAACAGGAATCTTATCAAAATATAAGATCTCAAAGAAAAATGTCATTGATGCTTTTATACTATCTTGAAGTTACAGAAAGAATAGGGGCTTGGATTCATGGCAAAATAGTTTATGGGAGGGAGAGAAGAGAGGACTGGCTAGCAAAGGTGTCTTGTTATATGGAGGGGATCTCACAGGTTGGAGCCTTCAGAGAGAATAGGTGGTAAATGTTTCTTTCAGACCTTTAATGGTGTCAGACTCTCAGTTCATCTTTCCTGGATCCAGGCAAGGGAGGATCTCAGAGAAAGCCTGGCTGCATCACGCAGATTCTCAACAGATGCAAATCTCCCCGACAAAAGACAGCTTGGGGTTGGGCGCGGTGGCTCATCCCTGTAATCCCAGTACTTTGGGAGGTCTAGGCAGGCAGATCACTTGAGGTTAAGAGTTCGAGACCAAGGCCGGGCGCGGTGGCTCACGCCTGTAATCCCAGCACTTTGGGAGGCTGAGGCAGGCAGATCACCTGAGGTCGGGAGTTCGAGACCAGCCTGACCAACATGGAGAAACTCTGTCTCTACTAAAAATACAAAATTAGCTGGGTGTGGTAGCACATGCCTGTAATCCCAGCTACTCGGGAGGCTGAGGCAGGAAAATTGCTTGAAAACCCAGGAGGTGGAGGTTGCGGTGAACCGAGATTGCGCCATTGCACTCCAGCCTAGGCAACAAGAGTGAAACTGTCTCAAAAAAAAAAAAAAAAAAAGAGTTCAAGACCAACCTGACCAACATGGTGAAACTTCATCTCTACTAAAAATACAAAAATTAGCCAGGTGTGGCGGAGGGCACCATAATCTCAGCCAGTCAGGATGCTGAGGCAGGGAGAATTGCTTGAATCTAGGAGGGGGAGGTTGCAGTGAGCCTAGATGGTGTCCCTGCACTCCAGCCCGGGCAACAGAGTGAAATTCCATCTCAAAAAAAAAAAGAAAAAGACAGCTTGGTAGGACTCCTTCTGTCCACAGGTCCTCTGAACAACCATCTCAAAATATGTCAGACTAGGCCGGATGTGGTAGCTCATGCTTGTAACTCCAATATTTTGGGAGGCTGAGGTGGGAAGATTGCTGGAGCCCATAGTGAGCTGTGATCGCATCTCTGCCCTCCAGCCTGGGGGACAGAGAGAGATGCTGTCTCAGAAAAAATTTAAGGCGGGCCCGGTGGCTTATGCCTGTAATCCCAACAGTTGGGGAGACCAAGGCAGGTGGATCACTTGAGGCCAGGAGTTCGAGACTAGCCTGGCCACCATGGTGACACTCTGTCTCTACTAAAAATACAAAAATTAGGCCTGGCGCAGTGGCTCATGCCTGTAATCCCAGCACTTTGGGTGGCCGAGATTGGCGGATCACCTGAGGTCAGGTATTCAAGACCAGCCTGGCCAATATGGTGAAACCCCATCTCTACTAAAAATACAAAAATTAGCCAGGTGTGGTGGCTCATGCCTGTAATCCCAGCTACTTGGGAGGCTGAGGCAGGAGAATCGCTTGAACCCAGGAGGCGGAGGTTGCAGTGAGCCAAGATTGTGCCACTGCACTCCAGCATGGGCAACGACAAAAAAAGCGAGACTCCATCTCAAAAAAAAAAAAAAATGATAATGATAATTAGCCAGGTGTGGTGGTGCACGCCTGTACTCCCAACTACTCAGGAGGTTGAGGCGGGAGAATCACTTGAACCTGGGAGGCGGAGGTTGCAGTGAGTGATGGTGCCACTACACTCCAGCCTGGGTGACAGAGTGAAACCCTGTCTCAAAAAATTTTTTTTAAATGTCAAAGTATATTTCGGAGTGAAATCTTTTGGGTTCCTTCAGTATTCATATGGGGAAAAATGAATCTTGATCCCAACAGATACTATATGGTAGGGAAAATTTTGTGCTTCAGTGGAAAATTGCATTATCTATAGTACATTCTCTGGATTATCTGATTTTGATTCTATGATAGCTATTTTACAGCTCTGTGTCTGGTAGACAATTGAAAGCAATGCAAAATTCATAAAAGCAAATTGTCTAGTGGAGGGACACTCCCTGCCCCCTCCTCCAGAAAAACAAGCTTTGCCTCCATTTGCATATTCATTTCAATATTTCTGGTCTCTAAATGCGTCTATTCTTTGGATTCACCTTTGAACTGGTTGTAACACCTTACTAGTTTTTCTTAATAATAAGTGTAATAAAATTTTAACATGTTTATTTTTATGTCTGTATGAAAGTTCATAATTTTATGTTTTTTAAAAAATTAATTTTTGGGTTGGGCGCAGTAGCTCACGCCTGTAATCCCAGCACTTTGGGAAGCCGAGGGGGGTGGATCACCTGAGGTCAGGAGTTCGAGACCAGCCTGGCCAACATGGCGAAACCCCATCTCTACTAAAAATACAAAAATTAGCCAGGCGTGGTGGCTCATGCCTGTAATCCCAGCTACTCGGGAGGCTGAGACAGGAGAATTGCTTGAACCCAGGAGGCAGAGGTTGCAGTGAGGCGAGATGGAGCCACTGCACTCTAACCTGGGTGACAGAGCAAGACTCCATCTCAAAAAAAATAAAATTAAATTAACTTTTGGCCAGGCACAGTGGCTCACACTGTAATCCCAGAACTTTGGGAGGCCGAGGCAGGTGGATAACTGGAGCTCAAGAGTTTGAGACTAACCTGGGCAATGTGGAGAAACCCTACACCTACAAAAACTACAAAAATTAGCCAAGCATTGTGGCTCATGCCTATAGTCCCAGCTACTAACACTTGGGAGGCGGAGGTAGGAGGCTCACTTGAGCCTGGGAGGTTGAGGCTGCTGTGAGCCATGATCATGCAGCCTGGGTGACAGAGCAAGACCCTGTCTCAAAAAAATTAACTTTGAATAATACAAAAAATTAGGTGGATTGCTAATATAAAGGTGGAAGGCAAACCAAAATGCTTTTATAAGACAATAAAGGAGAATATATTCATGACTTTGAGACAGCAATGATTTCTTAGAAAGGACTTAAAGCACTAACCATAAAAGAAAAGATTGATCATTTGGGTGTCATTAAAATTAAGACTGCTTTTCATCAAGAAACACCACTAAGAGAGTGAAAAGGCATGCCACAGAGTGGGAGAGGATACTTGCATTACATTATAGACTTGATATCTCTATCTTTGTAATGACATCTACAAATCAATACAAAGACAGAAGAAAAATGGGCCAAAGATATGAGTAGGCCCATCACGAGAAAACCATATCCAAATGGTGAAAAAGCTTAAGAAAAAGCATACAGCCTCATTAGTCACCAGGGAAATAAAAATTAAAACTATTGCACAGCCGCCAGAAGGGTGAAATGCAAAAGACAATACTAAATGTCTTCATCTGCTTGTGTTACTATAAGGAATACCCAAGGCTGGGTAATTTATAAAGAAAAGAGGTTCATTTGGCTGCTGGTTCTTCTGGCCATACAAGAAGCATGGCACCAACATCTACTTCTGATGGGGGCCTCAACCTGCTTCCACTCATGGCAGAAGGCAAACGGAAGCCTGCGTGTGCAGAGACCATAGGGTGAGAGAGAAAGCAAGAGAGAGAGGGGAGGTAGCAGTCTGTTTTTTTTAATAACCAGCCCAGGCTGGACGCGGTGGCTCATGCCTGTAATCCCAGCACTCTGGGAGGCGGAGGCGGGTGGGTCACTTGAGGCCAGCAGCTCAAGACCAGCCTGGCCAACATGGCGAAACCCCGTCTCTACTAAAAATACAAAAATTAGCTGTGCATGGTGGCAGGAGCCTGTAATCCCAGCTACTTGGGAGGCTGAGGCAGGAGAATTGCTTGAACCTGGGAGGCGGAGGTTGCAGTGAGCCGAGATGGTGCCACTGCACTCCAGCCTGGGTGACAGAGCAAGACTCCGTCTCGAAGAAAAACAAACAAACAACAAACGAAACGAAAAAAAACGCAATCAGCCCTCACAGGAACTTACAGAACGAGAACTTACTCACTACTTCCAAGACTGCACCAAGCTGTCATGAAGTCTTGAGGGATCCGCCCCCATGACCCAAACACCTCCTATTAGGTCCCACCTCTGACACTGGGGATCACATTTCAACATGAGGTTTGGAGGGGTCAAATATTCAAACCATAGCACTGAGGCTGACAACCATGTGGAGAAACTGGATCTCAAACATTGGTGGGAGTATAAATTGCTATAACCTCTTTAGAAAATTGTTTAGCAATATCTCTTAGTGCTGAACATACACCCACCCTGTGATCCAGCAATTCCATTCTTGGGTGTGGGTGCACACTTATGTCTATGCACTGAAAGACAGAGGAGAATTTAGAGCGATTTCATTCCCCATACCCCTGTATTCGCTTCCTGTGGCTGCTGTCACAAATTACCACTAACTTGGTGGCTTAAGACAACAGATGGCCGGGCGCAGTGGCTCACACCTGTAATCCCAGGACTTTGGGAGGCCAAGGCAGGAAGATCACCTGAAGTCAGGAGTTCAAGACCAACCTGGCCAACATGGTGAAACCCCTGTCTCTACTAAAAATACAAAAATCAGCTAGGCATGGTGGCGGGCACCTGTAATCCCACCTACTTGGGAGGCTGAGGCAGGAGAATTGCTTGAACCTGGGAGACGGAGATTGTAGTGAGCTGAGATTGTGCCATTGCACTGCAGCCTGGGTGACAAAGAGAGACTCCATCTGAAAAAAAAAAAAAAAAAAAAAGGCAACAGATATTTATTCTCTCACTGTCAGCTCTGGAGGTTGAAAGTCCAGAATGAAGGTGTCAGCAGGGTTGAACTCTGTCCAGAGGCTCTAGGGAGGTGTTGTCACTCGTGTCCTCTGGCTTCTGGTGGCCTTGGGCATTCCTTGGTTTGTGGATGCATCAGTCTCATCTCTGCCTCCTCCTTCTCAGGTCTTTCTCCTCCTGTTTGTGTAGTCTCGCTCTGCCTTGTTCTGTTAGGACACTTGTCACTGGAGTGAGGGTCCTTCTGGATAATCCGAGATGATCGTGTCATATCAAGGGCCTTAATTTAATTACATTGGCGAAGACTCTTGTTTTTATATATATATATATATATATATATATATATATATATATAAAATTTATTTATTTTAGAGATAGGGTCTCGCTATGTTTCCCAGGCTGGAGTGCAGTGGCTGTTCACAGGTGTGATCCCACTACTGATCAGCACAGGAGTTTTGACCTGCTCCGTTTCCAACCTGGGATGGTTCATCCCTCCTTAGGCAACCTGGTGGTCCCATGCTCCCAGGAGCTCACCGTATTGATGCTGAACTTAGTGCAGACACCAAATCAACCTAGTGCCCTACAGCCCAGAACTCCTGGGCTCAAGCAATCTTCCAGCCTTAGACTCCTGAGTAGCTGGGACTACAGGTGCATACCACCATGCCCCATGAGACCCTTATTTCTAAACAAGGTAGCATTCACATGTCTGAGGATTAAGACATGGACATATCTTCTGGAGAGCCATCCTTCAGTCCACTGCAGGCCCCAGACTACAAATAACATGAATGTCTATCAGCTTTAGAATGGAAAATAAATTGTGGTATATTCATACCATGGAATACTATAAACCAATATGAATGAAAAAATTACTGCTACAGGAACTGCATTAGTGAATCTCATAAACATAATGCTGATTGAAAGAAGTCAGACTGGCCGGGTGTGGTGGCTCACGCCTGTAATCCCAGCAGTTTGGGAGGCCGAGGTGGGTGGATCACCTGAGGTCAGGAGTTTGAGACCAGCCTGGCCAACATGGTGAAACCCCATCTCTACTAAAAATACAAAAATTAGCCAGGCATGGTAGTGTGTGCCTGTAATCCCAGCTACTCAGGAAGCTGAGGCAGGAGAATCGCTTGAACCCAGGAGGCGGAGGTTGCAGTGAGCCGAGATTGTGCCCCTGCACTCCAGCCTGGATGACAGAGCAAGACTTTGCCTCAAAAAAAAAAAAAAAGCCAGACCCAAATGTCTGATAAATGTCTGATTCACTTATGTTCAAAAATGGCAAAACTAAGCTGGGTGAAGTGGCTCCCACCTGTAATCCCAAGTACTTGGGAGGCTGAGGTGGGAGGATCACTCGAGCCCAGGAGTTTGAGGCTGCAGTGAGCTATGATTGTGCCTCTGCACTCCAGCCTGGATGACAAATGAGAGCCTGTCACTTAAAAAAAAAAAAAAAAAAAAGCAAAACTAATGTATGAAGATAGAAATTAGGACAGGGGGTTGGGCGCAGTGGCTAATGCCTGTAATGCCAGCACTTTGGGAGGCCGAGGTGGGCAGATCATGAGGTCAGGAGATCGAGACCATCCTGGCTAACACGGTGAAACCCCGTCTCTACTAAAAATACAAAAAATTAGCTGGGCGTGGTGGCAGGTGCCTGTAGTCCCAGCTACTCGGGAGGCTGACGCAGGATAATGGTGTGAACCCGGGAGGCAGAGCTTGCAGTGAGCTGAGATCACACCACTGCACTCCAGCCTGGGCGACAGAGCGAGACTCCATCTCAAAAAAAAAAAAAGAAAGAAAGAAAAGAAAGAAAGAAATTAGGACAGGGGTAACTTTTGGAGGGGAGGGGGACTGGGAAGGACTCACAGGCAGATTTCTGTAGGTGCTGATACTATTTCTTTACCTGGGTGGTGAAAATTCACCAAACCAAACATTTTGGTACACTTTTTCTGCATAGGATGGCTATAATACATTTTTCTTTTCATCCTCTTTCCTTTATTATAACTATGCTACATTTTAATGAAGTTTATTTTTAAAAATCTTGTTACTGGCTGGGTGCAGTGGCTCACACCTGTAATCCCAGCACTTTGGGAGGCTGAGGTGGGCGGACCACCTGAAGTCAGGAGTTCGAGAGACTAGCCTGGCTAACATGGTGAAACCCCATCTCTACTAAAAATACAAAAATTAGCCGGGCATGGTGGTGCGTGCCTGTAATCCCAGTTACTCAGGAGGCTGAGGCAGGAGAATTGCTTCAACATGGGAGGTGAAGGTTGCAGTAAGCCAAGATCGCATCATTGCACTCCAGCCTGGGCAACAGACTGAGACTCCGTCTAAAAAAATTTAAAAAATATGTTACTATACAGGTGTGAGCCACCACACCTGACCTATGATGAACAGGTATATTTTTAGCATCAGAAAAAAAAATATATATGTATATATACATATTGATGGCTGCTGCCCAGGCTGTAGTGGAGTGGCACAATCTCAGCTCACTTTAACCTCTGCCTCCTGGGTTCAGGCGATCCTTGTGCCTCAGCCTACTGAGTAGCTGGGATTACAGGCACCCACCATCACAGGCTAATTTTTATATTTTTTTAGTAGAGACAGGGTATTGCCATGTTGGCCAGGCTGGTCTCAAACTCCTGACCGTAAGTTATCCACCCTCCTCGGCCTCCCAAAATGCTGAGATTACAGGCATGTCCAGCCAAAAAATAATTTTTAAATTTAAAAATAGGGATGGGGGGGTCTCACTATGTTACCCAGGCTGGTCTTGAACCCCTGAGCTTAAGGGATCCTCCCACCTCAGCCTCCCAAAGTGCTAGGATCACAATCAAGAGCCACTATGCCTGGCCTAAACCTTGTATTTTAGAAAGCTAATTATACAGGGTGTAGGGCTAAAGGTGGCAAGGATTGAACGGACAGATGCTGAAGCTTTGCAAGTTATTTGTGTCTGTTCTACTTAACTTGAACTGCCTTCTATTTACAAAGAATCAGGAGAACTAGAAATGGTGGTACAAAGGTGAAGTACTGGCCTGGTACTGTGGCTCATACCTGCAAGCCACTGATTTGGGAGGCCCAGGTGGGAGGTCGGCTTGAGGCCAGGAGTTTGAGACCAGCCTGGGCAACACAGTGAGACCCCATCTCTACAAAAAATTAAAAGTTAGCCAGGCATAGTGGCACACAGCTGTAGTCCCAGCTACTTGGGAGGTTGAGGCAGGAGGATTGCTTGAACCTAAGAGGTCAAGGTTGCAGTTAAGGTAGGAGAATAGGGAATCAGGGTAACTAAGGGTTAAGGCATAAGCAAAAGAACAACAGGTGCAGCCAGTTCTAGGCAAGATTAGGCAACATCCAGGCCACATCCTCGCTCCTCTGATAACACTTCAGACTCCGATTGGTTGCGTGCCAATCCTTCATAGGGTGTAACCAATGGAGGCCTCTAAAGGGCACCTGGGGTGTTACCAAATTCTCTTATCTTAATAAAAACCCTAAAGAACATTGCAGTTGGGGCTCTTGAGCCGCTTGCTAGAGCCTGCTCCCACTCTGTGGCATGCGCTTTCACTTCAATAAATCTGCGCTTTCATTGCTTTTTCCTTTTGTTGCTTTGTGTGTTTTGTTCAATTCTTCATTCAATGAGTCAAGAACCTGGACAACTCACAGTCAAGACTTCCTATCCGATAACACAGTGAGTGATGATTGCATCATTGCACTCCAGTTTGGGTGACAGAGTGAGACCCTGTCTCTAAAAACAAAGTAACAAACAAAAAACCAAAACAAGAAACAAAGATGAGGTGCCCATTTCCTGCTTTTGAGATGATACCAAGTGAATAAAGCAAGTCCTGAATAAAGCATAAGAAATAAACTAGGAAACAGAAGCAATCTGGCTAGGAGAGGCCTAAAGGAAGGATTTGTGCAGTGGGAAGGGAAGGAAAGGGGTGCACATTTTCTACTACATTGTATTTGTGGGATCCAGGGGTCTTCTTTGAGGGGACCTGACAAATTGGAAAGACAATACCTTTGCATTATCTATAACATAAGTTTTGTTCAACAAAGCCATGCTCTTAACACGGTTGCAGGGGAAATGGTTAGCCACTTGCCTGTTGAGATCATTTTCTGTCCGGTTTTCTGTCCATGCTGAAGGCTTGCACGTCATTTATGGATCTTCTACTTACCTTGAACTGCCTTCTATTTGCAAGCAATCAGGAAAGCTAGAAATGGTAACACAGAGGTGCCCTACTGGCCGGCACGGTGGCTCGTGCCTACAAGCCACTGCTTTGGGATGCCGAGGCAAGAGGATTGCTTGAGCTCAGGAATTCAAGACCAGCCTGGGCAACATAACAAGACCCCTGTCTCTACGATAAAATTTAAAAAATTAGCCAGGCATGGTGGTGTGTGCCTGTAGTTCCAGCTACTTGGGAGGCTGAGGCAGGAGAATTGCTTGAACCCAGGAGTTTGAGGCTGCGGTGAGCTGTGACTGCAGCACTGCGGGGACTGCAGTGAGTCTCAGTACAATGTGTTTTGCCTTGGTAAAGGGGAGAAAACAGCTACCAAGGTGCCTGGGCCATGGTTTCAACCTCCACATTGCCACAGCTACTGGGGCAAGGGAAAGAGAACCCGATGTCAGGCACTCTGACCTCCCTTCTTCTCACTGACCCCCCAAGGCAGGAAGCCCTTGCTCCTCAAACCTACAACTGAAAGGTGCCCACGGCCAACCAAGTGGGCAGGAGGCTGAGGCAGCTGGACACGGGGAAGCCCGAGGGCTGTTTAGAGCCAGGTGAGTGAATCACCCTGTGTGGACATTTGTCACCACATCCCAGAGTCTGAAGCAGAGCAGAAGGTCAAGGAGCCATTTCCAGCCCCTTTCTGCTCCTCCATGGGCTAGCACAAGAGCCCACCTGGAGTCCCCAGAGATGGTTTCTGAGCTAGTGTCCCTGCAGCAGGGGCATCAGGGACACTGAAGGGCTCTGGGGGAGTGACTGTCAGGAGGATTCTCTCCCTGGAACCCCTTTTCTCCTCTTCCCCAGCGTGGCCCCAGGGACTCTCTTATGGAAGAGGTGCTTCCCGCTGGTCTAGACACAGCCCTGCCTTCTCATCAGCTCTAACTGCACAGCTCGGCTGCCCAGGGCCATCTAGGTGGCTGGGAGTCCTGGCACTCTCTGCTCTGCTGCTTTTGAAGGAGGACAGGTGTCTCACCTGTCCAGTCTAACCTGCCAGGCTTGTCCATGTGCTCAGGGTTGATTGAAACTCTTCCTCTTTCAGTCCAAGCTGGAGGCAGGGCAGGATGGGAGGAAGGAGCAGCCTTCCTGTTCTGCCGCACCCTGGCTGCGGGAGGTATTTACAAACACTCCTGGAACTCAGTGACCCTGCGCGGGTTCAGCCGGCCAGCATAGCCTGGCCTTTGGGAGTGGGGAGGAGCGGCCACGGTGGAGTCTTCCCAGGGCCAGTGGGGAGCCAGGGGCCTGCAGGGTGCCTGCCTTGTCACTGCCCTTGTTGTTGTCCCTGTGCATCCCCCAGCCTGGATTCTGGGTCTGGAAAATTGGGAGAAGACAGAGGGTGACTCCTGGGCAGAGTCATGGGAACAACGTGCTCTGGGCTGGTGGAGGGGAAAAAACAGCCACCAAACAGCTGGAGGCAGCAAGGCACACCTGGTGCTGGGGCTCCGGCCTCTTCCTTCTCTGAAAAATTTCCAGTTCCTGCCTTGGGAAGCCCCCACTCCTTTGAGCTAACCCCTGCCAGTGGTCAGTGTCTGATGAGAGTGGTCTGGATTTCTCCTGGGTGGTGAGGCAGCTGTGCCTGCCTCCAAACTACCACATCTGCTTTCACCAAAGTCTATTTGTGTCTCACAGAAACTCAAACACATGAGGTCACAGGTACTTCCCCACCCTCTTTGTCCTCTAATCCTTTCCATGGGTGGAAGATATGCTTTGTTTCATACTCAGCTGGGGAGGCTGTCCAGCTAGGTTTTATGCCTTGTTTTCTTTATTGGGGGAGCAGCACTAAAAATGTGAGTGTTGGAGAGGAGGGGGAACTAGAGCTGAAAAACTTCCTCCCAGGCTGAGTTGTTTGTTTGTTTGTTTGTTTTTAAAGACAGGGTCCCACTCTGTTGCTGAGGCTGGAGTGCAGTGGTGCAATCATAGCTCACTGCAGCCTCGAACTCCTGGGCTCCAGCAATCCTCCCACCTCAGCCTCCCTAGTAGCTGGGACTACAGGTGGACGCCACCACACTCAGCTAATTTTTGAAGTTTGTTTTATAGAGACAGAATCTCAGTATGTTGCCCAGGCTGGTCTTGAACTCCTGGGCTCAAGTGATCCTCTAGCCTTGGCCTCTCGAAGTGTTGGGATTACAGGTGTGAGACGCTGTGCCCCACCTCCCCAGGTCAGTTTTGAACTGAAATCTATGACTTTGTCCAGCTGGCGTGTAGTAGAACATTGGACAGGTAGGATAATCAAGAGGAAAGTGTATACCCTCTTATTTAATTCAGTACCAACTTAGAAGAGACTCCAAGATGGGGAAGAGGTAGGCAGATTGGGGCAGAAGGCAGACAATCCCCAGGTGAAAATGAATGAAGGCATCTAGCTGTGACCTGCCTGCCAAGCTGTTGGCTGCTGGACTCCTTCTTCTCATACCTCCCTTGCAATTTGAGAACAGCCTAAGCAGGTCACTGCTCAAAGTTCTCTGAAGGCTGGCTCCCCTGGTCTCAGCCTGGTGTTCTCTGAAGGCTGGCTCCTTAGCCTGGTGTTCATGGTCTGAGCGCAGCCTGTCTTATTTCTGTCTTATTTCTACCACTCATTCTCAGTGGCCTCCTAAAGCATCCTACATTCCAGCCACAATGGGGTATGTGAAACCTGGAAACGCCACGACTCTCTGGTCCCCATATCTTTGCGTAGGCTGTTCTCCTCTTCTCTCCTGAAATGCTCTTCTCATATGTCTCCTCCTGTTTCTGTCAAATCTGATATATCCTTCAGGGCCCAGCTGAGCCCCTCCTACTTCACAAAAATCCACCAACTTACAGAAATCGCTCTCTCCTCAAAACACCCAAAGCATCACAGTAATCAGGACTTCCTTTAGATGATGCTGGAGTGCCTTGGAACTGAGTCTCATTCAGCTTTGTGCACTTGGTAGCACCCGGCACATGCCTGGCACAAAGTAAATGCTCAACAAATCGTAACAGGGTCTCGGTCTATTGCCCAGGCTGGAGTGCAGTGACATAATCATAGCTCACTGTAGCTTCAAACTCCTGGGCTCCAGTAATCCACTCACCTTAGCCTCCTGAGTAGCTGGGACTATAGGTGCGCACTACCATGCCTGGCTAATTATTGGTTTTATTTTTTATCTTTTTGTAGTAACGAGATCTTGCTGTGTTGCCCAGGCTGGTCTTGAAGTCCTGGCTTCAAGTGATCCTCCCACCTCAGCCTCCCAAAGCACTGGGGTTACAGGTATGAGTCACTGCATCTGGCCTCAAGAAGCCTTTATGGAAATTAACTGAGTCATAATGTTGAATGAGTATAATGGATCATCCAGAAGGGAAAATGGCACCAAAACAACACAGTTCTGTTAGGCTTTCTTGCCCCTTCTATGCCTGCTGGCTTCTTTCCCCCACTCCTCCCATCATCGTTACATATTTCCAACATGGCCAGGTGCAGTGGCTCACACCTGTAATCCCAGCACCTTGGGAGGCCGAGGTGGGCAGATCACTTGAGGTCAGGAGTTCAAGACCAGCCTGGCCAACATGGTGAAACCCCATTTCTACTAAAAATACAAAAATTAGCGGGCATGGTGTCGTACATCTGTAATCCTAGCTACTTGGGAGGCTGAGGTACAAGAATCGCTTGAACTTGGGAGGCAGAGGTTGCAGTGAGCTAAGATTGCGCCATTGCACTCCAGCCTGGGAGACAGAGCAAGACTCTGTCTCCAAAAAGAAAAAAAAAAAAGAAAAAAAATATTTCCAACATACTAAACAGGCCTTTCTCACACTGCAGCTGCCCTCAGTTGCAAACCTGAGGCATACCTCTGTCTTCTAATTTCCTACGTGGTAAAAGGAAACACTTGGTCCTCATGGTTGGCCAACTTAACCTGCAAACTCTTGAGTTCAGTAGCACTTCCCGGGTACCTACTGTGCACCCAGGTTTGTGCTGGAGGCTGTGAAGGAGACAAGTTGAATAAGTCACTACCTGGTCCCTGCCCTCAGCAGGGCATAGGAAGTCAAACCTTGGAGAAATATGAGTGAACCCTTGCAGTGGGAGGTTGGCAAAGACAGTCAAGGGTACAACGTAAAGGCCTGGAAGTAAAAAGTGTCTGGGCTACAGGTTTGTTTGTTCGGGAGATAGAGGAGAATGAGGTAGGGTGGGGTCAAAATGGAGTACCTTGAAATCTCTGTTCAGTCCGAAGGTAACGCGGTTGCTGGTGAGGCAGCCAGCAGGTTAGTGAAGCAATGTGCAGTGTGAACCAGAGGGAGGAGAGCCTGGAGATTGGAGGGACACGAGTAGCCATCCAAGATTGGGGTTCTGTGGATCTGGAAGAATCAAGAGATGCACTGAACAGCTGTTTGGGAGTCAGGACACTGGGATCCCAGTCCCAGCTCTGCAGAGGGACCTTGGACATGTCACTCCTCTCTTCTGAGTCTTTCCTTAACTGTAAAACTTTAAAACCTTCCAAGTGACCTTTCCAATCTGATGACTCGTTAAACAGTTGAGCCTTTGAACTAGGACCTGTGAAATGAAGGGAAGCAGCCGATCTATTAGGCATTTGGAACAAGAAAGGGACTGCCTGGGAGCCCAGGGATAGAGGCAGGGAGAGACTAAAGAGGGCCTGGCAAGGGAGAAATGGGGAACTGCGGGCTGGGGGCCTGCCACTGTCCCGATGTTTGATTTGGCAATCCCATTTTCAGTTCCTCCTTTCTTCCCTTTTTCTAACTCAGCCTCGCCTTATCTGGTGGGGGGAGGGCAAAATAGGACACTCCCACATTGAACTCATGCTCCCCAGGATACCTTCCCCTTTTCCGGCCCTCACAAGGTCCTCACCTTCCTCTGCAGCTGCCTTCCTCCAGAGCAAGGCTTTCCAGCGGGAGAAGTAGAAAGCACAGTGAATTGGGTGGGCATCTTCCTTAGCACCCTCATAGTTACCAACTTTATTTTTTTGAGACAGGGTCTTGCTCTGTTGCCCAGGCTGGGAGTGCAGTGGCACGATCTCGGCTCACTGCACCTCGACCTCCTGGGCTCCAGAGATCCTCCAGACTCAGCCTCCCAAGTAGCGGGGACCACAGGCGCTTGCCACCACTCCTATCTAATTATTTTTAATTTTTTTTGTAGAGACGGGGATCTGGCTATGTTGCCCAGGCTGGTCTCGAACTCCTGGGCTCAGGAGATCCTCCTGTCTCAGCCTCCCAACGTGCTGGTCATGGTTATTTACTGAGAACTCACCATGAGCCAGGCACTGGGCCAAGAACTGTAATGCATTATTATTATTATTTTTTACAGCAATCCTAGGAGGTGATTGTCAGGTGAAGAAATTGAGACTTGATGTTAGGTAATCCGCGCAAGGCCACGACTGGCGATGTGACCCTGGAAATGAGGTCTGACTTCCAAGTCAGTGCTTCGGCCAGCTCCTTCCCGCCGTGCGACCTTTGGCAGCTGGGGACCCCATCCGTCACCTACCACCTCTCAGATTAGATTCTCGATGCGCCCGCCCCTGCGCACGTGATCCCCTGCCTGCCTGGCCGCGCCAGCCCCGCCTCCGGCGCCCGGGTGCCCGGAGCTGCCCGCGCTGCTGAGGCCGGCGGGGCGGGGCGGGGCGGGGCGGGGCGCGGCGCAGCAGGTGGAGCAGGCGGCTCGGGCAGGGGCGTGGCCTTGGCCATGAGGGGCGTGGCCTGGCGGGGGTGTGGCCGGAAGCCTTAAAGTGGCCTGGTCGCCGGGGCGGGCCGTGGAGGCCGCCAGTCGCGGCGATCTTCTCCTCGCTTCTGGAGTGTTATCGTCACCATGTCCCTAATGGTCTCGGCTGGCCGGGGCCTGGGGGCCGTGTGGTCCCCAACCCACGTGCAGGTGACGGTGCTGCAGGCGCGGGGCCTGCGGGCCAAGGGCCCCGGGGGCACGAGCGACGCGTACGCGGTGATCCAGGTGGGCAAGGAGAAGTACGCCACCTCCGTGTCGGAGCGCAGCCTGGGCGCGCCCGTGTGGCGCGAGGAGGCCACCTTCGAGCTGCCATCGCTGCTGTCCTCCGGACCCGCGGCCGCCGCCACCCTGCAGCTCACCGTGCTGCACCGCGCGCTGCTCGGCCTCGACAAGTTCCTGGGCCGCGCCGAGGTGGACCTGCGGGATCTGCACCGCGACCAGGGCCGCAGGAAGACGCAGTGAGTGCGGGCGGGGAGGGGAGGGCCCGGCCTGGGGGCGCGGACCCCTCCGGCAGGGCGGTCTGGGCGCTGGACCCTTCGAGAGTAAGCCGGGCAGCAGCGGGGAAGGCCTTTCGGGACGGAGCCCTCGGCCGGTGCTGGTGTTCTCACCTGGCTTCCCCTTCTGCGGCTGTCCCGCCCAGCTCTGCCAGCTTTGGGTCTTCTTGGAAGAAGGGGCCGTATCTGGGGCGCTTTTTTTTTTTTTTTTTTTAGACAGAGTCTCTGTCGCCCGGGCTGGAGTGCAATGGCAATGGCACGATCTCAGCTCACTGCAAACTTCGCCTCGCAGGTTCACGTGATTCTCCTGCCTCAGCCTCCCGAGTAGCTGGGATTACAGGCGCGCACCACCACGCCCGGCTAATTTTTTTTTTTTTTTTTTTGAGACTGAGTCTCACTCTGTCGCCAGGCTGCAGTGCAGTGGCACGATCTCGGCTCACTGCAACCTCCGCCTCCTGGGTTCAAGCGATTCTCCTGCCTGAGCCTCCCGAGTAGCTGGGACTACAGGCGTGCGCCACCACGCCCGGCTAATTTTTGTATTTTTAGTAGAGACGGGGTTTCATCAGATTGGCCAGGATGGTCTTGAACTATTGACCTCGTGATCCACCCACCTCGGCCTCCCAAAGTGCTGGGATTACACGCGTGAGCCACCGCGCCCGGCCCGCCCGGCTAATTTTTGTATTTTTAGTAGAGACGGGGTTTCACCGTGTTGGCCAGGCTGGTCTCGAATTTCTGACTTCAGGTGATCCGCCCACCTCGGCCTCCCAAAGTATTGGGATTACAGGCGTGAGCCACCGCGCCGGGCCTGGGGCGCTTTTGAATCTGCAGGACGCCCCTCAGCGTCTGGCACACAGTAAGCACTAAGTGAATTTTAGATGAATTCCAACTATACGTGGGCAGGTGCCTTCTTCTTACTAGGGTGGTAGCCCGTGTCTGATACTCGCCTTCGCTTGGGTGGAAGGCCTCCTGGGTATTTCACTGAATAGAAGAACACTTCGAGCCGAGAATGACTGGGCCAGGGCGCAGGGCAGAGGAACAGGAGGCATGAAACCAGCTGACACCCCCACCCTAAAGGCTAACCCCGGGCGCAACGCCTTTACAATGCGGGGTGGGTGGAGGTTGGGGGAGGGGAATGGCGTTTGCCGGCTGTCACATGACTTGCTAACCCCTTCCCCTACCTCATACTTGCCTAGGGGGTTGGTGAAGAGAATTTGCCCCTACAGAAAGAATGTTACAACAGTGTGGTGTGTGCCCTGGGCCCCATGTTAGTAAAGATTTCTCCAGGTTGGAAGGAGCCCGGGTGGGCCCTTGACGGAGCAGAACTGGGCATTGTTTCCTTTTGGAGTTGGTAGAGTTCTTCTCTCTGGTCCTAATCCTGGTGGATGTCTGCTCGCCTGTAGCTCCCAAAGATTGTGTCAGGTTATTTCACTTCTGCAGTAAAAACTGGGCAAAAACCATTCACTCCATGATATTACCGAATTATTTGTTTCACAGGTGTTCGGAAAGGGCAGTGCTTCACCCAAAGGAACGTTCGATTATGTTCATCTAGTATGCCAAAGCTAGCCTCGATTAGCTTAGCTGGTTACTTTGTTAGATCTTAAATACACAGGCCAGTCAGTTAGCACCGAAAGCCTATAGTCTAGGAATCACACTGATTTGCTTTGTGTGTTTTAGATATACATAGCCTTTTAACTTTCCCTTCTGTGGGAGACAGGAAAAGCCAGAGGGTTTGTCCTCTGGAGGCTCCCTTTACTGTGGGGTGGGTTCCATTTCAGCATGTAGGCTTGCAAATGGAATATTTGATGATGCAAACTTACCTGGCCAGAGATGAATAGGCATTTCTGAACTCACATCAGATAAAACTAGCCTTGATGTGAGGATGGATGGGGTATCTCACAGCATCAATTTACAAGCCATAAGGTGAGCAGTGTTTTTGCTAAGGAGGGGCTGCAGCAATGCTGATCTTCCATCTGATTAAATGACACTGGGGGTGGTGGGTTGGCTTCCCTTCAGCTTCAAATGGGTGCTGTTGGCCATCCGTTGTCTTGCGCCATCCCAACATGTGTGTATTCACTTCCTTCTCTGCCACCTGTTTCTTATGTGGACATTTTATCCCCTTGAGAGGTAGATCACATCTCCCTGCCAGAGATGGAGATTCCAGAGTCCTGGGTCCAGTGCCCACAGCAGCCCTGACTCATTGTTGGGCTTCTCTGTCCCTAAACACCCAAGTTTCTCTATTTGTAAATAGAGCATGTTGCCAGACTTAATTGATGTTTGTAAGATGTTTCTGGGTTCCTGGATTAATGGGGCCAATGTATCCAAGAAGTGATTGAAAAGGTTGGCAACTGCTTTGTGAGAGATTGAAACCTTGAGCTCTCTTTTTTTCAGGAAGAGTTCAGTCTCTGCATCTTCATTTTTCTTATTTTATCCAATGTAACCCTAAACCTATACAATAACTCCCACCTATTATGTGAACCGATTACCACCTAGTCACAGTATTGACTTCCAGGAAAATGGTGCTTAGTTGATTTTTTTTTCTTTCTTAAAATAACTGCAAAGGAAGGCTTCTTTGCATCTCTATGGGTAGATGAAATTTCCACTTTCCATCTACAACTTTCTGGGACTTTCCAAGGTGCCAAGGGTGCTGTCTGATGCCCTGGTGCCCAAGATAGCTGAGATTTAAAGAATAAGATATGCATTGAAAGGTGGAATTTTTTTTTTTTTTGAGATGGCGTCTCACTCTGTCCCCCAGGCTGGAGTGCAATGGCGTGATCTCGGCTCACTGAAACCTCTGCCTCCTGGGTTCTAGCAATTCTCCTGCCTCAGCTTCCCGAGTAGCTGGGATTACAGGCACCCGCCACCATGTCCGGCTAATTTTTGTATTTTTAGTAGAGATGGGGTTTCACCATGTTGGTCAGGCTGGTCTCGAACTCCTGACCTCAGGTGATCCACCCGCCTCAGCCTCCCAAAGTGCTAGGATTATAGGTGTGAGCCACCGTGCCAGGCGAAAGGTGAAATTTTAACAGAAGGAAATGAGGTGTGCTAGAAAAGTCATTTGAACGGGTGATTAATGGTTTGACTCCATTTCAGACTTAAAACAAGAAACAAAAGCTAAAATCTTGGTCTGTAGATTGTGTGTGTGTGTGTGTGTGTCTCTCTGTCTGTCTGTCTTTGTCTTAATCTCTAGCAAAGAAGAGTTGCTGCAACAGAGTATGACTTTTTTCTTGGGTCCAGAAGCTGAAACTCAAGGAGTTAAGAGCTAACTGTGCAAATATTTCCATTTGTTTTCTTGATAAGGCCCCAGTATCATTTATTTAGAGTCAAGATGTGATGACATATACTCTTAAAACATCAGAGGCTAACATATAAATAGGATATATCTAGTAGGGAAGAATGTGTGGCCCATTAGGAAAAATTGAAATGAATTGACTTTGCACTTACACATCTGTTAAGGACCTGGGGTCTTAGTGGGTCTCAGATAAATGGGAATCGGCTAAGTACTGTGACTGCAAAACAGACATGAATCTAACAGGTAGAATCGGGTGACCAATATGAGGGATTCTCTGCTCAACTCTCTAGTCTCATATAGTTTGGGACCCTAGATTGATAGAAACCTTTTTAGGAGGCTAGACATGGTGGTTCCTACCTGTAATCCTAGCACTTTGGGAGGCCGAGGCAGGAGGATCACTTGAGCTCAGGAGTTCAAGACCAGCCCGGGTAACGTGAGACCCAAACTCTACCAAAAAAAAAAAAAAAAAAAAAAAAAAAAAAAAAATATATATATATATATATATATATATATATATATATATATATTGGCAGGCACCTGTAGTCCCAGCTATTCCGGAGGCTGAGGTGAGAAGATCATTTGAGCTCAAGAGTTAAAGGTTAGGGTGAACTGTGATCAGGCTACTGCACTCCAGCTTGGGCAACAGAGTAAAAGCCTGTCTCTAAAAAAAAAAAACATATATATATATGGCTGGGCGTAGTGGCTCATGCCTGTAATCCCAGCACTTTAGGAGGCCAAGGTGGGTGGATCACCTGAGGTTAGGAGTTTGAGACCAGTCTGGTCAACATGGTGAACCCTGTCTCTACTAAAAACACAAAAAATTAGCTGGACGTGGTGGCAGGTGCCTGGGTGCCTGTAATCGCAGCTACTCGGGAGGCTGAGGTAGGAGAAATGCTTGAACCCAGGAGGTGGAGGTTGCAGTGAGCTGAGATCGCACCACTGCATTCCAGCCTGGGCGACAAGAACGAAACTCTATCTCAAAATATGTATGTATGTGTGTGTGTGTATATATATATATATATGTATATATATATGTATATATATGTATTTATGTATATATAAATCAAAATGAAAAACCTTTTTGGATACTAAGAGCAACAAAATTTAGGGAAGTAATTTCTTAAGTATAGATTAAAACAAATATTTATGCAGCCTGGTGACTAGAAGGCTGTTGTGTAACTAAACACCATGAAACTTAATATTGCGATAGTCCTCCCCACATGAAGAGAGAGTGTGAGTGATGAAGGGCCATGTTCTTATATCTATTAAAACTCAAGAGGGAATTTGGTTGCATATGAAAGGACTTAGGTATTATAAAGGGTTAGATACTTGGAAGAACTGCAAGTTTAATAAGATGCTGAAATAAGTTGCCAACAGAAATGTTGGTTATTAAAAAAAAGAAAAAAGCAAGGGCTAGATAGTTGTTTTTCTGGGAGAGTTGGATGCAGAAAAACGACATAGATGACCACAGAGGTCCATAATCCACAAATTATAAGCAATGGGTGTTTGTTTTTATACCTTTAGGTTTCCTAAGAACATTTAGATTTTGCTTAATAGGTTGGAAAATTCAAGTAATGTTATTACTGATTACATTTTTCTTTTCTTGGAATTTCCCTTAAAGATAATATTGAGCCTTACTGGAAACCTCCCCAGGTCTTTCGAAGCCACAGTCCCCTCCCACTCTAGTGTAGGAAACTGAGATAGCTCAGTGCTCAAGCCTGAATTCTCTGTAGGTTCTAGAATAAACAACCCTAAACTGCTTATAACAGAGGAATGAAATGACTAAAAAGGATGAGAGTCCTTCAGAGTTGTTCTGGTGACATGGAAGATATTCCCTCATGGTTTTTTTTTGTTGGTATTGTTTATGATTTCATTTGTAAGACATTCAGTTAGTATGGAGAAAGTTCTACCTGCTTTTTTTCCATCTTCTTGTTTCTAAAGTTTATCCTTTTTTTTTGGAGACAGGGTCTCACTCTTTCCCAGGCTGGAGTGCAGTGACATGATCACAGCTCACTGCAGCCTCGACCTCCTGGGTTCAAGCAATCCTCCCAGCTCAGCTTCCCGAGTAGCTGGGACTACAGGGGTGTGCCACCATACCGAGCTAATTTATTTTTTGGTTTTGTTTTTGTAGAGATGGGATCTCACTATGTTACAGGCTGTGCTTGAACTCCAGGGCTCAAGCAGTCCTCCTGCTGTAGCCTCCTGAAGTGCTGGGATTACAGGTGTGCGCCACCTTGCTCAGCCTCATCCATTCTTGTAGTCAATATTTTTTAATGCCTACTATGTGCCAGGTGCTAGATATACAGTGTAAACAATGGTGAAGAAAACAGGGATGATCCCTGCTTTCAGGAAGCCCAGAGCCTTGTAGGGGAGTAGGCATTAAACGAATGAACATGTAATCTCAGCACTTTGGGAGGCCGAGGCAGGGGGATCACCTAAGGTCAGGAGTTCGAGACCAGCCTGGCCAACATGGTGAAATCCTGTCTCTCCTAAAAATACAAAAATTAGCTGAGTGTGGTCGTGTGCACCTGTAATCCTGGCTACTTGGGAGGCTGAAGCAGGATAATTGCTTGAACCCAGGAGGCAGAGATTGCAGTGAGCCGAGATTGCTCCACTGCACTCCAGCCTGGGCTATAGAGTGAGATTCTGTCTCAAAAAAAAAAAAAAAAGAAAAAAGAACTCACAAATAAATAATCATATATTGTGGTAAGTACTGTGGAGAAAGAGGACAGGATATTATAGAAGAAAAGGGCAGGAAGGACATGATTTAAAGAAGGAGATTGCAGGTAGCCTCTCTGAGGCAGAGAGCTGAAGAAAGAAGAGGAATTTTTCTAGTGAGGAGTGGAGGAAGGGGGCCTGGTGGAGGAGTAGCAGCCTGTGCAAAGGCCCTGAGGCAGGAATACCTGGGAAGTGGGGGCGTGCTTGTGTAAGATGAGGCTGAAGAGGAAGGCGAGGCTTTACTTAGGAGGAATGGTAAGCCACTGAGTGTTAAAATTAAAAGCAGTGGGGGCTGGGCACAGTGGCTTACACCTATAATCCCAGTACTTTGGGAGGCCAAGGTGGGTGGATCACCTGAGGTCAGGAGTTTGAGACCAGCCTGGCCCAACATGGGCTCTACTAAAAGTACAAAAATTAGCTGGCCATGGTGGCGGGTGCCTGTAATCCCAGGAGGCTGAGGCAGGAGAATTGCTTGAACCTGGGAAGCAGAGGTTGCGGTGAGCTGAGACTGCGCCATTGCACTCCAGCCTGGGCAACAAGAGCAAAACTCCGTCTCAAAATAAATAAATAAATAAATAAATAAATAAATAAATAAATAAATATAAATAAAAGTAGTGGGTTGATACGGTCCAATTTATTTGTCAGAGATCACCGTGGCTCTTGGGTAGAGAATGGATTTGAAGCTGGCCTAACCTAGAATTGGACAGACAAAATGGGAGGCTGTTGCAGTAATCTAGATGGTGGATGGTGGTGGCTTGGACTAGAATGATGTCCAAGCCACCTGTGGAGGTGGACAGAGGTGGTGGATTTAAGAAATATCTTGGAGGTTCAACTGACCTGACATATGATGGATTGGATATGGTAGGGTGAGAGGGAAAGAAAGTAATAAGAATGAACACATAAAATCAGGAGAGCTTGGTGTTGAAAGTGAACCAGGAAGTGGCAGCTGCTTTCTTTCCCTTACAGTCACTGTGATACCAGGGTGAGGTCACCATTACAAAGACAGCTTTGGGCTGTGACACCTGTGAGTGGAGATTTCTGTTGGAGATTTCTGTTGAAGTGAATTACTAGGAAATGCCATTGAAACCAGGGCGTGTATGTATGTGTCTGCAAGTGATTACCCACTCAGTACCGCCAAGTCTTTGTCTTGTAACAGCAGAGCTGCTGTGATCTCATTGATGTGCTGTCACACAGCAGATGAAGTCACTGCTTTAAGGGATATAGGACTAAGAAAAGGAGAACATAATATATAACATTAGTAAAGTTAGACCCATAAATGAAAAAAAAATTCTCAAGTAAGTGAACCAGTTAAATGTTTTTTGCATTACGAACTGTAAGCATAGAAAAGAGTCTTGTGCCTTTCTCATTTTACTTAAACTGCCTTTGGTTACAAAGACTTCTATTGTATTTCTGTAACTCCCATCAGAGGAAGGTTTTTATAAATAGTATCTGATATGTCATTTTAATTGTAGTTATTAACTAAAAAATGTTATAATTACATTACAAGCAATCCACATGCTTATTAAAATGCCATCAACTCTAACATGTATTTGCTGACATTACTCTTCCTATCCCTTAACAATAATCTTAGACATCCATTAAGATACTATGGTTTTCATTGCTATACGCCCTGGAAAATTGTGCTTCTTACCCTATACTTTTGAAGGAGGGACAGCTAGCTCTGGCTTAGCTCCAGAAGGATTAAGAAGGTCTAGCCTTGAATAGAGAGAGTGATGGGAGGTCATTTTAGGCCTTATCTTCATCTCAGAGCACTTCCCTAGGTGGCCTTTGGTTCTGGGTCTGGCACAGATCTCTAGACCTAAGGGTCTCTGAATTACAACAAAATTAACCCCCAGACCCTTGTATTGGCAACGAGAGAGGTTTTGCTCTCCATAAGATGTCCTGGTTCAGATCTCATGCCCCAGCTGGCTCAGGAGGAGACCAAGCCTGACTTTGCCCTGTTTTCCTCTGGGACAGGGACCATGTCTGTTGTGTCCTTTGCTGTGTTACCCAGCGTAGGGGCTCAATAAATGCATCTGTGAGGGAGGCAGTGGTTGTGGTTCCTGTAGGCACAGGGCAGGCAGTAGATTGCCTGGGTGAACGTGGAGAAGCATTTAATCTTATGTTTAGCCTGGTAGATTACAGACTGGGGATGTCCGAAGTATGAAATCAAAGCTCTGCTTCTTTTGGTTTCCCAGTTTGGGGTATGGCTTTGTGGTCAGTGCCCTTTTCTTCTTCTTTTTTTTTTTTTTTTGGCAGAATTTTGCTCTTGTTGCCCAGGCTGGAGTGCAATGCCTCAATCTCAGCTCACTGCAACCTCCGCCTCCCAGGTTCAAGCAATGATTCTCCTTCCTCAGCCTCCTGAGTACCCTTTTCTTCTTGAAGAAGCAGGTTACTTTCTGCGGCTTGCTGGCTAATGATGCCTGTGGCAAAGGAGGCAGTTTTCACCACTAATGAGACAGAAATTCCTCTCCTGCAGGGAGACGATTGTTGATAATCTGTTAGAGGAAAATCAAGGGCTTTAGTCTCCAGGGTGTTCCTGGGGGACACATTTAGGAATGTGCCTGTGGAGAGAAAAAAGGCAATGGTAATTAAGTATCTTTTCCTGAATGCTGGCCTTTGAATGGAGTAGAGGGAAGGCATTTATAAGAAATCCCCAAAAAATATTTCTAGAGGTGTGACTGCCACTTCACTTTTTAAAAAAGGACATGGCTAGCGTCTAGGTAGAACAATTAAGGCCTCTAGAAAGCCTGGTCTAAAGAGGCCTCTGGTTATTATAAAAGAATGGGCATCCTGTGTGAAATACAGTAGCAGTCGACTGGGGCCCCAGATGTTTCTTCAGTCTGCTCCTTTCCCATGCAGAGAACTGTGACATGTGGTTCACCAAAATAGAACTTTTCATTTTTACTAATCATTTGTTATTAAAACAGGATTTAGAAATGCTTTGGTGAGGCCAGGCTCATGCCTGTAATCCCAGCACTTTGGGAGGCCGAGGTGGGTGGATCACTTGAGGTCAGGAGTTCGAGACCAGCCTGGCCAACATGGTGAAACCTTGTTTCTACTAAAAACACAAAAAATTAGCCAGGTATGGTGGCGGGCACCTGTTATCCCAGCTACTCAGGTGGCTGAGGCAGAAGAATCACTTGAACCTGGGAGGCAGAGCTTGCGGTGAGCCAAGATCCCGCCACTGCACTCCAGCCCGGGTGACTCTGTCTCAAAGAAAAAAAAAAAGAAATGCTTTTGGTGTAATTATTTTCCCTTCCTTTGGACTTACCTTGCTTATGGAATAAATCATAGATACTCTGCTTCCTTGCCAGAAACTCTCATGGCAAGAAGTATGGGAGTTTATGTGGTGAGGAAGGGCTGAGTGTTCTCTGATGTCAGTCATGCTGAAGTTTGTTTTCTTTTGTCCTGGTTAAGGGGTGGTGAACCAAACTATTGCATTTTATTTTTCCATTCTTAAAGTCTCTGTATGTGAGGACCCCATGGTTGCCCCAAGACAATATTCTTTGACAGAACAAATAAATGCATCAGTGGCATTTACATTTGAGCAAGAGGTGAGATACTGGATTTGATGGTAGAATATTAACATATGTGGCTTTTTGAGATAGGATCGAGCTTTGTAAAGAATTGGTAAGTCATGATGATGGGTGTGGTAGACTTAAATGTTTAAAAATGAGTTAATTTTTCTAATTCTTAGAGAATTGTTAAAATAAAGATGCTTGGTATTTCCTTTAGTCTTCACCTACAAGAAATTTAGTATTGCTCTCCACTTAGAAAACCTATCTTGATTCATAGACTTAATTATGCCATCTTGGCCTATTTCTGAGAGTTCGAGGGCCCTCTGTTTCTTGTCTCTTTCTTTTCTGTGTAGAAACCCTGAAGGGGTCCATAAGGATCATGACATCTCTCAATAAGTTGCGGAAAGTAAAGCCGGGCGCGGTGGCTCATGCCTGTAATCCCAGCACTTTGCGAGGCCGAGGCGGGCAGATCACGAGGTCAGGAGATCGAGACCATCTTGGCTAACATGGTGAAACCCCATCTCTACTAAAAATACAAAAATTTAGCTGGGCGCGGTGGCGGGTGCTTGTAATCCCAGCTACTCAGGAGGCTGAGGCAGGAGAATGGCGTGAACCCAGGAGGTGGAGCTTGCAGTGAGCTGAGATAGCGCCACTGCAGTCCGGCCTGGGCAAAAAAGCGAGACTCCATCTCAAAAAAAAAAAAAAAAAAAAAAAAAGTTGCAGAACGTATACACTGAGGGGCTGGGTGCAGTGGTGGCTCATTCCTGTAATCCCAGTACTTTGGGAGGATCACTTGAATCCAGGAGTTTAAAACCAGCTTAAGCAACATGATGAGACCCTGTCTCTACAAAAAATAAAACATTAGCAGAGTGTGGTGGTGCACGCCTGTAATCCTAGCTACTTTGTAGGCTAAGGTGGGAGGATTGCTTGAGCCTGGGAAGTTGAGACTGCAGTGAGCCGTGATGGCATCACTGCAGTCCAGCTTGGGCAACAGAGCCCGTCTGAAAAAAATGAAAACAAATACATTTTTTTTTTTAAAGAAAGTACACACTGATCATGGTTTGTTAAAAATTTTATATATCTTTTAAGTTTGGAAATGTAGCTAGGTGTGGTGTCTCACGCCTGTAATCCCAGCACTTTGGGAGGCCAAAGGGGGCGGATCACCTGAGGTTAGGAGTTTGAGACCAACCTGGCCAGCATGGTGAAACTCCGTCTCTACTAAAGATACAAAAATTAGCCGGGTGTAGTGGTGGGCGCCTGTAATCCCAGCTACTCAGGAGGCTGAGGCAGGAGAATCACTTGAACCCAGGAGGCAGAGGCTGCAGTGAGCTGTGATTGCGCCACTGCACTCCAGCCTGGGCGACAGAATGAGACTCCGTCTCAAAAAATAGATAAACAGATACATAATTTTGGAAATTATATAATGCAAACCAATTTTGGAAGTGAGTCATTTCTGTTCCCTTCAAATGCAAATCATTGTTATTTATATTTGGTCGATAAGTTAGGGTGGTTAGTAATACAGTGTGTCAAAACTGTTAAAATCCTAAGTTCCCTTTAGAGAATCATCTGAATGGGTAGATAAACTATGGCATATACCCACTTCACGGAATATCATTTAGCCATTCAAAATTATAAGTTTGACGATTATAAGCCAGTAATGTATAATGCACTACAAAGAAAATTGCATATGTACAGCTAAGTAGGAGTTATAGCTAAGACTTATGGCCAGGTACTGTTCTAAGCACTTTGCATACATTAAGCCATTTAATCTTCCTAACATTCTTATGAGGTGGGTGTTCCTAACCCTGTTTCAGAAGAGGATCCTGTCCCACAGAGAGGTTAAATATCTTGCCTAAGGTTTCTCAGCTGCTAGTTGTTAAAATGTATGGGAAAAAGACTTAAAGAAGATTTATAAAAAGGCAATGGTCAGATTAGCATGGGACTGAGTCCATTTTTACTTTTTTTTTTTTTTTTTTGAGATGGCGTCTCACTCTGCCACCCAGGCTGGAGTGCCGTGGCGCGATCTTGGCTCACTGCAACCTCCACTTTCCAGGTTCAAGCAATTCTTGTGCCTCATCCTCCCGAGTAGCTGGGATTACAGGTGTGTACCACCACACCCGGCTCATTTTTGTATTTTTAGTAGAGGCAGGGTTTCACCATGTTGGCCAGGCTGGTCTCGAACTCCTGACCTCAAGTGATCTGCCCGCCTCGGCCTCCCAATGTGCTGGGATTACAGGCGTGAGCCTCCATGTCTGGCTGTCATTTACCAGTTCTTAGAATTCAGTTTGGTGGCTACAAACAGCCTTTCCATGCTGCTGGAGTGGCTGTTTTGGGAATTAAGGTCAAAAAAACAAGCCATGACCTATTTGCCACTCTCATGATTTACGAATTTTTCCAAGTAGCTGACAATGGGCAGAGGGCAAGGTCTAGGGAGGCAATGTCGGCTGATGGGTAATTCTGTGTTCAGAGTTAGGTTATGATGACTAGCTACCTTCTTCAATACCAGCGCTCGTTAAACTGCATAGCTTCTGGAAGGTACACAGCACAGATGTTTTATAGGTCATAAACATTTCTGTCTGTCTGCTGTGCATGGCTTCTAGGTGACCAGAAGAAGAGACTGGACGTTTTACCCATATGCAATCACTCCTTTTCAGATCCTTTTTAAAAGATGTTCTCAACTGCTAACTACATGATTTGCAGCCTGATTTTTTATTTCCTGGGGAAGACAGTTCATGGACTGCTTTTAAAATTTCTTCATCTAAGAAAGGTTAAGTGTGTCCTCTGTCCCACACTAGGTCAGGGGTGGTTCTGTTCTTCCTGCTTCTTTCCTCACTCGAGGCCATCATCCCCTGTGTCATGATGCCTGGTTAACGTGGAGATGACTCATGCTATAAGTCAGGATTGGGATTTTGTGTAGCCAAGGAAGTAGGCAGTCCTCACCGAACCCGGAGTCCAAACTGGATACAGAAATGATGATCCCTTGAAATTAACACTGACACATGTAAAGTGTGGAGGTAACCCAGAGAGCTGGTGGTCCTCCTTG
Source organism: Homo sapiens (assembly GCF_000001405.40). Taxonomy (NCBI): domain Eukaryota; kingdom Metazoa; phylum Chordata; class Mammalia; order Primates; family Hominidae; genus Homo; species Homo sapiens. The sequence continues at coordinate 37,886,463 of NC_000008.11, read as the reverse complement.
CCTGGCCTTTCCTGGAGACCTGTGTTTAATACGGGGATGCAGTATTTATTCACTTCCTGAACAGTCCCTAGATAGGTGGTTCTGATAGCCTGTTGGGGCTTAAATGACCTGAAACCTTATTTGTATGTGAGTCATTATTGTGATGAAATTGTGTACTTCAGCAAGAGTTTTACCTGTAATTAATTTCTCTCATGCCTGAAAGTTAGAAAGTTGGAAGCAGTTGCCCCAATGTAACAAATGCTTTGTGATCTTGGGTGAGCCTGTTCCCCATCCCATTGCAGGGAAAGCTTTTTAGTCCTCCTCATTCTCTGTATTTCCAGCGTCTGGCATGTAAAAACGTTGGAACTGAATCTCCGAAGGCATCATTTCTCTGCATATGTCTGCTCTCTGGAATGTTCTAAAGGGAAAAAACATGTTTGTTTCAGCTGCAGAAAGATTATTTTTGAGACATACCAGTCAGTCCTTTACCAGCGTAATCGTGAATATCTGCAGGGCTGCACGGGAAGGCTTTTCATTTCCCCATAGCAAGAGCCATGCTGCCCTGACCCTGCCACATTCCGACAGAAGGACCCCTGGGATCAGCTCTGGGTATGTTTGGGAAGCCAACTCCATGTTCTGAGGCACACCGGCCCTGAGGATAGGGCATGGTTGAATGGTCTTAGCTGTTCCAGAAGGACTGAAAAGCCCAAGAGATTTCACAGTATGGATGCAGGCACGGGCTTCCCAGTGGGCTACTCAGGGGTGCCCTGCACACCACTCTTGTGTGTGGGCACAGGCTCATGTTTTTTTCTGCATTGTATTTAGCTCATTCTTTTTCTGTGTTCCCTTATTTCTCTTCATAAAACATCTTTTTGAAAGTGTAGAAAACTTAAATGACTTTTTGTATACTTTTATCTGTGCCTTGTCTTGTGTTTGACCAAAAAAAAATAAGATCCCCAAAAACAAAAACTGCAGGGTAGCCTATTTGGATAATACACAGTTTTGCTTGTCTGTGGCAGGACCACCATTTGGGAGGGTGTATAAAACTGATAATAGTGGTTGTCTCTGGTATGGAGACTGAGGGGCATGGGATCAGGAGGGGTGGGAAGATGGAATTTTTCATCCTATACCATTTTGTATGATTTGAATTTTTACCCAATGCCTGTTATTACTTAAAAATATAGGCTGGGGGCCGGGCCTTCTGGCTCACACCTGTAATCCCAGCACTTTGGGAGGCCAAGGTGGACGGATCATCTGAAGTCAGGAGTTCGAGACCGGCCTGGCCATCACGGTGAAACCCCGTCTCTACTAAAAATACAAAACTTAGCTGGGTGTGGTAGCGCATGCCTGTTATCCTGGCTACTCAGGAGGCCGAGACAGGAGAATTGCTTGAATCTGGGAGGCAGAGGTTGCAGTGAGCCGAGATCACGCCACTGCACTCCAGCCTGTGCAACACGGTGAGACTCCATCTCAAAAAAAAAAAAAACAATTAAAAAATATAGGCCGAGTGCAATGGCTCACACCTGTAATCCCAGGCACTATGAGAGACTGAGGTGAGAGGATTCTGTGTGGCCAGGAATTTAAGACCAGCCTGGGCAGCATAGCAAGACCCTATCTCTAAAACAAAACAAAAGACTAGCTGGCATAGTGGTTCACACCTGTAATCCTGGCACTTTGGGAGGCTAAGGCAGGCAGATCACTTGAGGTCAGGAGTTCGAGACCAGCCTGGCCAACATGGTGAAACCCTGTCTCTACTAAAAATACAAAAATTAGCTGGGCATGATGGTATTTGCCTGTAATACCAACTACTCTGGAGGCTGAGGCATGAGAATTGCTTGAACCCGGGAGGTGGAGGTTGCAGTAAGCCGAGATCATGCCACTGTACTCCAGCCTGGGCAACAGAGCAAGACTGTCTCAACAACAACAACAACTAGTTGGGTGTGGTGGCACATGCTTTTAGTCCCAGCTCCTCAAGAGGCTGAGGTGGGAGGATGGCTTGAGCCTAGAACTTTGAAGCTGCTGTGAGCTATGAATGTGCACTGTACTCCAGCCTGGACAACAGAGCAAGACCCCATCTCAAAATATATATGTGTGTGTATATAGTTTATAGAAATTTTATGTTGGCCGGGTGTGGTAGCTCACGCCTGTATTCCCAGCACTTTGGGAGGCCGAAGCAGGTGGATCATGAGGTCAGGAGTTCGATACCAGCCTGGCCAAGATGGTGAAACCCTGTCTCTAGTAAAAATACAAAAATTAGCCGGATGCAGTGGTGTGCGCCTGTACTCCCAGCTACTCGGGAGGCTGAGGGAGGAGAATCACTTGAACCTGGGCGACGGTGGTTGCAGTGAGCTGAGATCATGCCACTGTACTCCAGCCTGGGCAATAGACAATAGAATGAGACTCTGTCTCAAAAATAAATAAATAAATAAATAAATAAATAAAATTATGTCACTTTCTACATATCCAGAGATCCTTTTAATTCTTGCAGGACTGAGTTTAATGATAAGCAATAATAATTTGTTTATTGAAGGGATCATTTGATTTTTACTTTTGATAGGTGGCAAGATTTTTTCAGAATATGGGCTTAAAAATAAACTTGCTACATTGGGATTATGGCTCTCTTTTTCTGCCCTTTGGACTAGGGAAATGGACCCAACCCTGATTTCTGAGATAATTCAAGCTTTCAGGGCCTACGTGAAAGATAATACTGGAACACACCCACGCTGCCATCACATGCTGTGTTGCTAGGCTGGGACTTTATTATTTATGAGCTACTTCTGTGAGGTGCAGGAATTAAGTGAACTGAAAAACACATGGGCAGTAACACTTAGAAACTGGGTTGATCTTAAATATAAAAATCCCCAGATGTGTTCTTCTGGTTTGGGATTTCTTAGGGCAAGATATTCAAGCACTGTGGCTTTCACTGTCTTATCAAAGTATGCTTCTATCAAACATCCCTTGCTTAAACTGTTTTTGAATTTGAGGATAATATTGCTAGTAAAAGAAACAATTCTTGGCTGGGCACAGTGGCTCACGCCTGTAATCCCAACACTTGGGGAGGCTGAGGCAGGCGGATCACCTGAGGTCAAGAGTTTGAGACCAGCCTGGCCAACATAAAATTAGTTGGGCATAGTTGCGCACGCCTGTAATCCCAGCTACTCAGCAAGCTGAGGCAGGAGAATCGGTTGAACCCAGGAGGAGGAGGTTGCAGTGAGCTGAGATCACGTCACTGCACTCCAGCCTGGGCGATAGAGTGAGACTCAGTCTCTAAAACAAACAGACAAACAAACAAACACCAAGAAAAAAAAACCAGAAAAAAAAAAAAACGAAACAATTCTTGTTTTGCTTTCCAGCTTTAATACATGGAGCACAGATTTGTAAATTCTGCCTCTTTGCCTGGGCTGTTTCCCTGCTGGCCTGTGATTCAGCCTGTTTCATATCCTTCAATAGCCCCGTGGCTGGTGCCTGGCTACCTGGTGTTTGGCTTTAGGTTTGCTTGTGAAATTAAGCAGCAAGAACAGTTGGTGACGTTTATATTTGCACTTCCTAATGGTGTTGGAAGTTTCCAAAGCAAATCCCACTTTAGGACCCAGGGATTGGACCTGAGAATCAGGTAATAATTGGTCCCGAGGGAGGATTCTGGAATCGGTTGTAGTTTTGCTCAAAAACCATTAGGAAGTGCAAAGAAAACCTCACTGATACTTTCGGAAAGGCAAGGCTGGCCCTTGGAATTGTCAACTGGCTATGTTACAGGAAAGGGGTCCTGATCCAGACCCCAAAAGAGAGTGTTTGGTCTCCCGCAAGAAAGAATTCAGGGCAAGTCTGCAGTGCAAAGTAAAAGCAAGTTTATTAAGAAAGCAAAGTATTGAAGGTACAGCTACTCCATAGACAGAGTAGGACGTTCCCGAAAGTAAGAGGAGGAACACCTCCACTCTAGGCACTATGCTTATTCATACACAGGATAAAAAGATCATTGAGAGATGTGCCCTACTACAAGGGTTTGTGATAAAGGATTAATTTTCTTAATTACTATATTTTGTGAGAATCAATATTATTAGCTTCAAAGCAAAATTAGGATAGCCTTTGTTCTCCAGATTTGGGGATATTAGAACACTCCCAAGTCTGGGTCTGTTTGGTAAACATTATCCATCTGTTCCCTTACCCATAAACATCTAGAGGCTAGGAATACCTAACTTTCTGGGAATGCAGCGCAGCAAGTCCCAGCCTCATTTTCCTAGCCCTCACTCAAGATGGAGTTGCACTGGTTTGAATGCCTCTGACAGCTGCTTTGGAGGCCTGTCACATTTGTGCATCCCCGTGGAGGGCTAATAGAAGGGCCCGTGTGGAAGAGCTGTGGAGAAACCCCTGCCTGAAGCTCCTGCCCTGGGCGGGGAGGTGAAGCGTGCTGCCCGCCTGCGGTTGGTGAGGTCATCGAAACCTCCTCAGTTAGCGTTCAGCAACTTCTCCTTTTCAGGTGCCTGCAACTGGTATTTACAAAAGCTAAACACCCTTCATCACCAAGGCTACCATTTACCACATGACTGTCAGAAGAGAAAAATATAAATAATCCTCTCAAAATTGAAGTGACAAATATGCAGACAATTCCAGGCCAGGCCCTGGAAAATGTATTGGACAGACACTAGGCTGGCAAGGGTGACATTGTCTATAAAGACCTTGCATTTTCCACTTGAGCCCAGGAGTCCAGGGCTGCAGTGAGCTATGATCGCACCACTGCACTCCAGCCTGGGCAAGAGAGTGAGACCCTGTTGCAAAAAATAAAAAATAAAAAAAGACCTTGCGTCTTGCAACACCCACCACTCCCCGCCTGCCCAGCTCTGGATTGAGGTTATAAAAACCATAAAAGATTTGTCTCCTAAGGGTCCAAAATTATAGCTCATATAATTTTATCCTCTCCTTGCTGTATTTTGTGAATTCATTTTAAGTTCTTCTTGATGACTTTGTATACTGGCCTTTAAGTAATCTCAACGATTTATGACTGATGGCAAGCTATGTTAGTTTCCTTCCTTTCTTCTTTCATCTTTGGACATTTAAATGAGAAGCTTAAATGTTTCTCAAAAAGAATTTAAATTTGAACCCTCTTTTCTCTATGTTACAAAAGATGGCCCATCCAAGATAAATTAGGAGAGAATTTAAAGCAGGAGTCTTGGTGTAGGGGAAAGAATAGGAGAAAGAATAGGGGAAACTGATTTGGAATCCTAGCTGTACCCCATAGTGGTTGCAAGACCTTGTGCCAGTTCTCAGACCTCTGAGCTTCAATTTCTTCATCTATAAAATGGGTATAATATCTACTCCGTGTCGTTCTTGTGAGGCTGAAATGAAGATGTCTCTGTGCGTAGGCAGTGTCAGGTATGCCACAGGTGCTGTTTAGGTGTTAGGTTTCGACTTTCCCCTGTGCCTTTCCTCTAAGTGTAGAAGGAGCCGTAGCAGTGGGGGCAGGGATCTGCCCTGTGAGCGAGCCACCAGCCATGGCTGAAGGTGAAAGAGGAAGTTGTGCTCATTTGGGCAAAACCATCATTTCCTTTAAGTCCACTACCTTCCGCTCTTAAATAGGTCACCGAAAAGAACTTCAGAATGTGAGTTCTCAGTTTGTGAGGGTGACCTGGTGGACAGCTCACTATAGACCAGGTATTTGGAGTTATTTGTCCCATTGTATGGTCTTGCTACAAACTGGGCTCACATTTTTTTTTTTTTTTTTTGAAAGGGATAGGGTCTCACTCTGTTGCGCAGGCTGGAGTGCAGTGGTGCAATCATAGCTCTTACTACAGCCTTGAACTCCTGGGTTCAAGTGATCCTCCTGCCTCAACCTCCCAAGTAGTTGGGACTATTAAGTACGCACCACTGCACCCAGCTAATTAAAAAAAAATATTTTTAGCCACGCTTGGTGGCTTATGCCTGTAATCCCAGCACTTTGGGAGGCCAAGGTGGGTGGATCACTTGAGGTCAGGAGTTTGAGACCAGCCTGTCTAACCATACCCTGTCTCTACTAAAAATACAAAGAATAGCTGGGCATTGTGGCATATACCTGTAGTCCCAGCTACTCGGGAGGCTGAGGCAGGAGAATCACTTGAACCCGGGAGGCGGAGGTTGCAGTGAGCCGAGATCGCGCCATTGCACTCCAGCCTGGGGGACAGAGCGAGACTCTGTCTCAAAAAAACAAAAATTTTTTTTTTGGAGAATGGGATCTTGCCTTGTTGCCTATACTGGTCTCAAACTCCTGGATCCAACCAATCCTCCTCTCTCAGACTCCCAAAGCACTGGGATTACAGGTGTGAGCCACTGTACCCAACCTGGCTCACATTCTTACAGTTCACCAAAGGTATAGGGCTCCTAAATGGAAAATGAATGCCATGAGATCTCCTTTTTCTGAAGCTTGTCTCTCAGTGGAGTTGGACTGGTATAATGTCATTTTTCACATCTTGAAGTGGGTTGCAAATGACCAAGTGTAATTCTTGGATAGTGTTTGAAATGTGACTTTTTCTGATTATTAAGCTAGGGAAGAAGGCTTCCTTTCCAACTAACCATTTTTTTTATTGTGGTAAAATATATGTAACATTAAATTTACCATTTTAACCTGTTTTTTTGAGACAGAGTCTCACTCTGTCACCCAGGCTGGAGTGCAGTAGTGTGATCTTGGCTCACTACAACCTCCCTCTCCCGGGTTCAAGCGATTCTCCTGCCTCAGCCTCTAGAGTAGCTGAAATTACAGGCATGTGGCACAACACCCGGCTATTTTTTGTATTTTTAGTAGAGATGGGGTTTCACCATGTTGGTCAGGCTGGTCACAAACTCCTGACCTCAAGTGATCTGCCCGCCTTGGCCTCCCAAAGTGCTGGGATTACGGGCGTGAGCCACTGCGCCTGGCCCCATTTTAACCATTTTTAAGTGTGCAGTTCAATGTCATTAAGAATATTCACATTGTTGTGTGATCATCACCGCCATCCATCTCCGGAACTTTTTCATTTTCCACAACTGAAGCTCTATACCCATCAAACATTAACTCCTCATTCTCTCCTTCCCCTCCTCCGGCAATCACCATTCTACTTTCTGACTGGATGAATTTGACTAACCCAGGAACCTCACATAAGTGGACTCATATAGTGTTTGTCATTTTCTAACTGACTGATTTCACTTTTTTTTTTGTTTTTTTTGAGATGGAGTCTGGCTCTGTCGCCTAAGCTGGAGTGCTGGAGTGCAGTGGCATGATCTTGGCTCACTGCAACCTCCGCCTCCCGGGTTCAAGCAATTCTCCTGCTTCAACCTCCTGCATAGCTGGGATTACAGGTGCTCGCCATGATGCCCGGCTAATTTTTGTATTTTTAGTAGAGACGGGGTTTCGCCATGTTGGCCAGGCTGGTCTTGAGTTCCTGACCTCAGGTGATCTGCCTGCCTCGGCCTCCCAAAGTACTGGTATCACAGGCGTGAGCCACTGTGCCTAGCCTGATTTCACTCTTTTAAAAAATTCTTTATTTTTATTTATTTATTTTTAGAAACAGAGTCTCACTTTGTCACCCAGACTAGAGTGCAGTGGTGCAATTATAGCTCACTGCAGCCTCGAATTCCTAGGCTCATGTTGAGTAGCTGAGAGTATAGGCGCACACCACCATGCCGGCAAATTTTTTAATTTTTTATGGAGATGGAGTCTCGCAATATTGCCCAGGCTGGTCTTGAACTCCTGGCCTCAAGTGATCCTCCTGCCTCAGGCTCCCAAATCTCTGGGATTACAGGTGTGAGCCACCATGCCCAACCCCCTCCCCACTTTTTTTTTTTTTTTAATTCTGTGTTGTATTATTATTATTTTTTTACTCCCTGGCAGGGACCATTCCTTACTACAAACTTGATTTTCTCTGAGATTTAATTATACATCATTTGCACGCCACCCTTCTTAACTGTTTGTGTATGATCTTTGCTTTTTTTTTTTTTTTTTTTTTTTGAGATGGAGTCTCACTCTGTTGTCCAGGCTGGAGTGCAGTGGTGCGATCTCGGCTCACTGCAACGTCTGCCTCCTGGGTTCAAGTGATTCTCCTGCCACGGTCTCCTGAGTAGCTGGGACCACAGGCGCCTGCCACCACACCCGGCTAATTTTTTATATTTTTAGTAGAGATGGGGTTTCACCATATTGGCCAGGCTGGTCTCGAACTCCTGACCTTGTGATCCACCCACCTCAGCCTCCCAAAGTGCTGGGATTACAGGTGTGAGCCACCGCACCTGCCCTGATCTTTACATTTTTACCCTACTGAAGGAAAACATCACTCATCGGAAGTGATTCCATGGAATATTTTTTTTTCTTTATTTTTAGAATGAGCTCTTTATTGAATCAGGATTTGAGGTGATTATACGCTAAGCACAACACTGGATCCTATCTTTGTCTAGCGCGTGTCTTCTCAAAAATAAAAGTGCAAAATAAAAAACAAAACAAAAGAAATAAAAGTGCAAATTCTGCTCTCAGCCGGGTGCAGTGGCTCACGCCTGTAATCCCAACATTTTGGGAGGCTGAGGCGGGCGGATCATCTGAGGTCAGGAGTTCGAGTCCAGCCTGGCTACCATGGTGAAACCCCATCTCTACTAAAAATACAAAAATTAGCTGGACATGGTCACGCGCTCCTGTAATCTCAGCTACTCAGGAGGCTGAGGCAGGAGAATCACTTGAACCCAGGAGGCAGAGGCTGCAGTGAGCCGAGATGGTGGCATTGCACTCCAGCCTGGGTGACAGAGCAAGACTCTGTGTCAAAAAAAAAAAAAAAAAAAAAAAAAAAAATTCTGCTCTCATCTACCACTTCCCGAAGAGAAAGCATGAGAATGCATGCATTGAAGAGGCTGCTGGTAGCAGAGAGGAGAGGCCAGTTCATGGGGATTGTGAACATTGTTGCAGTTGCTTCCATTCAAAGGTAACTCCTCAGCCTTTCTCCTTTCAGGTGGTATAAGTTGAAATCCAAACCAGGAAAGAAGGACAAGGAGCGAGGAGAAATTGAGGTTGACATCCAGTTTATGAGAAACAACATGACTGCCAGCATGTTTGACCTTTCTATGAAAGACAAGTCTCGGAATCCATTTGGAAAGCTGAAGGACAAGATCAAGGGGAAGAATAAGGACAGTGGGTCAGACACCGCCTCCGCCATCATCCCTAGCACGACACCTTCGGTCGACAGTGATGATGAGTCTGTGGTTAAAGACAAGAAAAAGAAATCAAAGATCAAGACCTTACTTTCCAAGTCAAATTTGCAGAAGACGCCTCTTTCCCAGTCCATGTCTGTCCTGCCGACTTCAAAGCCAGAAAAAGTGCTGCTTCGTCCCGGAGACTTTCAGTCCCAGTGGGATGAAGATGACAATGAGGATGAGTCCTCCTCGGCCTCGGATGGTGAGTTTCTGCCTCTTCCTGCTTGACCTCTCTTCTTCCTCTTACCATGCTTCGTTCTGAGAGAGAAGAAACAGACAAATCTCAAGAGAAAGAGTTTAATTCAATTCCTCAATTACAAAATCATGGTGGTGGGGATGATGATAGCGGTGGTTAAGATGCCCTCTCTAAGGCTAGGCGTGGTGGCTCACGCCTGTAATCCCAGCACTTTGGGAGGCTGAGGCAGGCAGATTGCTTGAGCCCAGGAGTTTGAGACCAGCCTGGGCAACATGGTGAAACCCTGTCTCTACAAAAAATATAAAAATTAGCCAGATGTGATGACATACTCCTGTAGTCCCAGCTACTCAGGAGGCTAGGCTGGGAGGATTGCTTGAGCTCAGGAAGTAGAGGCTGCAGTAAGCTGTGATCGTGCCACTGCACTCCAGCCTGGGTGACAGAGTGAGACTCTGTCTCAAAAAAAAAAAAATGCCCTCTCTGTTTCTTTTTTTAAAATATTTTTTGTTTGTTTGTTTTAGAGACAGGGTCTTGCTCTATTGCCCACGCTGGAGTGCAGTGGCGCGATCATAGCTTACGGCAGCCTCCAACTCCTGGGCTCAAGGAATCCTCTCACCTTGGCCTTCTGAGGAGCTGGGACTACAGGTGTGCATCATCACACCTGATTAATTAAAAAAAATTTTTTTTTTAGAGATGAGGTCTCACTATGTTGCCCAGGCTGGTCTGAAACTCCTGGCTTCAAGTGATCCTCCTGCCTCAGCCTCTCAAAGGGCTCTTATGACCGGTGTGAACCATTGCCCATGGCTGAGATGCCCTCTCTATTTCTAAGCCCTCTGGTTTCTTTCCTTCTTTCTTCCTTCCTTCCTTCCTTCCTTCCTTCCTTCCTTCCTTCCTTCCTTCCTTTCTTTCTTTTCTTTTCTTTTGAGATGGAGTCTTGCTCTGTCACCCAGGCTGGAGTGCAATGGTGCGATCTTGGCTCTTTGCAACTTCCGCCTCCTGGGTTTAAGCAATTCTCCTTCCTCAGTCTCCCGAATAGCTGGGATTCCAGGTCCGTGCCACCACACCCGGTGAATTTTTGTATTTTTAGTAGAGTTGGGGTTTCACCATGTTGACCAGGCTGGTTTTGAACTCCTGACCTCAAGTGATCCACCTGCCTTGGCCTCCCAAAGTGCTGGGATTATACCCTCTGGTTTCTAAGAATGTATAAATTCCTTTTCCAGAGTTCCTGGCTCTATAAATGATGTCCACTAGTACAAGCTTTTAGAGCTAACAGAATGAGTGTCTTCCAAGTTTTTTTTTTCTTTTTTTTAAGGGTAAAACCATGGAACCTTATGGTAATTCTGATATTTCATTAATTCATCAGGTAGTTATTGAGTTCCTGTGATGTGCTCAACCCTCGTGGGATATAGCCTTATCAGAAGCCAAGGAATCTGCTTCCTTTAGCTCTGAGTTAATTATGTATTTTGAACTTCAATTTCAATGTCTAAATCCCTCCCATTGGCCGGATTCTGCTACTCTACCAAGAGTGCTGCCCTTTTCATTGGTTTAACCCAGAGTTTCTCAACCTCAGCACTGTGGACAGTTTAGACTAGACAGGCCTTTGTCGTGGGGGGCTGTGCTATACGTTGTAAGATGTTCAGTATCATCCTTGTCCTCTACCTGCTGGATACGAATAGCAGCACACCCCCTCCAAGTTGTGGCAACCAGAAATGTATCCAGACGTTGACAGATGCCCCTACACTGCAAACCACCCGTTTAACATCTTATCCCCTTTCTGTTCTTTTTCTTCCCAAAGTCATGTCTCACAAGAGAACAGCGAGTACGGATCTTAAGCAACTGAACCAGGTCAACTTTACCCTTCCCAAGAAGGAAGGACTTTCCTTTCTTGGTGGCCTTCGGTCTAAGAATGATGTCCTTTCCCGCTCTAATGTCTGCATCAATGGGAACCATGTTTACCTGGAGCAGCCAGAAGCCAAGGGTGAGATCAAGGATAGCAGCCCGTCCTCCTCCCCATCCCCCAAGGGCTTCAGAAAGAAGCATTTGTTCTCTTCTACAGAGAACCTGGCGGCTGGGTCTTGGAAGGAGCCTGCTGAAGGAGGTGGGCTGTCTTCTGACAGGCAGCTCTCCGAATCTTCCACCAAGGACTCCTTGAAGTCTATGACCCTGCCGTCCTACCGACCTGCCCCACTGGTCAGTGGGGACCTCAGGGAAAACATGGCCCCCGCAAACTCAGAGGCCACAAAAGAAGCTAAGGAGAGCAAGAAGCCAGAGAGCAGGAGGTCCTCTTTGCTGTCTCTGATGACGGGGAAGAAGGATGTGGCTAAGGGCAGTGAAGGTGAAAACCCTCTCACGGTCCCAGGGAGGGAGAAGGAAGGCATGCTGATGGGGGTTAAGCCGGGGGAGGACGCATCGGGGCCTGCTGAAGACCTTGTGAGAAGATCTGAGAAAGATACTGCAGCTGTTGTCTCCAGACAGGGCAGCTCCCTGAACCTCTTTGAAGATGTGCAGATCACAGAACCAGAAGCTGAGCCAGAGTCCAAGTCTGAACCGAGACCTCCAATTTCCTCTCCGAGGGCTCCCCAGACCAGAGCTGTCAAGCCCCGGTGAGTTTTGGCTCTTCTCGTGCAGGGCATTTCTGCCTTGCCATTGGTGGTTTTCAGGCTTACGTTAGACCAGCTCTTGTGGGTCCCATGATATCATAGTACCCATATATGCCAAAGGTTTGCTGGTCTAAATTATTTTTTTAACCAGTCCCTACTGCCAGCCTGGCCTGCCCTGTATAAATTGCAGTGATGTTTCCCAGCTCAGAGCTACTGCCCAGCAGGCATGGTCTGTCCTTTCAGTCAGCTTATCAGATCTCAGTGGAACGCAGTGGTTTGTAGCAGATTGTGGGTGTTGCAAGTTGGGAATACTGAGTTTGGGTTGTAGTGTATGCAGAACCTGTGTTTTCGAAGTTCTTATCTCACATTTCCCTTTGAGCCAGATGTTATCCTGCCTCCTTGCCTTTTGGCATTGGTTTCTGGTATGAGAGACCCTCGGTCCTCTCTCAAGTGACAGTGACGGTTCTTTGTGTCCACTCTGCCCCTTGTTGTAAGAGCCGGCATAAGCCTTGGGGACTGGCCTTGGGGACTTCTGCTTTTCTGTGTGATCACATTCATACTGACAATATTTCTGCGGTCTGGGGAGTGAGATTTTTTTTTTTAGAGATTCTGCTTACTTTGACATGCACACACACACACACACACATATACACACACATACACACTGTTCCTCTTAAACTTATCTGTGCCTGTTGCTTTGTGTTACATCTTTAACCACTTTAAACCTTTTAGGTGCATTTTGTCCTGTAATAATCAAATGCTCGGGCCTTGTGTTAATCACCACAAGAAACCAGAGGCTATTGCTTTACCGGGATCTTTTCATTTCTATTGCAACAGACTTTTGTGTGACGGATCTGCTTGGTTATAAAAGTGTCTGTTGTGTATGTTAAGTGTTAGTGTTCCTTTTTTTTTTTGAGACAGTCTCCCTCTATCGCCCAGGCTGGAGTGCAGTGGCACGATCTCAACTCACTGCAACCTCCACCTCCCAGGTTCAAGCAGTTCTCCTGCCTCAGCCTCCCGAGTAGCTGGGACTACAGGTGCACACCACCACACCCGGCTAATTTTTGCATTTTTCAGTAGAGATGAGGTTTCACCATGTTGGCTGGGCTGGTCTTGAACTCCTGACTTCAGGTGATCCGCCTGCCTCGGCCTCCCACAGTGCTGGGATTACAGGCGTGAGCCACCGCGCCCGGCTAGCGTTCCTTTTTTAACTTCTTAAGGTACTGCCCCACGTGTAAAGACGTTCTCCCCTGGTGAATGACTTGTTTTTGTGTATTTTCTTTGTCTCTCGTGATGCATCTGCACTGACCTGCAGATTTTATTTTGTCCTTTTTGCAGACTGGAAGTGTCTCCAGAGGCGCAACCCACAGCCAGGCTTCCTTCCCCTACTGACTCCCCTTCCTCTCTTCCTCCTCTTCCTTCTAGCTCTGGCCAGGCATCTGTCCCCTCTGAATTGGGACATGGTGCAGACACACAGTCCTCTGAGAGTCCTTCTGTCTTCTCCTCTCTCTCATCTCCCATAGCAGCTCCCATTTCCACATCCACTCCAATTGAAAGCTGGCCTCTCGTAGACAGGGGCCAGGCCAAGTCTGAAGGACCACCCTTGCTCCCTAAGGCAGAGTTGCAAACTGAGAGTTTAACACCGGTTCCAAATTCTGGTTCTTCTGCCCTGGGATCACTTTTCAAACAGCCATCCTTTCCAGCAAATAAAGGGACAGAAGATTCTCTGATGGGCAGGACCCGTGAGACAGGCACAGAGAAGAACACCAGCAGCCTTGAGTTGGAGGAGTCTCTCCCAGAGCAGCCTGAAACAGGGCGACAAGAGGAAGAACTTCCGAGATTCCCCTGCAAAAAACAAGACTACAGCCCATCATCTGGAGAAGCCCAGGAAGTACCGTTTGCCCTTTCACTCAGCAGTGATGGAGCTGTGAGCCCTGTTGGGGAGCTTGCAGCAGGAGGAGACAGAGACTTGGAGAGTCAGGCTGGGTCTCTTGTGGAGAGCAAAGCCAGGGATGCAGCTGAAGAAGTGGCGCCCCCTCTTCCCATGGGAGCATCAGTCCCTTCCATTGATTCCATGATGCGGAAGCTGGAAGAGATGGGTCTGAACCTCCGCAAGGACCAGAAGAAAACCAAGAAGCGTGTGTCATTTTCTGAGCAGCTCTTCACGGAAGAGGCAGTGGCGGGGGCTGCCTTGCTGGTGGAAGGACACAGCAGTTGTCCCCAGGAGCTGAACCCTGCATGGTCTGTTGCTGGAAACGCGTCTGACGGAGAGCCTCCTGAGTCTCCCCACGCAGAGGACTCAGAAAGGGAATCGGTGACCACACCTGGGCCAGCGACGTGTGGTGCGCCAGCCTCCCCAGCGGATCACCTCCTCCTCCCCTCCCAGGAGGAGAGTTTCTCCGAAGTCCCCATGAGTGAAGCAAGCTCAGCGAAAGACACTCCACTCTTTAGGATGGAGGGAGAGGATGCCCTTGTGACTCAGTATCAGAGCAAAGCCAGTGACCACGAAGGTTTATTGTCTGACCCCTTGAGTGACCTTCAGTTGGTCTCAGATTTTAAATCTCCAATCATGGCCGATCTGAACTTAAGCCTTCCTTCCATTCCTGAAGTCGCATCGGATGATGAAAGAATAGATCAGGTTGAAGATGACGGAGATCAGGTTGAAGATGATGGAGAGACAGCAAAGTCGTCAACTCTGGACATAGGAGCTTTGTCCTTGGGCTTGGTAGTCCCCTGTCCTGAGAGGGGAAAGGGGCCCAGTGGCGAGGCAGATAGGTTGGTACTGGGGGAGGGCCTGTGTGATTTCAGGCTGCAAGCACCCCAGGCATCTGTGACAGCTCCTTCAGAGCAGACCACAGAGTTCGGAATTCACAAACCACATCTTGGCAAGAGCTCAAGCTTGGATAAACAGCTGCCAGGCCCCAGTGGTGGTGAGGAAGAAAAACCGATGGGAAATGGGAGTCCAAGCCCGCCTCCTGGCACATCCCTGGACAATCCTGTACCCAGCCCCTCCCCTTCTGAGATCTTTCCTGTCACACACTCTTTCCCCAGCTCTGCACATTCTGACACTCACCACACCAGCACAGCAGAATCTCAAAAAAAAGCCACAGCAGAGGGCTCCGCTGGTAGAGTTGAAAATTTTGGCAAGAGGAAGCCACTCCTCCAGGCCTGGGTCTCACCCTCGGAGACACATCCAGTCTCAGCTCAGCCAGGCGCTGGAACTGGGTCAGCCAAGCACAGGTGAGAGATGGGGGAGATTGTCTATGTAAATGTGAGCAATGTCCCCCTTTGCTTCCTACCTGCAGAGGTTACGGCTTTCTAACCACACAGACGTCTGATGTGACAACCCACCTGTCACTGTCCTGCTGGTAGGGCTGCCCCTTGTGGTGGTAATACCTCAAGACACTGCTGCGTTTATAGCAAGAACATAATAGTAGTCTGTAAATATAGCTTAGGAATTGTTCTGCACGGTCAGATTTGGAGCTCGCACATTGCAGAAACGCAATGCCACCAGTATCTTAACTGTCTCAGAACTAACTGGCATTGAGTGGTAGTAGTATCTAGCAGTGTCAAAAACTTCTTCAAGCACTCCCCAACGTGAAGCTTGTATGTTTGTTTTGAGCTGTCTTTACTGTGGAGGGACAGAAGCCTCTGCAGAGTTTTACAGTGAATGCCTAGGCTCTAGTTGACTTAAAAAAATAAGAGACTGCCTTTAATGTTCTGATGTTTGTAACAAGACCAAGGGTCCCGTGAAGATATCAGGACATCTGGACAAG
The DNA here is from genome assembly GCF_000001405.40 of Homo sapiens. Taxonomy (NCBI): domain Eukaryota; kingdom Metazoa; phylum Chordata; class Mammalia; order Primates; family Hominidae; genus Homo; species Homo sapiens. Next base: position 37,870,741 of record NC_000008.11, on the reverse strand, counting down.
GACATGCTTTCCTGGCTTGCATGTGGCAGCCCTGTCCTGACTGCTTTTGTTTCCACAGGAACTGAGACATTGGAGTGCTTTGGCCCAGAGATGAGGGCAGCATGTGACCCACCTGCCCCTTGTCTGGCTTACTGGCTGCCGTCTTTGCAGTGGGCAGTTGCTCAGTTTTGCCATGACCGGAGGGTCTAAAGATCCTTTTCCCCTTCTCTTTAGACTTCATCCTGTGAAGCCAATGAATGCAATGGCCACCAAGGTTGCTAACTGCAGCTTGGGAACTGCCACCATCATCAGTGAGAACTTGAACAATGAGGTCATGATGAAGGTATGTCCTCTGAGAAGCTGGTGTGTTCGTTAGGGATTGACAGAACACCCGTTTCCATAGTCACCATCGTATACCTCTCCCTGGGCAGCCGGTGGTGCCAGGAACACTTAGTCATACATCTTGAGTCTTTGAGTAAACTTTGGAAGCCCCCAGACATTCCATTGGATAATTACTTTATTCCCTTATACTTGTTTAGTTATTGTTAATTTTTTTTTTTTGTCTCAAGCAACATGATTGACACTGGCCCTTCTTTTTTAAAAAAATTATTTAAAAATTTTCCTTCTTAATAGAGATGGGGTCTTGCTATGTTGCCTAGGCTGGTCTTGAAATCCTGGGCTCAAGTGATCCTCCCACCTTGGCCTCCCAAAGTGCTGGGATTATAGGCGTGAACCACCACACCCAGTCTGGCCCATTCAGGTCAGGTATTTTCTTTTTCCCTCATGTTTCCTTTCCTTTGGCAAGAATGTAAAATTCTGATAATTGCAATCATTGCATAGATATACTTTTTTGGTAACATTATTTTGAAATAATTTCAAATGTTAAAAAAAAGTTGCAGGAACAGTACAAAGAGCTCCTACAAACCCTTCCTCCCAGTTCTCTAGTGGTTAACATTTGACCACATTTGCCCATCAGTCTCATCCTCTCTGCTTCCTCTCCCCAACCTTCTCTCTTTCTGGATATACACACGCAGGTGTATGCATAATTTTTTTTAAAAATCATTTGGAAGTAAGTTGTGTACCTCATGTTCCTTTTAACCCTAAATACTTAACTATGTAATTCCTAACAGTAAGGACATTTATTAAAATCAGGGAACTTTTTCTTTTTTTTGAGATGGCGTCTCACTCTGTCACCCAGGCTGGAGTGCAGTGGTGCAATCTCGGCTCACTGCAACCTCCCCCTCCTGGGTTTAAGCGATTCTCCTGCCTCAGCCTCCCAAGTAGCTGGGACTGTAGGTGCGCGCCACCATGCCCGGCTAATTTTTGTATTTTTAGTAGAGACAGGATTTTGCTATGTTGGCCACGCTCATCTCGAACTCCTGACCTCAGGTGATCCACCTGCCTTGGCCCCTCAAAGTGCTGGGATTACAGGGATGAGCCCCTGCGCCCGGCCTACCTCATGCTCCTTTTACCCCTAAATACTCCTAACAGTAAGGACATTCATCAAAATCAGGAATTTTTTTTTTTTTTTTTTTGATACAGGATCTCATTCTGTTGCCCAAGCTGGAGTGGAGTGGCATGATCACGGCTCATCATAGCCTCGACCTCCTGGGCCCAATCAATCCTCTCACCTCAGCCTCCCAAGTAGCTGGGACTACAGGCGAGCACCACCATGCCCAGCTAATTTATGTATTTTTTGTAGAGATGAGGTTTCATCATGTTGCTCAGGCTGGTCTTGAACTCCTGGGCTCAAGTGATCCACCTGCTTTGGGCTCCCAAAGTGCTGGGATACAGGTGTGAGGCAAGATGCACAGCCTGTTTTCTGTTTTTCAGTATGAATTAATACTATAGTCAACAATTTCCTATATGGAATTTTTTCTTCTCCTTTAGATTTTTTCCTTAAGGTAAATTTCCAGGAAGTATCTTGCTCATTTGGAGGGTCTCTAAAATTATGGGCTAATATTAAAAAACAACTCCCCACAAAACAAAACCAGCCTCCCAGATGAACTCTGCCTAGGATTGTCTTCATCCTGCTCTTTCTGGTTCTAGAATCTGAAGGATTTAGAATACTGCCTTGCTGCAAATCCCTGGTCTTCAACTCATTATCTGGACTAGAAGAGAATGATTTACTGAGGGATTGGTGACCTTTAGTGGGCAAGGATATATTGTATTTCAAATATGTAGAGAGGGACTTCCCAACTGACACTGGGAACTGCAGTCTATAGAAATAAACTTTGTTTTTATTTTAGTTCAGAGCAGCTAAAATTTCATTCCATCATATATTTTACAGTCCCATGGACTCCGGATATTGAATAGTTTTTTTTCTTTTTTTTTTTTTTTGAGATGGAGTTTTGCTCTTATCGCCTAGGATGGAGTGCAATGGCGCCATCTTGGCTCACCGCAACCTCCACCTCCCGGGTTCAAGGGATTCTCCCACCTCAGCCTCCAGAGTAGCTGGTATTACAGGCACCCGCCACCATGCCTAGCTAATTTTTATATTTTTAGTAGAGACGGGGTTTTGCCATGTTAGCCAGGCTGGTCTCGAACTCCTGACCTCAGGTGATCCACCCGCCTCAGCCTCCAAAAGTGCTGGGATTACAGGCGTGAGCCACCGCGCCCAGCCTTGTTTTGTTTTTTAATGGAGATGGGGTCTTGCTCTATTGCCTAGGCTGGCGGGCAATGGCTATTCACAGGTGCAATCATAGCTCATCGCAGCCTCGAACTCCTGGGCTCAAGTGATCGTCCTACCTCAGCCTCCCAAGTAGCGGGGACTACAGATGTGCCACCATGCTTGACTGAAAGTGTTTTTCAAGTGCTGGGTACTTGTTATTCCCTCTGGCTTCACTGCATGTCTACCAGTAAGAGCTGGGATAAAGGTTTACAGGAAGCTGGAGGTCCAAGTTTTTGGTAAAAGAAGAGAAGTAATCATAACTGATGATTGCTGAAAACAAGTCAGCATCTTCTTGCTGCCTTGCCCCACTTTTTTCTTCCTTCCTTCCTTCCTTCTTTCCTTCTTTCCCTCCCTCCCTTCCTTCCTTCCTTTTTTTTTTCTTTTTTGATGGATTTTCGCTCTGGTTGATCAGGCTGGAGTGCAATGGTACGGTATCAGCTCACTGCAACCTCTACCTCCCAGGTTCAAGCAATTCTTATGCCTCAGCCTCCCAGGTAGCTGGGATTACAGGCATGCACCACCACACCCAGCTAATTTTTTTGTATTTTTAATAGAGACGGGGTTCTACCATGTCGGTCAGGCTGGTCTTGAACTCCTGACCTCAGGTGATCCACCCACCTCGGCCTCCCAAAGTGTTGGGATTACAGGTGTGAGCCACTGCGCCCGGACCCCACTCTTTCTTTGTAGGACACATTGACAGGGCAGGTGGTAAGCATTGGTCTCAAAATTATCAGCCACAGCCAGAATTGTGTACCTACTACATTTCGGCCCTAGCCTAAAAATGTACAATATGTCAACCAGCTTGCCTGGCTTCTGTGTGTTGCAGATAGATGAGGCAGCACTTGTCTTCCTGGAATTAATGATATTTATCAGGAAATGGGATAAAAGGACAGCATAAAGGGACAGCAATGAAAATTGGGGTCATTCAGCAGCTTCCCATCCATCTTCCTTTTACTGTGGAATGCAGTGTGGCTCCAAAGAGAAACAAACACCTTGTTTCTGGGAAGTTAGCAAGACCTTTGGCTCCCATTTTATTTCCTCTTCAAAGCTCATTTAATTCAAGGGCTTATCTACTGGCCCTAAGAGAATAACTTAGCTCAAAACAAAGGCAACTGCTGCTTATTTTGCTCATGATTTGTAAGCCTGGCTGCCACCCCGCTGCCTGCCTGCAACACATCTCTTGGTTCTGGACCATGCCTAGTAAACATTCTGGGTAAATACGGGACGTTTCCTGGAGGCTCTGCTATTGGCCTGCCACGTGATAGATGCTTTGTGTTAAGGCACAAGACAGTATTTATAAAGATACCTACTCTTTGGAATGTTGCAAAGTAAGAGAGGTTTAAGGGAAAGAAATTGCATAGCTAAAGTTATGAAATGCTAGCTGGATCATTACTACAGTGTTTTTTTTTTTTCTTTTCTTGGTTGTTGTTTTAGCGCCTCCATCCTTTATAGATGATTTATAACTGGGAGAGTATTATTTACCCAGGTGGCTTTAACATTTCCGTTTTAAAATAGTAAAGCCAACTAGATCCAAAAATCATCTGTGATATGGAAAAAGTTGGATGTACATTTGAGTGTATGTCATTATCACAACTATGTAAAAGGAAAAGTCCAGGGTAAGAATCCTGGTGAGAAATACATGACAATGGGCACCATTCTTTCTTGCATTTGTGGGTATTTTCTCTGTGCTTCTTCTTCTCCAAGGCCATTACTCACTTTTTATGATGCTGGCTTATTTATAATTTTTTTTTTTTTTTGAGATGGGGTCTCGCACTGTTGCCCATGCTGGAGTGCAGTGGCACGATCTTGGCTCACTGCAACCTCCGCCTCCCGAGTTCAAGCGATTCTCCTGCCTCAGCCTCCCGAGTAGCTGGGACTACAGGTGCCCGCCACCATGCCTGGATAATTTTTTGTATTTTTAGTAGAGAAGAGGTTTCACCATGTTGGCCAGGTTGGTCTCAAACTCCTGACCTCATGATCCGCCCACTTCAGCCTCCCAAAGTGCTGGGATTACAGATGTGAGCCACCATGCCTGGCCCTGTTTTATAATTTTTAAATATTGCAAAACTAGGCTCTTCTAATGATTTTCAAGTCCTTTATATCCTTTTTCCCTTTCAATTACAGAATCCAAATTAAATAGCTGTTTGACGGTTCGTATGAAGTACCTTAAGTGTGTACACATTTTCAATTCTAGGCATTTATCTTAAGGAAGTACTTAGAGATATGGCCAAAGATTTATGTTCGTGCATTTTGATAAAAATGTTATATATAATTGTACAAATTGAAAACAACATAAATATCCAGCAATAGAGGAATAGTTAAAATATAATGAGATTTTAAGCATCCATTAGAAAAGCAAGTTTTGCTAAAATGTTATGATGGAAAAAATGCTTATTAAATAGTAAAAAGCTGTAAAACTATTATTTTGTATGAGGCTGACATTATAAAACATATCATCAAGAACCCCAGGAAGGCCGGGCTCAGTGGCTCATGCCTGTAATCCCAGCACTTTGGGAGGCTGAGGCAGGTGGATCACTTGAGGTCAGGAGTTCAAGACCAGCCTGGCCAACATGGTGGAACCCTGTCTCTACTAAAAATACAAAAATTAGCTGGATGTGGTGGCAGGTGCCTGTAATCCCAGCTACTCGGGAGGCTGAGGCAGGAGAAGCACTTGAACCTGGGAGGCAGAGGTTGCAGTGAGCCGAGATCGTGTCACTGCACTCCAGCCTGGGTGTCACAGTGAGAATCTGTCTCAAAAAAAGAAAAAAAAAAAAAAGAATCCCAGGAAAAATAAAGAGACCCAAATGTTAGGTGTTGGAATTAATTATATGACACCCTACAGGTGTCAGCCTCTGCATCCCTCTCTCTTTCAAACTCCATGCAGAGTATCTTATGTATTGAGACTTTTAAAAAATAAATAAATAAGATCCTTATATGACAGAGATATAATCTAAAATCCCTTGAGGACGTATTCTTTGCCATTATTTACAAAGGTGACTCTTTTTTCTTGATATAAAATGTAAGGCTGGGTGTGGTGGCTCATGCCTGTAGTCGCAGCATTTTGGGAGGCCAAGGTGGGAGGATCACTTGAGCTTGGGTTTGAGACCAGTCCAGGCAACATAGAGAGATCCCGTCTCTATGGGGAAAAAAAAAAAAAAAAGGCATTAAGTACATTCACATTGTTGTGTAATCAATCGCTAGGGCTCTTTTCCAGACTTGCGACTTTTCAATGAAATATTGTTTTGGAAGTCACATCTACAGTGACTGAGGTCCAGAGGAGGTGCATCGTGAATGCATGCCTTCAAAGTTTTAAAAAACAAAGATTAGGGGAGAAGCAGGTTTTGGAAAAGCAGTCCAGTGTCTCACCTCTAAATGTGCAGCCTGTGTGGGGTTGAACCCGCTCTGTCTATGGAAACGTTGGTGTTGTGTGTCTAAGTTAGTACCGCCATCATCTTGCTTTTGTTCCTAGCCAGGATGGGAGGGCTGGGATCCCTCCTTTGACTTCTGGCTCGTGTCCAGGCAGTTTGCGTCACTGACTGAACTGGGGCTCCTATCATGTCACTGAGGAACTAGTGTTGATTCTTGGAGAAGGTAGTCTCTTGGCCTTCCTGGTAGGCAGTGAAACCGTTAGACCCTCAGGGCAGTAAAGCTATTCCTGCCTCAGAGCTCTGCCAGCAAAATCATCTTGATTCTTTAAACATGTAAATCTCAGGCTACAGATTTCAGGAAAAGTCACTTTTTTTTCCTTACTGGGGACTTACACAGCATGTGACTTTTCATTTAAGCTTTACCTTACATCTCCTCCTGGTTCAAGCTGCTTGGGCTTGCAGGGGCCCCAGATCATAAATGCTGATAAAGCACAGTGACTCCGCAGGGTGTGTGCTCTCCTCGGGAGTGGAACACTCAGCTCTGGGACAGGCCGCTGTGTACCCAAGGGCGTGCCTAGACGGCCACGGGTGAGGACGGGGCATGGTGGCACCTGGCTCTGACTCCGCATATTTCTCGAGTATGAAGTGATGTGAAGTGGGGTCCCTGGGTGTCCTCTGCATCCACCTGCTCATTGAGTCCTTCTGAGCGCAGCTTTGGCAGGAGCAGACAGTCTGGGCTGGACCTCGACCTGCTGCCCTGGAAAGAAAGCCCTTGCTCCCTGCACTTGCTGTCACAGCTGTGTCTTCCTGGGCCCCCTCTGGCTTGGGAGTCGTCACCAGCTCTGCACTGGTGTTTGGTTGTGTGAGCTCCTAGTGTTCCCAAAGGAGTGAGCACTCATTTGGAGAACTGAGTCCTCCCATGATGGCACTGCTTAAAATCCAAACCCAGAGTCAAGTCCAGAGGTCCTCGACCTGTGAGGCAAGTATGGTTTTTACATTTTTAAAAGTTCATACAACAAAATAAAACAAAACAAACAGACCAAAAAACCAAGGAAGAACATGTTAACAAAGGCTGTCTGTGGCCCGCAAAGGCTCAAATATGTGCTATCTGGCCCTTTCCAGAAGACTTCATCAGTCAACAACCTGTTTTCACTGTAAATTGAAAACGGATTCCCTGGCTGGGCACGGTGGCTCATGCCTGTAATCCCAGCACTTTGGGAGGCTGAGGCAGGCGGATCACCTGGGGTCAGGAGTTCAAGACCAGCCTGGCCAACATGGTGAAACCTTGTGCCTACTAAAAAAATACAAAAATTAGTCAGGCATGGTGGTGCATGCCTATAGTCCTAGCTACTCAGGAGGCTGAGGTGGGAGAATCACTTGAACCCAGGAGGCGGAGGTTGCAGTGAGCTGAGATCGCGCCACTGCACTCCAGGCTGGGTGACAGAGTGAAACTCAGTCTCAAAAAGAAAGAAAGAAAGAAAGAAAGAAAATGGATTCCCAAGAGACCCAGATCACTAGTCACTTTTTCCTCCTTTGTACTTCTTTTAGGTTTTAGGTTTCTGTGCTAATTTTATAACTCCTTTTTCCCAACTATTTCCCCCCCTCCAAAGAAATACAGCCCCTCGGACCCTGCATTTGCATATGCGCAGCTGACCCACGATGAGCTGATTCAGCTGGTCCTCAAACAGAAGGAAACGATAAGCAAGAAGGAGTTCCAGGTCCGCGAGCTGGAAGACTACATTGACAACCTGCTTGTCAGGGTCATGGAAGAAACCCCCAATATCCTCCGCATCCCGACTCAGGTTGGCAAAAAAGCAGGAAAGATGTAAATCAGCAGAAAAAAAACACCGAGACGTTTCTGTGACTTCACTTTCACCTGCTCCAGGGGTCAAGGACTTGCCTTGCCTGATAACCAGCCAGCAGGCTCCGAATCACCATCTCCCTCACATGTTATCCGGCAAGAGTGAATTCTACCAATGGAAGCCAGGTTAATGATTACAATTAATCTTTTACTGTACATTCCCAAGGCTTTAGTTTTAAATGCCACTGTGCCTTTAACAAGGTTGTAAATATTTTATGCCCACCAGAGATGTGGTCATAAGATCTGATCCTGAGCCAGAGATTCAGATGGCACAGGAAGTATTCATGTATTTTAACACTGGGGTTTTCTTTCTTTCATACTGAGATTTTTTTTCAGTATGTATCCTCCAGCTCTTAAAGCTTACCTGAGAAAGCTTTAAATGAGAAAAGGACCATGCGATTGGTGCTGTGTTACATACACATACTTTCTTGGCTTCTGAGTAGCTCAGGTGTGGCTTTTGGCTGCAGATGTTAAATTTTGATACCATGTAAACCTACCCAGCTTCTCAGACTTGGGTCTTGTTTTTTGATGGGAACAGAGGTGTTTAGAGAAAGCCTCTGAGTATGCCTTTCAGATTTTGAACAAGCGGCCTTTTCTAAACATCGACTTCTACTACTCTCTAGCCTTAAAATACCTTCTGCTTAGATCCAGGGCCCTTCTACTGGAGATAGGAAAAGTAGAATTCAGGAATTAAAAGAATTACTCTTTATTCAATTTGAGGAACTTGGTGAAAGCCCCTCCTCTTATGACAGCCAGGTTCCTGCTGGCTAGACCAGCCTATTCAGCGCTTTGCTAGGGGATTGGGTGGTCCACGCACTCGCTAATACAGTTCTCCAGGTGTGGAATGATGTCAATACGATTGCTTGGCCTTTTCCCCCTGTGCCTTTGCTCGGTGCTCTGGTTTCCTCAGCAACACTCCTTGTAAGGGGCAGAGACAGGGTCCACCAACTCCCCAAGATGAAGAAGCCCCTTCAGGCCAGTCGTGGTGGCTCATGCCTGTAATCCCAGCACTTTGCAAGGCCGAGGAGGGTGGATCACTTGAGGTCAGGAGTTCGAGACCAGCCTGACCAACATGGCGAAACCCCATCTCTACTAAAAATACAAAAATTAGCTTGGCATGGTGGTGCGTGCCTGTAATCCCAGCTACTCGGGAGGCTGGGGCAGGAGAATTGCTTGAACTTGGGAGATGGAGGCTGCAGCGAGCCAAGATCGTGCCACTGCACTCCAGCCTGGGCAAGAGTTTTTTTAAGACTCTTAAAAAAAGAGCCTGGGCAATTTTTTTAAGACTCTGTCTTAAAAAAAACTAAAAAGAAAAAAAGAAGCCCCTTCACTCTACAGGGGACAGGAGACCATGGATTGGACCCCAAAGGGATTGAACTGCATCTGCATGTCTGTCCTTTGAACACTTTCTCTCCCTGCCCAAAAGGAAACCCAAATTATTTGTGGGATACTGGGGAAATTGTAGTGAAGGGCTTAATGTAGTTAATAAAAGTTAAAAGTCAGTAGAAAACAGGTGCCTCAGCCTTCAAATGGTTGCTTTTTTTCCATTTTCCCTCATGAATAGACTCACCAGCATTTTACCCCCTTGTTATAAAACTGTGCAGAGCAAGAAGATGATACTTATTTTTGAATTTGTATTTTTAAAACTAGATTTATAGACTTTTTTTTTTTTTAACTAGGGCACTTGCTTCCTTCTTAGCTAAAAGCACCAGCTGAGATTTTTCAGGTAATTTTGTTGTTACTCACTTAAGACTGGAATTAGAATGTTTCTGGTATTTCTCATTTTTTTCCCTGGCTATGATAGAATCTCATCTAATCTTGACATCTCTCCTAGGGGAAGAATATCACAGGCTAATAGCGTGGTTGGGGGTGAAGATGATAGCAGTTATTAAATCAGGAATCTCTTTTATGTGTGTCCTTGTTACATTGAGGTTAAGAGACAAAATCATTGGCAGTGCAATCTCTTTCCAGGATTTCGTTTGCTGTGGCATTGGTTATATCAGAGCACTTTAATCTGAAGGATGATACTGTAACTTGATTTATCTAATTAGCTTTTAATTATCTACAGCTATTTTATTTTATTTAATTCTCTCCTACAGTACTGGGACCACTGTAAACTTCTCAGATGACTTGTATTTTTGTAGTGCTATGAAATTTATTTACATACTTATAAAGAAAACTGTATGTTCACTTGAACTCTGAAAATGTACATGTATGGCTGGACGCGGTGGCTCACGCCTGTAATCCCAGCACTTTGGGAGGCTGAGGCGGGTGAATCACTTGATTGAGGTCAGGAGTTCGAGACCAGCCTGGCCAACATGGCAAAACCCCGTCTCTACTAAAAAATACAGAAATTAGCTGGGTGTGGTGGCAGACAGCTGTAATCTCAGCTGCTCGGGAGGCTGAGGCACAAGAATCGCTTGAGCCAGGGAGGTGGAGGTTGCAGTGAGCTGAGATCACATCATTGCACTCCAGCCTGGGCAACGGGCGAGACTCTGTCTCAAAAAAAAGAAAGAAAGAAAAGGTACATGTATATATTTGTCCTGCATTATGTTTTTTACTTGATATAAATGTATTTTTACTGTGATAGTCCAAGTGCCCTGGGGGGCAGGTGTGCTCTATGTGGTTCTTCTTCCATTGGAGAGCTGGCGTAGAGATCTGCAGTGTTCACAAGGATGTTGGTTTGGAGATGTCTGCTGCTAGGACCTGGGGTGTGTGACTCAGTCCATATGAGAGGGACATCTGGGTGGAGGAGTAAATTCCTGTGCTCTGAAATGCCACTTGGTAGCTCTGGACAATGAAGGACAATTGACTCAAGGGTGCCTGGCTTCTGCTGCTGCTGGGAAAAAATTCAGTTTATAGCATTCCTGCACCTCCCAAAGTAGATAACCTGGAGGTCATTCAGTTAACAACTGTCCCTGAGGACTCAGTTTTGGGGGAGGGGTTATCTGGGAGAAGCTTTAGCCTGTTCTGAGCCATTAGGAGACATTAGTGAATTGGAGCACTGGAGAATCCTACAAATGGCCTATGTCTCAGAAGAGCTGGGACCTCCTTCCAGCTGCTGCAGATGCTGACAGGCCCTGGGAGGCTGCTGTGCTCTGGAGAAGCTGGAGCAGCTCATTTCTTGGCCTAGCCTGGCTGCCTCAGAAAGAGCAGTCAGGACTTGAGGGAAGCATCAAATTCTATACCCATAAACTGCAGTTGGAAGTCAGCTTTTTGAAATGTCCAGCCTTTGCCCAATTGTTTCAGATCATCTCATGCCTCAGGCTTTGGCAGGTATCCTGCCCTCCATCTTATTCCAGTGTGTTCACCTCATCAAGGCAGCAGAGTGGATGAAGGAGTAAGTCTGCCCTTTGCCATACTGAACAGCTGTGGACCCCGATTGGTGAGGGCTCTGCATATGCCTGTATGAAGGAGATACAGGTGTGTGTGCACATGCCGGTATGAAGAAGACACAGGCATGTGCTTCTCAGTTTTGCTAACAGTGGGAGCTCAACGGGGCAGAGGGAGGAAGGTCCATGATGCTCAGCCACATACTGTAGAGAGAGGCAATTTAATGTTAAATGACGCACCATCCTCCCTCCCACCCTTCTCCCAGTCAACTTTTTTTCTTTTTCTAGAACTACTAATTATCTCTCAAGGCTGAAAAATTAATTGCCTTAGGTGGAGAACTTAATTCCTAGTATCCACCAAACTTAACTCCGTATCTCCATATGGTGTCTCCATATCTACTGTGTGAGCTACTTAACTGACGCCCTCTTCCTCCAACTGAAGGATCGCCCAACGTTTTTGGATTATAGAATTATTATTTCCTGCTTTCTTTCTTTGGGACTTTTGAATTTCTTTGGTTTCGTTTTTAAGAAGTAACCCAACATTTCCTACAACACTAAATAAAATGGTACTTACCTTTCAAAGATTTGTGTCTGTAGTTTGGTATGGGTGCAATAAAAATTTATTTTGTCTTCCTGGAAAACCTCTCTTGGTGGGGGTGGGGGGATGACCAGTGTTTCTCATCCCATGAGGGTCTCTCACTGGGATTTCTGTTGCTGCCATCTTGCCTGGTTCCCAGGAGTCCCAAGGCCCTTTTTCTCAAAGAGGACGGACATGTCTGGTCCCTTCGGATGCACCCTTCATCTTGGCCTGAGGGACCATGGCACTGGCCAGAGAAACTGAGTTGGAACGTGCTGCCCCCTTTTCCTTTGCAGCCGGTACCCTTGGCTGAGCATTTGGACAGGGTCTTTCCTCAGTTCCCACCCCCACCACACACACAGGTTCCCACAGAGTGATGTCTTCACTTTGGGGGCATGAGTTGAATTCAGGCTGGGCTCAACTGCCCCATCTGGGAACCAGGTCCTTGTTCAGTTGACTTAGTTTGTCCATGTGTGAATAGAGGGTATTAGGGATGCACAGGAGTCTCCTGGAGTTCATCTCTCCAAACCCCAGGCCTTTCCCAAGGAGGTGAGAGGTGTGCCTGCCCCGCGAGCGGTGCACGTGGTCCACACTCCAAGGTCCCAGACCTCTTGGAATGGAAGTGATACCTTTGCTCTTAGAGATGAGTCACATTGTAGAGAGACAGAGGCAGGCGGTGCCTGTGAGACTCCTGGGCTGGGATGGGGGAGCTTCCCTGAAGGCCTCCCTGGTTTTGGTGGAGAGGCCTGGTGATTCCAAGTGGACATCGACTGCCATGTGTAGTGACATGAAGACACTTAATAAATTTTATTTTATTTATTAAATCTCTTAATAAAACAACCCTCTAAATGGAAGGTCTTCAAGGAAGGAAAGTTTAATTACACAAATGACCCCAACTTTTCTCTCTCAGATTTATTCCCCTTGCTTTGGAGTTCTGTTTGGTTCCTGCTATTGCCACCAAACCCAGCCCTCAGGGCCAGGCTATTATATTTTTCAAATTCCAGCCCAAGGAGGGAGACACAACCATCTTTTCTTTTGAGTCCCCTTAGCCCAGCAGCTAGTAATGGAAAGCTTTAAAAAAAAAACAAAAAACCAGGCCTGGCACAGTGACTCACTCCTGTAATCCCAGCACTTTGGGAGGCCAAGGCGGATGGATCACTGGAGGTCAGGAGTTCAAGACCAGCCTGGCCAACATGGTGAAACCCCGTCTCTACTAAAAATACAAAAATTAGCCGGGCATGGTGGTGGATGACTGTAATCCCAGCTACTTGGGAGGCTGAGGCAGGAGAATTGCTTGAACCCAGGAGGCAGAGCTTGCAGTGAGCCAAGATCATGCCATTGCACGCCAGCCTGGGTGACAGAGCAAGACTCTGTCTCAAAAAAAAAAAAAAAAAACAAGAAAATAAGGGAAATAATTATAGGATATATGAACAACATAAAAGGTGAACTTTCCCAAATCCAGAATTCTGAGTCGAAGTCAAGCCCCAAAGGTCTAGAGGCACCCAGTCACTCGGCTAGGTGGGCCCCAGTTGTTCTTAGGTGACCTGAGTTCCCTTGTGCTCCATTCTGGAGGAGCAATAGACGCTGTTCCCCTCCTCCACTCCCCTGTCTGCTCACTTACTCTAGATTTTTCTTTTTTTGAGATGAAGTCTCACTCTTGTCGCCCAGGCTGGTGTGTAATGTTGCAATCTCAGCTCACTGCAACCCCTGCCTCCCATGTTCAAGCGATTCTCCTGCCTCAGCCTCCTGAGTGGCTGGAATTACAGGCACCTGCCACCATGCCTGGCTAATTTTTCTATTTTTAGTAGAGATGGGGTTTCACCATGTTGGCCAGGTTGGTCTCTGAGGCCAGCTTGACCTCAGGCAATCCACCCGCCTCCGCCTCCCAAAGTGCTGGGATTACAAGCATGAGCCACCGCTCCCAGCCCTCACTCCAGATTTTTCTAAGTAACAGCATAACATGTTTGTTCTTGGAAAAGAAAAAAGTCCTAATTTCCTCACTACCAAGAGGTAACCACTGTAGTTTTGACTTGTCTCAGGATTTTTCCTCTCATGTAAATAGCCACACTTTACAAGGAAGATAGGATCACACCGTCTGTACTGTTTTGAACGTATCTCCACGACTTGGTAGCTGGCAGCTATGTGTGTTCTGCGACAAGGACTGATAGGATTCCCAGGAGAAACTTTCCTGGCTAACAATTCCCTTTGGCAAAAAAAAAAAAAAAAAAAAAAAGCTGCAGCAGTCACAAAGATAATCTAGGTCCCTTCCGGCCCAGGTTATAATCATAGCCACCTGTGGATCAAAGTGGGGACTTGCCGGGGACACCCTGCCCACTCCCAACCAGGAAAACAGTCACTTACCGGGCGTGGTTACCATTCTTTACTGGGGCCAGTGGTCAGCACGACAGCCGCCATTAGCCCTTGGACCCAGTCTCTCAACACAGGCAGCTTGCCCCTGGGCTGCTCTGCGGGTGTCAGCTTTTGGGCCCTGCAGTTTTCCCCTACTGGGACGTCATGAACTATCACTTCTGACTCGAAACTGGCTTCCTTGAGCCCTTTGAGGGCAGGGTTTCCCAATGCCAAAAAGCCTCCTAAGGGGATATGTCCTTACTCGGCCTTTTGACTTTCTATTACTTTACACAGAAACCTGTGTCTTGAGCCTGGGAAAGAATCGCCTTGGGGACATGATATGGCTCTCAGAGTTGAGAATAAGCTGCCTCTGTCCTTATGGACTGCTCACTTCAGGCTAAACCTTGACTGCAAAAGGAAGGCCTGCTTCTTGAAGCACTGAGGTGTACTATTTTTAATAATTCTCATTCAGGTCAATGTCTCCATCGTGCAGCTGGGCAAACAGACCCAGAGAGGCAGCAGCACTCTCATTTGCCTAAGTCACACTGTGAGTTGTTAAGAGAGGATTCGATCTTATAACCTGTCTGACTTGCAGGCCTAGAACAGGGGTCAGCAAACTACAGCCTGCCTCCTGTTTTTGTACAGCCTTTTCAAGTCAAGAATGGTTTTTACATTTTTTTTTTTAATGCTTCAAAAAAAGTCAGCTGGGTGCAGAGGCTCACGCCTGTAATCCCAGCACTTCGGAAGCTGAGGCACAATACTGTGAGCCCAGGAGTTTGAGTCCAGCCTGGGCAACATAGTGAGACCGCCCCCCACCACCATCTCTACAAAATAGAGAATAAAAAATGAATAAATTGGGCATGGTGCACATCTATAGTCCCAGCTTCTTGGGAGGCCAAGTAGGGAGGACTGCATGAGCCCAGGAGTTTAAGGCTGCAGGGAGCCTGGGTGACAGAGTAAGACCCTGTCTCCAAAAAATAAAGAAAACAACCAAAACAACAGTATTTCATGACACATACAAATTATATGGAGGGCTGGGTGCAGTGGCTCACATGTGCAATTCCAACACTTTGGGAGGTTAAGGTGGGCAGATCACCTGAGGCCAGGAGTTCAAGACCAGCCTGGCCAACATGGTGAAACGCCATCTTTACTAAAAATACAAAAATTAGGCCGGGTGTGGTGGCTCACGCCTGTAATCCCAGCACTTTGGGAGGCTGAGACAGGTGGATCATGAGGTCAGGAGATCGAGACCATCCTGGCTAACACAGTGAAACCCCATCTCTACTAAAAATACAAAAAAAATTAGTCAGACGTGGTAGTGGGCACCTGTAGTCCCAGCTACTTGGGAGGCTGAGGCAGGAGAATGGTGTGAGCTTGCAGTGAGCCGAGATCGCACCACTGCACTCCAGCCTGGGCAACAGAGCGAGACTCTGTCTCAAAAAAAAAAAAATTAGCCAGGCATGGCATGGTGGCGGGTACCTGTAATCCTAGGTACTTGGGAGGCAGAGGCAGGAGAATTGGTGGAACCCAGGAGGCAGAGGTTGCATTGAGCCGAGATTATGCCACTGCACTCCAGTCTGGGCGACACAACGAAACTTCCATGTCAGGGGAAAGAAAATTATATAGAGGCCTGTACCAGGGCAGGGGCGGGCCCTGAGGAGGCGCCTTGGCCAGACCAGGCTGCACCCAGAGACCACAGGCTGCCTGCTCACCTCATGCCCGTCAGCCACCCTTCCCCTCCCTGCTCCCAGTCCCCGGTAGGGCCAGAGAGGCCACCACCATCGTCCGGTGGGGATCTGGTGGGAGTCTGGTGAAGGGAAGCCGAGAAATGGGTCCTGGGCAGGAGCTCACTGTGCTCCTGAGGGACGGGAGATGGAGGCTGAGTCACTCTGCTCATTGCTGGAGGCCGGGGTGCTGCCTTTCTAACGTGACCATTCGGCTCTCAGCTCTCACCCCTGCCGGTTTGATTCTGTTTTCCCTGGGTCCTGAATACCTAGAGACCCAGCAGAATGTCAGCCAGTGCTGCTCCTGTTAAAGCACTTCTGACTGATTTCTGTTAGTTTAGCTACTGTTCACTAGTTGATGCTGAAATTGCTCTTATTAAAGTTAGATAGCATTAGGATTGTATGGTACTATTGGTACTATTTTTCAAATAAAGATTGTTTAATACGATTCTTACGAATACATGACTTCCACATCTCTGGACCCTCCAGAAGTACATAGGATAAGTATTGTATTTTCATTTAGAGAAAGGGTCTCTCAGCTGGGTGCAGTGGCTCATGCCTATAAGCCCAGCACTTTGGGAGACCGAGGTGGGTGGATCACCTGAAGTCAGAAGTTCGAGACCAGCCTGGCCAAGATGGTGAAACCCTGTCTCCACTAAAAATACAAAAATTAGCTGGGTGTGGCGGCACACACCTGTAATCCCAGCTACTCAAGAGGCTGAGGCATGAGAATTGCTCGAACCCAGGAGATGGAGGTTGCAGTGAGCCGAGATGGTACCACTGCACTCCAACCTGGGCAATAGAGCAAGACCCTGTCTCAAAAAAAAAAAAAAAAAAAAAGAAGAAGAAGAAGAAGAAAGGGCCCCTTTTACCTCAACATCATTGTGTTCAATATGGATAGGAAGGTTTAAAACAGACCATTTCTGATCTATGAGCTGTTATCATACCAGTACGATAAGTTGGCCGGAATAAACTTTGGTTTTAAAACAAAACAAAAAATCATATGAAATTGAATTTCAGCACCCATAGATGAAGCTTTATTGGATACAGCCATGACCGTTTGTTTGTTTACGTAACTGTCTATGGCTGTTTTCACATTACAACAGCTGAGTTGAGTAATTGCAACAGAGTAGCTATTGTCCCAAAAACCCAAAATATTTACTATTTGGCCTTTTATAGAAAAGGTATGATGGCCGGGTAAGTCTGATGGCTGGGTGTGGTGGCCCATGCCTGTAAACCCAGCATTTTGGGAGGCGGAGGCAGGAGGATCGCCTGAGCCCAGGAGTCTGAGACCAGCCTGGGAAACATAGTGAGATCCTGTTTCTACAAAAAAAAATTTTTTTAATTAAAAATATTTTTAAAAAATAGAAAAGAATAAGTTTGCCAACCCCTAGGCTAGGATCGCTTTGAGGGGCAGGAATATAACATTATATCATTTACTTGGAATTGCGGAGGATTGGGGCGGGCAAGGAAAATGGAGGCCATATGACTCAATCCTCTCTCAGGACTTTCCATAAGGCCAGATGAGCCTCAGCCTCCCAGCAGAGAGGCGTTCCAGGTCAGGTTGCCCTGGACTACGCAGTGCACCAGGTCTGTGCTGTGACCACCTTCCTGGAGTTACCAGATGCCTTTGTTCCTAGGAGTTCAAGAAATTGAACGTGTGAATCTTTAGCCCAGAGAGAAATGGCTGGGAGGGGCAGACTAAACTATGCAGAGGGGAAGCTGCATATGAGTGAGGAAAGGTGCTTGGCACGGGGATTTGGGAAGCCCTGGCCATGCTCTGCCCTGAGGCTATCTCATCGGGAAGTGCCCACTAAAGAGTGGTGGGAAGGAAGTCCAGTCAGAAAGGCTCCAAATCTGAGGCAACTGCCAGGCCCAGTGCCACCGTGCGAGCTGTACTCAGGGCTCGGTGAAACTGGGTCGGGGTCGCAAAGCATCATCAGCTAAGCTGAGAGGAGCCCAGGGCTGAGGCTGGAAGGCAGGCCTGGAGAGCAGCCCACTCTCAGCAGTCACTTGCTCTAGATGGAAATGGGTCTGCTTCAGAGGAACTGGGTCTATGTGGTGCTCCTTCTTCTTCATCCTTTTTTTTTTTTTGAGTCAGGGTCTCACTCTGTTACCCAGGCTGGAGTGCAGTGGTGCAATCATAGCTCATGGCAACCTTTTAACTCCTGGGCTCAGGTGATCCTCCTGCCTTAGCCTCCCAAGTAGCTGGGACTACAAGTGCACACCACTATACCCTGCTATTTGTTTTGAGAGGGGCTGCGGTCTCACTATGTTGCCCAGGACAGTCTCGAACTCCTGGCCTCAAGCTGTCTTCCCACATCAGACTCCCAAAGTGTTAGGGTTACAGTCATGAGCCACGTGCCTGGCCCATTTGGTGCTTTGGATAGGCCCACCTAGGACAGGAATTCACGGGAGTTGAACTCCTCTTTACTGAATGCCAGCCCTCACTTTAGGAGGTACTCCTGGGGACACAAGGATGAGAAAGCCAGCTTGTTCCCATAGAGACTTCCATTCAAAGAGAAAGTCAAACAACGAACTAGAATGTACACAGCCAATCGAGGGAGGAAGAGGACTGCATTCAGGTGCCAGATCCTCCTCTTCCTCAGTGCCTTCCTCTACTCTCCCCTCTACAAAGAACTCTGGCCTCAATGTCAGCATTATACATCTGGACCACAGCTGGGCTGCTGTTCAATGGCCTCCCCATGACTAGCTTTCTGCTCTGGCCAAGCCCACCCTGGGCACTCGGGGCATCTGTTAAAAAGATAATCACTGCCAGGCATGGTGGCTCATGCCTGTAATCCCAGCACTTTGGGAGGCCGAGGTGGGCAGATCACCTGAGGTCAGAAGTTTGAGACCAGCCTGGCCAACACGGTGAAATCCCATCTCTACTAAAAATACAAAAACTAGCCAGGCATGGTGGTGGGCGCGTGTGGTCCTAGCTACTTGGGAGGCTGAGGCAGAAGAATTGCTTGAACCCGGGAAGTGGAGGCTGCAGTGAGCTGAGACTGTGCCACTGCACTTCAGCCTGGGCGACAGAGTGAGACTCCTCTCAAAATAAATAAATAAATAAAATTAAAAAATAAGATAATCACTACCAGGAATGATAACTCTTAGAAGAACTGGGAGCAGTGGAGAGGGCACCAAGATGATTTCCACGTCTGTCCAGATTTCCTGGAGCAAGGCAAATACATTTCCCAAATAAATGGACTTCTTCCTGAGAAAGTGGAGAACCCCAAACTTACACATCTTAGTAGAGGGCGCCATCTTCTGGCCTGGACCCTGCCCCCTCCCAGCCTGTGTGTGCCCGAGGACCAGGCTCTCCTAGGCTCCCAGTAAGTACATCATGTGTGACTGGGAAAGACAACCAGCTTTCTCCTTCCGTGGCTGGCTGCAGGATCATAAAACTGCTTTTCCACTTTACAATCAATCAGGTTGGGTCAGGCAGGATTTCAAGGCTTCTGTCCTAGGTAGATGGGCTCTGTAAAGTCCCGCTTAAAAAAAAAGTGAAGGTAGGTTCAAGATCTGCACACAACTGGGGATGAGGGGAGTCTGATGCTCTGCTGTGTGATCATGCAAGGAACTGTTCCCAGTGCAAGTTATGTCGCTTTCAGGGACACTTTCTTCATCCAAATAAGAATGTCAACCACACTAAAACTAATGGATGTCTCTGAGTGGTGTGTGTGTGCGGGTGCGCATGTGCAAATGTATCTTAATATTTAACTGTCAGACAGCCAGAAATAAGCTCTCATCCTGTATCTCACGCTAGTGGGGAGGTCTAGAAAAGGCGGGGGGGCTTGGACTGCCGGATCCCACCCACGATTAATGTGCTGAAGCCCCCTTCTGTTATGATACTAAAGTAATTCAAATTGAAGAGAAAGGACCGTTGGGTATTATTGTGTCTCTTGGCCCTCCAATGTGAGCGATCCCCATGGGAATGGACGGGATGTCTCTGAAAAGGAGTAGTGATTCTCACACTCTGAGAAAGCAGTCTCTTAGGGAAGGGATGGTGTCTTTAGGTTTGGATATCACGTGTAAAAACTGGGTGTGGAAAAGAAGGGAGTGACACTTCTTAAAGGTATGTTTTATTTTGTTTGAGATGGAGTCTCGCTCTGCCACCCAGGCTGGAGTGCAGTGGCGCGATCTTGGCTCACTGCGCCTCCTGCGCCTCCTGGGTTCAAGCGATTCTCCTGCCTCAGCCTCCTGAGTAGCTGGGATTAGAGACGTGCACCACCACGCCCAGCTAATTTTTGTGTATTTTTAGTAGAGACGGGATTTCACCATGTTGCCCAGGCTGGTCTCAAACTCCCGAGCTCAGGTGATCCACCTGCCTCGGCCTTCCAAAGTGCTGGGATTACAGGCGTGAGCCACCACGCCCAGATAGCTCAAGGTTTTTTAAAAAACATCTGAATCTGCGTGCTTGCGCCGCTCCAGGTCTCCATCACTCCATATTCTTTCACTCCAAACTCCTTTAGACATTCCTGCCTGGCCTCCAAAAGCGTTTGGGTTTGCATCTCTGGATTTTTTTTTCAACTTCCTCATTTTACAGTTGAGAAAAACAGGAGGTAAAGAGAGGAAGGAATCTGCTTTAGGAAGCAGCTCTGGAAAGCAGAACACAGTTTCCTGCTCCCGCTCTCTCTCCACTACTCTCCCTTTAAAAAATATACTTTCTTCTATGGCCAATTAAACATTCATTACCAACCTGCGATTCCCTTAGGACTTTAAAAGGAGGGTTGTTCAGGGGTGACAACAATCTTCTGTCTGTTATACGTGTCCATGTAGGCAAAAACTTTCCCAAATTCAACCCCAGTCTAGGTCCCAAAAACTAACTACAGAGTGCAGGGAAACCAGACAGCTACAGTTCAGCCCAGGAACCTCCTCTCCTAGCTCACGTTTCTACCCGAGCCCGCGGAGGCACAGACCGGAAGTGGCGCGCAGCCTCCCAGCGGAGGGAACCGCCTATGCCTCCGTCGCGCTGGCCGGAAGACGGGGGTGCAACCCTTTGAAGTGTCCCCTCCTACTTCTTGCTGCCTCACGGTTGCTGTTGCAGACCCAGGAGTCTCTGAAGGCTTCCGCGGCTTTGGGGCCGGTTGTGAGATGCCAGGCAGAGGCCGCTGCCCGGACTGCGGCTCCACGGAGCTGGTGGAAGACTCGCACTATTCGCAGAGCCAGCTGGTGTGCTCCGACTGCGGCTGCGTGGTCACCGAGGGGGTCCTTACCACTACCTTCAGCGACGAGGGCAATCTCCGAGGTACTTGTGGCCCTGGGGACAGCCTGGGGCGGTGGAGGGATTAACATCAGATTCCTTTTGCCTCCCCGCTCCCCCCATACTCCTAACTGTAACGCACACACTTAATTTGAGAGAAAATGACCTAAAGTGAGCGAGGGAGCTGAAGGAGATGGGGGCTGCCATTCATCTGTGTTTTCCCAGCACTTAGTATCGGGCATAGATGGTGCGTGTAATAAATATTGAATAAGTGAGACAGAAACAAAAGTTCCACTCATCTTGCCATGTCTGGTCATTGTGGAAGGATTGCCGATACGATTATAGCAGGTATTATTACCCTGAAATAGTTTTAAGCACAAACTGGCAAAACATCACTTTTCTTTGCTTTCCAAGTTTCTGACCAGTGCAGCCCTCAAAATCTGCAGCCATTGTCTGGGTGGGGTGGCTTACGCCTGTAATCCCAGTGCTTTGGGAGGCAGAGCCGAGAGGATTGCTTGAGCCCAGGATCTCGAGACCAGCCTTGGTAACGTAACGAGACAAGTGCCTAAAAAAATTTTTTTTTAATTAGCCAGGTATGGTGGCATACACCTGTAATCCCAGCTACCCAGGAATCTGAGGTAGGAGGATTGCTTGAGCCTGGAAGTTGAAGGCTGCCGTGAGCTGTGATCGCACCACTGTGCTCCAGCCTGGACTATAGAGGGAAACTCCTTAAACAAACAACAACAAAATCTGCTGCTAGGAAAATTGCCTGTATGGAATGTACTGGAAGGATGACTGGAAATTTGGAACACTTGGAGCTGCTTTAATGCAGTCCTAACCTTTCCCAGTCTCTGTGTATTCGGAACCTCTTGTAGACATAGAAAACCAGATGGGGCCTTTAACTGTGCAGCAGCAGATGCTCAATGATTTGAATTTTGCGTCCTGGTTTTGTGTGGTGGGAGGGCAGGGGTCTGATGAATAAAGGCTAAGCACACTATTTGTTGTTTATTATCTTACAGAGGTAACATATTCCCGAAGCACAGGGGAAAACGAACAAGTTAGTCGCAGCCAGCAACGAGGTGAGAATTGACCTTTTACAACACAGTGGCTTTAAAGAAAACTATCCTAGGCCAGGTGCTGTGGCTCACGCCTGTAATCCCAGCACTTTGGGAGGCCTAGGCAGGTGGATCACCTGAGGTCAGGAGTTCAAGACCAGCCTGGCAAACATAGCGAAACCCCGTCTCTACTAAAAATACAAAAATTAGCTGGGCATGGTGGCATGTACCTGTAGTCCCAGCTACTTGGCAGGCTGAGGCAGGAGAATCGCTTGAACCTGGGAGGTGGAGGTTGCAGTGAGCTGAGATCGCGCCACTGCACTCCAGCCTGGGTGACAGAGTGAGACTCCATCTCAAAAAAATAATAATGAGCCGGGCGCGGTGGCTCATGCCTGTAATCCCAGCACTTTGGGAGGCCGAGGCGGGCGGATCACGAGGTCAGGAGATTGAGACCATCCTGGTTAACACGATGAAACCCCATCTCTACTAAAAATACAAAAAAATTAGCCGGGCGTGATGGTGGGTGCCTGTAGTCCCAGCTACTCGGGAGGCTGAGGCAGGAGAATGGCGTGAACCCGGGAGGCGGAGCTTGCAGTGAGCCGAGATCGCACCACAGCACTCCGGCCTGGGTGACAGAGCGAGACTCTGTCTCAAAAAATAATAATAATAATAATAATAATAATAATAATAAAAGAAAACTATCCTGGTGGCCTAGCCCAGCTTTTCACTTTTCCTATTTTCAGCATTGCTGGTGTGAGGTAGAGTAGAAGAGAATGGTAATTAGGAATTTAAAATGGGGATGGTGGCTCACACCTGTAATCCCAGACTTTGGGAGGCCGAGACGGGCAGATCGCTTGAGGTCAGGAGTTCAAGACCAGCCTGGCCAACATGGTGAAACCCCGTCTCTACTAAAAATACAAAAATTAGCTGGGCCTGGTGGTGCACACCTGTAATCCCAGCTACTCGGGAGGCTGAGGCAGGAGAATCACTTAAACCTGGAAGGAGGAGGTTTCAGTGAGCCAAGATGGCGCCACTGCACTTCAGCCTGGGCAACTGAGCCAGACTCTGTCTCAGAAAATAATAAAATAAATAAAACAAATAGGGATGGTTCTGAGAGAGGCAGCAATTCAGTATAAGGTTTGGGTTTGATCAGACGTATGTTTGAGGTAGCCTCTAAGAGCCTGGATAAAACTTGGGCTTGGCCCTGAATCAAACCAGCCTGCAAAAACTAGTGGGCTGAAATGTGACTTCTTTACACAAATGTTTTTGTGTCTTTAGAATGACTATACCAAGTGTCACTCCTGTCTATGCAGAAAGGTACATAATTTGTGCATCTGATATCTGAGGCAAGTTTAGCAGATCTAAGTAAGTCCTAGCAGAATTTTCTAGGAGTTGCACGATAGCTCCTTTGACCCCTCTAACTCTTGCCGTGGGTTTTTCCTAGGTCTCCGGCGAGTGAGAGACCTTTGTCGAGTTCTGCAGTTGCCACCAACATTTGAGGATACCGCGGTTGCCTACTACCAACAGGCATATCGGCACTCTGGCATCCGAGCGGCCAGGCTGCAAAAGAAGGAGGTGTTGGTTGGGTGCTGCGTCTTAATCACCTGCCGACAGCATAACTGGCCCCTAACAATGGGGGCCATCTGCACGCTGTTGTATGCAGATTTGGATGTGTTTTCTAGCACTTACATGCAGATAGTGAAGCTCCTGGGACTGGATGTGCCATCTCTGTGCTTGGCAGAACTGGTGAAGACCTATTGCAGCAGGTACGTCCCTGGTGGGAGACAGTAGGATGGGATGGGATGGGTCCTTAGACCTGAATCCTTTGACCTTTGGCCATCTCTTTTTTTTTTTCTTGGAGTCTTGCTCTTATCACCCAGGCTGGAGTGCAGTGGCACGATCTCAGCTCACTGCAACCTCCGCCTCCGGGGTTCAAGCTATTCTCCTGCCTCAGCCTCCAGAGTAGCTGGGATTACAGGTGCCTGCCACCATGCCTGGCTAATTTTTTTGTTTTTCTTTGCATTTTTAGTAGAGACAGGGTTTCACCATGTTGACCAGGCTGATCTCGAACTCCTGACCTCAGGTGATCCGCCTGCCTCGGCCTCCCAAAGTTCTGGGATTACAGGCGTGAGCCACCGCACCCGGCCTTGGCCATCTCTTTTTTACCAAAGCCCATGTAAAAGGATGTGGGAGAAAGATCTTTAGTTTAAACTTGTACTCATAAGGTTAATATTGTTTTACATTTTTAGAATGCTATAATTTTCTTTTTTTTGAGACCGAGTCTTGCTGTGTTGCCCAGGCTGGAGAGCAGTGGCATGATTTCGGCTCACGGCAACCTCCACCTCCCGGGTTCAAGTGATTTTTGTGCCTCAGCCTCCCAAGTAGCTGGGACTACAGGTGCATGCCACCATGCCTGGCTAATTTTTTGTTTTTAGTAGAGATGGGGTTTCGCCATGTTGCCCAGGCTGGTCTTGAACTCCTGGACTCAAGCGTTCTACCCACCTCAGCCTCCCAAAGTGCTGGGATTACAAGTGTGAGCCACTGCACCCCGCCAAAGAATGCTATAATTTTCAAACCCCTTTGCCTTCACAGCAACCTAATGACTTGGGGAAAATAGGTCTGAGTCTTGGCACAGGGCTGCTGAGTTGCACCACTCATGTTTTGTGCTCTGTGCATGGCAGTTCCTAGAGTTGTGCTGTGCCATGGGCTTTGTGGCTGAATGCCCAGCTCTGTCTCAGCAGGATCATCTGCAGAGGAAGCTGAAAGTATATTAGTTAATGACATAACTGGGCTTAGAAGCTAAGTCTTTTCTAGTTTTTTTAAAGACAGGGTCTCTTTCACCCAGCCTGGAGTGCAGTGGCACCATCATAGCTCACTGCAGCCTGGAACTCATGGGCTCAAGCGATCTGCCCACCTGATCCTCCCAAAATGCAGGTATTACAGGCGTGAGCACTGCGCCTGGCTCTTTTCTCATTTGAAGTAGCTATGTTCTTTTCTTTTTTCTGATAAATAACGTTGAAAGTAGAGGCTGTTGGTGTCAAATAGCCTTGTATTTGAAGCTTGGTTACTGCCTGGCTGGATGACTATGGGAAAGTTTTTTAACTATACATGCACATAAGATGGTGCACGTGCACGTAGATTAAATGAGAACGTTGTAAAGCACTCAGAATAATGGTGATTGGGAGGCGCCCAATAAATGTTCGTGCTCTCCTCCATCCCTCCACCTTCCCCTAACAAGCGGAAGACGCCCTGTTTTCTCTCACTACCTTTATTAACTTGCTGCCCAGTGAGCTTGAGTATTCCTGAGGGCAGAATAGCTTCCCCATCTTGAGTGGGCTGTCTTTCCTCACTGTGGGAGAGCAGCCCCTATATCATTAAGATCCAACCCTCATTTTGGTTATTTCAGCTTCAAACTGTTCCAAGCTTCACCTTCTGTGCCAGCCAAATACGTGGAAGACAAAGAGAAGATGCTGTCTCGAACAATGCAGTTGGTGGAGCTGGCAAATGAGACGTGGCTGGTGACCGGGAGGCATCCCTTGCCCGTCATCACTGCTGCGACTTTCCTGGCTTGGCAGTCGCTGCAGCCTGCAGATCGGCTTTCATGTTCCCTTGCCCGATTTTGTAAATTGGCAAATGTGGACCTGCCCTACCCGGCGTCCTCCCGCCTGCAGGAGCTGCTGGCTGTGCTGCTGCGGATGGCTGAGCAGCTGGCCTGGTTACGAGTTCTGAGACTTGACAAACGGTCTGTGGTGAAGCACATCGGTGACCTTCTCCAGCACCGCCAGTCACTGGTCCGCTCTGCCTTTCGGGATGGGACAGCAGAAGTGGAGACCCGAGAGAAGGAGCCACCGGGGTGGGGACAGGGGCAAGGAGAAGGGGAGGTGGGAAATAATTCCTTAGGTTTACCCCAGGGGAAGCGGCCGGCCAGTCCTGCCCTTCTCTTGCCACCCTGCATGTTGAAGTCCCCGAAGCGGATCTGCCCTGTACCCCCTGTCTCCACTGTCACTGGAGATGAGAACATTTCTGATAGTGAAATAGAACAGTATTTGCGTACCCCTCAGGAAGTTAGGGACTTTCAGAGAGCCCAGGCTGCTAGACAGGCTGCCACGAGTGTCCCTAACCCTCCCTGATGGATATCCACTGGGAGCACTTCATCCTGTTCTGACAGCTTGATAACATTCCTGTTATAACCAAGGATGGAAGTGTACACCAGTCCGTAGGTATTGCTTTTCTTGTTTGAAGGAACCAAGAGGGGCTCTGCCATTAGTTGGACCCTGGGTCCTGGAGTAAAGTCAGGAGTGCAGGGATGACTATAGGTAGGAGAGATTCCCATCCCTTGGTGTGGGAGAGCAAGTTGCCTATGTCCATGTTCTGTGAGATGGCTTTCCTCATAGATGGATGGGAAAATGTCAGGCTCTTTGCTGCTGGTTTGAATTGGACACACTGCTGCGGCTCCTCCTGCAGGCCTGAGGGGGCTTCCCTCTGCTTGTGGAGTGGTTGGCATTCCCAGCAGTATCAACCCTCAGAGGAGCGGGAACTGGGGAATTCTGGCCCTACGTGCATTCACAGGCAATGATGGGTTTGTGTGTATGGTGTCATGAGATCCTCTACCTCATAACAAAAGGACAGTGGGTAGACTAAGGCAGTAGCTCAAAGGGCTTTGCAAAATTTTAATATATTAAAACAAGAGGCATCTGCTAGAAAACATTCTATTGTATAAAACCCGAGTTCTTAAAAACATGTTTTCTTTGGCACTTTCATTCCCTCCCTCCCCTTTCCCCAGCATATTGCAAAAAGCTCTCCAGTGCTAAGGCATTGGCAGGGTGTGTAAACAGCAGCCAGCATATGTGGAAGAATAATACAAAGCTTTTTTTTTTCTTCTAATATGTCTGTGCAGCAAGCATAAATAACAGGACCCATTCCAAGGAGTGTGTGTGGGTTTTCCCCCTCCCCTGTGTCCTCTGTCACCTTGGTGATGAGGCCAGAGTGATGTGAAGACTGGGAGGGAACCCTAGGTCAGACCTTGGTTTCCTGTTGTTCTTCCCAAGACCCAGGGTTCCCTCGGTTTCCATTTGGTCCTGTAGTGAAATGCTGGTGGTTGGTTTTAGGTTGGGGAAAAGACGGGTGCTGGTGTTTAAAAGGAGTAAAGGCATAGGCCCCTCATGACCTGCAGGGACCCCAGCCACTGCCTCTGGGCTTGGCTTGAGCTCCTGGGAGTCGGGAAGCTGGTTTGACATTTTGTAGGTTTCTCTCTACTGTGGAGCTGGAGATCAAATGATTGGGATGGTTCTTCCTCTGGCCTTACGGAGGCAAGGAAGTGCTCTTCCTTAGTCCCGTGGTGTTGTAAGGCTGAGACTAGGGAGATGGGTCTTGTAACTGAAAAGTAACTGCTTCTCCAAACACCACCTGCAGCTTTCTGGGGCACCATTGTTTACAGGACTAGCTTTAGGGCATGACTAGATTCTGCCCCAGTTCCACCTGCCCTCTCCCTCTACTCCCCTCAGTTCACCCACAGGCACCTGGCAGTCAGCTGTTGAGGTGCAGGGCCTCAGCTTTGTCCCGGTGTGCCACCTCTGAACCCTGCTGTCTGGTTTAAGTACCACTCCTGTGGGAATGGTGGCATTGTTCCTAGTTGTGCCCGGTTCCCACTCCCCTCCCCCAGGACTGGTTGATGTCTAGAGCTGCCTTTCACGTGGCCCCACCCTCCCCTCTTGCATAGTGGATCTGAAAAGCAGCACCTTGTGACTTAACATCACCTGCTTCATGTGCTGGGCTAGCTCTCGTGCCAGCCAAACTCGGGAGGAAAAGGGACCTAGGATCTAGGCAGGGGCTGGGCTGAAATCAGTAGAGGGCAGGGAGGAAAGAACACAGTTCCCACGCTCTCATCTCTGCTTTGCTGGTGAGGCTGATGGCCCCCAGTGAGGCCGCATGGACAGTAGGCGGGGTGGGAGTACTTGGGGAGGGTGCACCTGGGATGTGCTGTGCCCTTTCACACAGACGGAGGCCTTCCCCGTTCCTGGGAGGGCACCGACAGTCAGACTGCCCCGGGCTGGACGGAAATG
This sequence comes from Homo sapiens, assembly GCF_000001405.40. Taxonomy (NCBI): domain Eukaryota; kingdom Metazoa; phylum Chordata; class Mammalia; order Primates; family Hominidae; genus Homo; species Homo sapiens. The sequence goes on along the minus strand of NC_000008.11, from coordinate 37,842,557 downwards.
TATTATGCGTGTTTCTGGGATTGTCTGTCGCTACCCCAGAGGGATGCCCTCTAGGCAAGTGGGGAACATCCGCCTGTGGGCTTCCTCCAGCCATCGGCTCCTCTGCCTCCAACCTGCTGACTACGGAGACACCTTGGAGGGCCCCGAGGAGCGGGGGAACGAGCCGCGTGGCCAGCCCGTCTACCGCGTCGCCCGCCCCACCTTAGACGGTAGTTTCGCTCTTCCAGAGTCCGGTCTTCATGCAGCCGCCGCTGGCTACCTCCGCGCCCATCAGGGTGACGTCGTCGTACTTGCCCCCCTTGGGGGCGCCGTTTAGGCTGGCGGCGTTGAGCGGGTACGAGCGGCGATGGCTCTCCTTCTCCAGCGCGCCGCCGCCCTTGAGACTGTCGCGGCTGGCGCTGCGGCGCTGGCCTGCCCGGCCCGCCTCAGAAAGCGGCGCGGCGCTGGTGTCGCTGCCCTCGGACGGCGTGAGCATGGGCTCGCCTTCCAGCTGCAGGCCGGCGCCCGGGCTGTTGCGGCTGCTGCCCAGGTAGCTGTCGGTGGGGCTGTTGTGCAGACTGCCGCTCTCGCTGGACAGCAGCTCCAGCGCCCCCGCCGCGCCCCCGCGCAGGGCCTTGAGCCGGTTCTTGCCGCAGGCCTCCCCCGCGCGGTGTCCCTTGGCCCGGCTCTTGTGCGCCCGACGCCCGTGGTGCACGTTGTTGGGGTGGCGGTGGGCGAGGTTTCCCCGGGTGCCCGCCGGCTCCGGCTCTCCTTCCCCGCCGGCCGCCGCCCCCGCCTCGCACACCTGACTCTGGGCCAGCTGCAGGTTGGTGAGCTTGCAGGGGCCCAGAGCCAGCGGATGGCCGCTGCTGCCGCTTGGGGAGGACTTGAGGGAGGGGGGGCCCTCCCCGAACACCGGGGAACCGTCCTCTGCGGCGGCGGGCAGGGCCCGGGGCGGGGCATGGGGGGCCGCGGGAGAGGCAGGGGGGCAGCAGGCGCGCCACGAGGCTCTCACGTCCCTCCGCCTGGCACAGTGGTGAGTGAAGACGAAGAGGCCCAGGGCGGAGGCTGCCACCCCGTACAAGCAGCTGCACACCACCCGGGGCAGCCAGCGCTGGGACACTGCCAGAGCCCCGCAGGCCCACATGGCCAAGTACAGGAAGTGCGTGGTCACCAGCGCCCCTAGCTGGACTCCCGGAGAATAGAGGCTGTCACCATCCTCCGGGGGCCCGGGCGTCCCCACTCGCGCGCTCCCAGTAGCAAGAAGGGAACCTGAGTCACTCAGGAGGGGGCCGCTGCCCCTGAGCCTGGTGGAACCCCTCAGCTCCTCCCCTGCCTCCAGGGAGGCCCTGCTGTTGCCCGCCTTGGGGTTCTGTGCCAGAGGACCCCGTAAGCGTAGCCCGGCGCACAGGAAATAGATCCAGGTGATGAGCAGAATCAAAGCCACAGGGATGTAGAAGGCGCCAAGGCTTGGACGCCACACCAGCCAGCAGCTGTAGGAGACACAGAAGCAGTGATGAGGACAGGGGGCATGGCTGGGGTGGGGCTGGGGGCCGGGGTGGTTGGGGAGACAGGATATGGTGAGTACGGAGACAAGGACGGCTTGGTCAGCATGCATGGGCTTGGGTTGGGTTATGGCTGGGTGGACCTGGCAGATGGCCCTGCCAGTGGAGTGGAAGGCATCTGGTGTTAGGTAGGTAGGCTTGGGGCGGGAGGGAGGGGTGCTCACTAGGGGCTGTGGTCCCGGTAGTTGTGGATGTTGACTGCAGCTGTGATGCCACAGATAATGAGTGGAATCCCTCCAGCGATCAAATAGAACCTGGAGGGAATGAGGGATTGGGGGTCCCAGAGATGGGGAAAGGGAAGGGAAGAACTGGGTGCTTAGAGCCCTTTGCTTGATGTTTCTGTCCCATCCTCTTTCCCCTTTAAATTATCAGAATTTTTTGCCAGGGATGCAAGGTCCCTGCAGGGACTACTTGGACTTGGCCATGACTGTTCTAAGGGGCAGAGGCCAGAATTGCTCTCTCACCCTAAACAGTGCAGAAGTCAGGGGTGCCACTCAGGTTCCCAGGATCCTTGCCATGGCATTTGGAGTCATCTCCTTCCCTGGCTTTGTCATGCCCCAGAAGCCCGCAAGATGTCCCCCACTGCATGGTCTTGTGTGACCTGCTGAGTCTAGGGCCTAGCCTCCCCCGTCTTTGGAGAGTGATCTCCCAGGGACCTTAGACTCACCCTTCACCCACCTTGGGAGGTTTCCTACGCCTGCGTTGGAGTCCCTCCCCAATTGCAAAGCTGGAATTGAAAGTATGTACCGGAGCATAGGACTGGGAGTAGGCAGAGCGGGGTCCCCTTCTTGCGGAGGGGGTGCCCTCCAGGTGAGCTCCTTATGGAGCACTCGCGCCTTCACGCCCATCCAGAGCAGCGTGGATAGGGAGGAGTAGTGCAGGGTGATGCCCACCTGCGGGGTCAAGGCACGGAGGCTGGGGACCTGGGGACTACGACTGGACCCTCCCAGAGCTTCAGTCCTGCTGGTGTCCTCCCAGGCTTCCAGCCTCCGGCCCCCAGCTTTTTTACTTTACCCAGCCCACTCCCCATACACTCGCCAAGCTTCCATCCCTACTGCCACCCTCTGCCTTCACCCCAGGGTTCTCTCCCATTGCAGGGCTTCCCATGACCCTGATATGGCTATCTGGCTGATCCCCCACCTCCCCACCACTGCACGTCTCCATTTCCACTTTGAAGCCCATCTCCCATTCTCTCTGATCTGGTTCTTACCACCCCCTACTTTCACTCTCCACGACCCACCATCCCTGCCTTCCAAGGCTGCCACAGAGGAAGCCATGGAGCCACGGCCTATGAGCACCAGCCTTTTTCTTCCAGCGCATCACCCCACTCTATGCCTAGGTGCCAGCACTCATCTCGGAGCACCACCCCCAGAGCCCCTTCTCCTGCTTACCGCCTGGCAGACCATCTGGTAGTTGGTGAGTGTGATGCCCCCCGCAAAGACAGCAGAGGTCATGGCTATGTGGAAGCACAAGTTCAGCAGCATGTGCCAGCCTTTCCGGGACACACGGATGGAGCTGCCCGGAAACAGTCTCGAATTAATGGCCGTCCAACCCAAGGTCAGGCCCATGGGGTCTCAAGGCCACTGGGAGAGCCACGGGGGGCAGGCACATATCTGCGTGTGTGAATGGTTGGGAATGTGACAGAGGCCATAGGGTAGGGAGTCCTTAACCCCTCAAAGTGATTCCAACCCCAATGGGTGAGAGGCTGAGAAAGTCATGTGGACCCACCTGGGGAAAAAACCCCTGCCAAGTCCTCAGTGAGTCCACCCTGCACCCATGCTGGGAGGTTTCCTACACCTGCCTCGGAGTCCCTCCCCCATTGCAAAGCTGGAATTGAAAGTATGTACCGGAGCATAGGACGGGAAGTGGACAGGGTAGGGGCCCCTTCCATGCCTGCCCACCACGCCCTCCCTCCTGCAGGAGCACCCACCTGTGGTTGAGGATGTAGGTGATGATGGTGGCGAAGAGGCAGAGCAGCAGCAAGGCCGTGCAGGGGTATACCACGGGGTGCAGCCCTGCCCCGGCGCCCCCCACCTCCCTGGGAAAGGCGCTCAGCTCCTGGGAAAGGGCAGGAAGGAGGACGTGAGGAATGTGGACACCTCGCCAGGCCCCCAGGCCAGCTTTCCTCTTCCCAGGCCCCGTCAGCCTTGGTCCTGCACTTTGGTGCTTAGTTCATCTGGGCAGGGAGGAAAGCTTCGGGCTGTCCACTCTTAGGAAGCCAGCCCTATGGAGCCAGCTACTGCAGCCCCTTCCCTGCCTCCAGTCCTGCTTTGCTGAGGACTCTTCACACCCTCAGCCTGAAAAACCAGAGATGAGGAGAAAGGGAGCAGGTGCTGCCTGTGACCAGCAGCAGGCCTGCAGGACTGGAGAGTGGCAGTACCACGTGCCACGAGGGAGGGGGTGACCAGGAAGGAGAAGGGTTCCCAGATTATTTTTTTCTTCTTTGTAAGAATCTAGTCTCGGCTGGGCACGGTGACTCATGCCTATAATCCCAGCACTTTGGGAGGCTGAGGCGGGCGGATCATTTGAGGTCAGGAGTTTGAGATCAGCCTGGCCAACATGGCAAAACCCTGTCTCTACTAAAAATACAAAAAATTAGCCGGGCATGGTGGCACACGCCTGTAATCCCAGCTACTTGGGAGGCTGACTCAGGAGAATCACTTGGACCTAGGAGGCGGAGGTTGCAGTGAGCCGAGATCATGCCACTGCACTCCAGCCTGGTGACAAAGCCAGACTCCGTCTAAAAAAAAAAAAAAAAAAAAATCTGGTCTCAGAAAGTGCAGGATGTGAAGGCCAGGCTAGGGAGTTCCAGATCCATCGGGAGTTCCAGATCCATCAGATCCAACTATCTGGATATAGGCATGGAGGCCGGACCTCCCTGTCTCCTGAAAGATGGAGAGGTAGGAGAGGCCAAAGGGCCATTTCCCCACATCCCACCACTCATGGGGCCCAATTAGGGCTGCAGTCCTTTCTGTATTTCTCCATGGTCCCAAATGGTCAGAGTACACCCACCCCCATTTTCCACCCAGCCCGTGTCCCTGCCCCCCCGACTTGTCACCCCTCCTCACACCCACCATGAGCACGGCCACATTGCCCAAGTGCTGGCAGTGCAGGGCGCTGACATTGGGCTGGCTGGAGCGGAGCTGGCAGCCCTCCGAGGTCCAGCCCCCAGCCTCCCCGGGCCCCTCCTGGCTCCACCAAGCGGCCACAGGTTCGGCTCCCTCAGCCCAGTGCCGCAGCGAAACGGCCACTGGCTCTGTCAGGTTTCCCACGCCACAGCCACCTACAGCGGGAGAGGGACGTCCACACAGACACACACAGGGTGTCAGGGAGGTGGGCTCAGCCGGGACTCAGCAGCAGCAGCAGTGACAGGGTGTGTACTAGGCACCTGCCAGGCAGGGCACAGTGCTGGGCTGGGGGCATGCGGTGAGATGCCAAGGACAGCCTCAGTCTAATGGGGGACCCTGGAGGGGGTGGGTGCGGATGATGGTGGAAAATGTGAGCCCTCTGTGGTGGCCCACCCTGAGTGCTGGATGAGCAGTGATGTCATGCTCCATGGTGAGGACTCAGGCTGGCGGGGGCTCAGGGACAAGAACACAGAAATGCAGATGGAGGGAACAGAAGCCAGGCGAAGGGAGGAGGGAGGAGGGAGGCGGGCGGGATGGAGAGAGGACTAGGAGGAGGCGTTCCCAGTGGGAGAGGGGCTCCCGGAGCAGGCCCTGGGCTCCACAGACCCCTCACCCACCCGCCTCAACCCACACACTCCCACAGCCCACGCGGTTGCGGACACAGGGCTTTCACCTTCCTCAGGCCACCTTACTTGTCCTTTAAGTCTTAGTGGTTTTCGGGAAAGGCCTCGCTGGCCTCCAGCTAGGTTGGGTGGTCCCTCATCCCTGTGCCCTCCAAAACACTTCACTGCTTCTCACTTACAACGAGCTGCTCTTCACTGCTGCTCACTTACAACGAGCTGCACTTACAACGACTTGTCCACTGCCTGTCCTCTCTGCTGAAGGGTGTGTTCCTCAAGGACACAGCCGTAACTGTCTGTGCACAGGTGTGTCCCAGCTCAGGCACAGTCTGGCACATACCAGATACTCAGTGAGTGTCCCTGGCCAGAATGCAAGACCTGACAGCAAGAGTCTGTGCTAGGAACAGGATGGAACCCACGGTGGGGTGGCAGTGCCTTCTGGCTGGGCAAAGGGGGTACAGCCACATCGCTAGGACCCTAGAGGGCTCATGGAGGGAGGCAGACGTCCTGATGATGGGAAACAACCCAAGACTTTGAAGGGGCTCTCTGACGTGCAAAGTGCAGTTTGCAGAAGGTGAATCTGGTGACGGCATGAGGGATGGACTGAAGGTGGAGGTGTGGGGGCCAGAGATGGGCTGGTGTCAGCGTGGATGGTGGGAGTAACAGTGGAATCACTGGCAGAAAGAAGGCAGGTGTGGGGTCGCTGGTCCCGGGGGAGAGATGGAACGACAAAAGGGGGACTGCAGGTGATCCATCTGCTTTCTGGGTGCCAGGCCCCCAGGTGGGTGGCGAGTCAGACACTCGGTGTCTCCCACCCACCACACCTCTGCTCATGTTGTTATTCCTCTGCCCTGGTCTCCGCCCTTCCTTGGTGTCTCTGAAAGTCCTGATCATCCCTCAAGGCCCATCTGTGTCAGTCCCACCTCCGCCATGACAGCTGGAGCCATGTTGCCTTTTCAGGATGCTTCTCACCTGGGCTGCCTGTGCAGCAGCTGCCTGGAACCTCTCCTGTGGCTGCCCTGGGAGGTTACTTCACCCTCTACTGCTTAGGTAGCCTCTGGGAGCAGGGACTATGGCCTAGATGTTTTTATTCCTTCCAGCACCAGTGACAGTGCTGTTTCTAGCAGGCACCTATTCAGCATTACTTGTCTGCATTGGGCCTGTGGGGTGTGTGTGTGTGTGTGTGTGTGTGTGTGTGTGTGTGTGTGTGTGTGTGTGTGTGTGTGTTGGAGGGGGCTATGCTCATAGCCCTCTTGAAATTGAACAAATCTGGGATATAGAAGGCAATGTCTTCCTGAGGCTTTTCTCCTCCAGACCCTTTCTTTATGGGGTATCTCTACCCTCTGCCCTGTTGGGAAAAGGTGAGAGACCCAACATCCTGTGTCAGTTCCACTACGGCACTGGGGGGCTGTGGGCCAGGGAAGGGCAGGATAAAGGGGAACAGGGCGGACACACGAGAGGCACCCTGGGCGGGGCGGGGAATTCAGTCCCTTACTGGTTCCTGCGAAGATGACGGGGGTGGCCACGCCACGCCTCTTGCCAGGCCCAGCAGCTCCAGGGCGGGAGGTGTTGCTGTGGCTGTGGAAGAGGCGGCCATTTCGGAAGACGAGCAGTTGCAGGGTGCAGTCTGGGGGCACCGGGGGAGCCAGGGCAGCCGGAAGGGATGAGAATAGACTCGGGGGCAGCTGGATGGAGGCCAGGGCCACGCTGTTCTGGGGGGACATAGGAGCTCCTCAGAGACACCAGGACCCCCTAGAGCACTGATGTCTTGCAGCCCCCTCCTCCCACCTCCTCTCACTGCCCCCACCAGGCACCTGCATCTGAGTGCCTCCCTTCTCCCACCCCCTCTCCCTCCCCCAGCGCCCACCTTGATGTGGAAGGACGACAGAGAAACATTGGGCCTCCCGGTGGTGCAGCGGAAGCGGAGCTGCTGGTCAGCTGGGGGCTCGGGCTCAGGTGGGGGGTTCTGGCCAGGGCTTCCTGGCCGTGTGCCCGGCACCCCTCCCTCCCTCCTCTGGAAGGCTGTGCAGGTCAGGCCCACGTAGCTGTGCGGCTTGATGAGGTAGGCCTCCAATGCCACGTTCCTCGCATTCTGGGGACAGGGACCTTGTCATCCCACCATTTGAGATGGTGGCCTTCTGCTTGGGACTGCACATCTCTCTCAATGGGCCTGCTCAGGCTGTAGTCCTCCCCTTCAATCCTCAGTTTTTTCAAAGCCACCTCTCTCTCTTTTTTTTTTTAGAGGAACAGATTCTTGCTATGTCACCCAGGCTGGAGTGCAGCATCACAACCAGCTCACTGCAGCCTACAAATCCTGGGCTCAAGTAATCCTCCCACCTCAGCCTCCTGAGTATCTGGGACTACAGGCATGCTACCATGCCCATCTAATTAAAAACTTTTTTTTAGAGATGGGGTTTCACCATGTTGCCCAGGCTAGTCTCAAATTCCAGGCCTCAAGTGATCCTCCCACCTTGGCCTCCCGAGTAGCTGGGACCACAGGCGCATGCCAACACTCCTGGGTAATTTTTGTATTTTTTGTGGAGACCAGGTCTCTCTGTTGCCCAGGCTGGTCTCCAACTCCTGGCCTTGGGAGATCCTCCTGTATCGGCCTCCCAACGTGCTGGGATTACAGGCTTCTTGCTCACCTCTTAAGTATGCCAGTTCTGTTGCCCGACTCAGCTGTAGAGCAGGCTCCATGTCTCACCCCTTTGCATCGCCCCAAGGGCCTAGCACAATATCTTGAACATACACGATGCTGTACTGTGGTTGTTATCAGATTGGAGCACTCACCTTCTCTCAGGGAACTTCCATTACTCTTCACTCAATCCCGAGTGCTGTCTGCCCTGCCACCAAGCCTTCCTCCCATCCCTTCTACTCCTTTCACTCTTCCTCCTGCTTATTCCCATCAGGCTGGCCCTTTGGCTCAGTTCCCCACCACGGAGTCTGGCATCACTTCTCCAGGGTCACCGGCCACCTCTCCTTAGCACTGCCCCTGACAACTTGGAAGTGAACCCCATGGCTCAGAACTTTGTCACGTCTGCTGCTCTTGCTAGCTGGGGCACGGCAGGTGCACGCCTGAGAGGGAGCGCCTCCCTCCTCTGCATGCCAGGGCCACCCCCTCTGCTGACCCCCATTACCACTGAGATGTGCTGGGCATGGGGGCTGAGGGCGGCCCCCCCAATGCGCTCCAGGGCACCCACGATGCGGCTGCAGGCCTTGTCCTCGCGCTGGGCCAGCCACAGCAGGTGCTCGTCCACCAGCATCAGGTTGCTGGCCATGTCCACCATCACCTCTACCAGCTGGGGGGACAGGGAAGTTGCTGAGGGCAGGGGCGGGGTTTGGGACCCAGGAGCTGGAGTGAGAGAGAGGCTTGAGCAAATGAGGGATGGGGGCGTTTTCCGAGCTCCTGAGTTCCAGCTGAGTCTCACCTCTTTGATCTGGTCGACATAACCCAAAAATTTCTGGATCATCTGAGCCACATAGACTACATCCATCATGTCTGAAAAGCTAGCGGCCTCGGCTGTGTACACGCGCAGCTGGTGAGCCAGGGTCAGCGCATTGGAGGCATTGATGGGCATCTGGGGATTGGGGGAAGAGAGAGGATCATCTCGCCTGTTCCTTCTGCCCCCGAACTGCCCCTGGGGACCCTCTGCTCTGTGCCAGTGCTCAGTGCCTGGGGACAGGAGTCCAGCCTACCTTCTGGGTCTCATCAAGCTAGGAGGGCAGAGGAGGCTGAGACCATCACAGCCCAAGGCCACCACTGCCAGCACCCCTGGTGTAAGGACAGTGGGACTCTGCTTTTGGCGTTGGTGAGTAAAGGGGCGTGAGGTGGCCAGATGGGGACAGAGGACTGGTGCCCTTCCCCACTGTGGCCTCAGTGGGTCTGAATAGCAGAGGGCGGCTGGAGGAGAGGAGCCGGCTCCTGGCTCTGCACAGGCAGGAACAGGAGGCACAGCCCAGCGGCCCGGAGATAGGGCTCCCCTTGCCCGTTAGGTTGGCTTCTCCCTTCCCTGTGCCCCCGAAGCAGAGCTGGTGGGGTGCCCTAGCCTCTCCTCACCAGCACGAAGGTGTACAGCACCCTGGTGATGTCGTTGGTGTAGAGACAGTGGGAGTAGTCCCCTGGCTCCCAGCGGCCGGCACGGTCACACCGGCGGGAGGCTCGGGTGCCCGGGGCACCCCCGCCCAGGGGCACTGAGGTGAAGGGATACTGCAGGCAGGACTGGTAGGCTGTGATGCCAGCCAGAGTTCGGGGCCACCTGGGGGGAGAGGCAGGAAGTTGCCGATGAACCGGGCTTCTCAGAACAACAGCCCTTCTCCCGACTTTAGAACGGTGAGGCCGGACTCCTTGGGGCCTTGGGGAGGGATCCAGGAGCGGGGTTCAGACCAGCCTTCCAGGGGTTCCCAAGTTCCACTCTCTTTGTTCTGACCGGGCTATCACAGGCGATAGGGGGCTGGACTTCAGAGTTCTGAGTTTAAATTCAAGTTCTGCCACTTATTTGCTATGGCTTAAGGCAAGGTATTTATCCTTTCTCGGCCTCAGTATTCTCAGCTGTACAGTGGGGAGAATAATAGCTTCCCTGCATAACAGAGAGGGTCACTGGGATCTTAAAAGGTGATACTCTTTGTGGGTGAGCTTTTGCAAACTATGAATATAAGGAAGCAAATAAAAGCCTTTTTGTGGCCAGGCACAGTGCTTGAGCCCAGGGGTTTGAGACCAGCCTGGGCAACAAAGTGAGACCCTGTCTCTACAGAAGATAACACAATAAGCTAGGCATAGTGTCTGCGCCTGTAGTCCCAGCTCCTTGGGAGGCGGAGGTGGGAGGATTGCTTGAGCCCAGGAATTCGAGACTGCAGTGAGGTATGATTGTGCCACTGCACTGGAGCCTGGATGAAAGAGCAAGACCCTGTCTAAAAAAAAGTCGCAGTGGCTCAAGCCTGTAATCCTGGCACTTCGGGAGGCCAAGGCGGGTGGATCACTTGAGGCCAGGAGTTCGAGACCAGCCTGGCCAACATGGTGAAACCCTATCTCTACTGAAAATACAAAAATTAGCTGGGCATGGTGGCACAGGCCAGCTACCGGGGAGGCTGAGGCAACAAGATCATGCCATTGCACTCCAGAGTGAGACTCTCTCTCAAAAAAAAAAAAGTCTTTTTCTGCAGCACATCTCAGATGGTAATTTTGTTTGTTTGTTTGTTTTTGAGATGGAGTCTTGCTCTTGTCTCCTAGGCTGAGGCTGGAGTGCAATGGTGTGATCTTGGCTCACTGCAACCTCCGCCTCCTGGGTTCAAGCGATTCTCCTGCCTCAGCCTCCTGAGTAGTTGGGATTACAGGCACGCACCACCATGCCTGGCTGATTTTTGTGCTTTTTGGTAGAGATGGGGTTTTGCCATGTTGGCCAGGCTGATCTCCTGACCTCAGATGATCAGCCTGCCTTGGCCTTCCAAAGTGCTGGGATTGTAGGCGTGAGCCACTGCACCCGGCCTCAGATGGTAAGTTTATACATAAAGTCTATCTATTCGATAGCAAGGCTTCAGGCTGAATGACAAAAGGAAGTGTCTTCTCCATCTTTAGGACCCAACAGAGACAGCGGATGGGGAAACTCTGGCCACCTGTGATGTCAGGTGCAAGGGTGGGGTTGGGGGCTGGGCAGCCCTCTACAGGGTGGAGTGGGCCAAACCTGAAGTCCCCGCGGTTGTTGGCAACACGCTCGGCGGGGCAGTAGGAGGCAGAGGTCTCCAGCACCACGATCTCCACCTTCTTGCTGGCGTTGCCTTGGGCCATGGACACGGTGCACTCCCACTCGCCTGAGGCCCACACGCCGATGTGAGACAGCGTCAGCTCACTGCGGGTGGCAGGTGGAGCTGGCTCGTGAGTCACCCTTGGGCCCAGCCACGTTGCCCTCCCTCAGCACCGTCCTACAACACTAGCTGCAGGTCCTTTTTTCTTTAATGAAACAAGGGATGCAAGTATGCACTCCTTTTATTCTGATTGGCCTTATGATACTGTTTTTTTGAGCTTCAATTTCCCCATCCTTATCATGGAGCCAATAATATCTCTCTTGCAGGTCTACTGTAGAGATTAAATCTGGTGCCATAGATAGGAGCCACTCTATACAATGTAAGAACACTAAAGAGATGTGAAGTATCATCATTTTGTTCTATCAGATATTTATTTCTAGCCTCTATCTAGACCATTGATAACTTAGTCCAGTCTTTCCATAAATATACAAGCACAGTCTCCCGGGAACACATCTGGGGGCAGCTCTTTTGCGGGGTGGTGACGGGTAGGGTAGGTCCCCTAACCCCATGCTGAGGCCTGAGGAGGGGCAGCGGGGCTCATACCTGGTGATGAAGGTGCAGTCGTGGATGAGGCTCTCGGCCAGGAGGATGCCCGCCTGCTCATCACCCTCCACAGGGGCTCGGTTGTGGTACCAGCGGATGCGGGTGTCGTTGCCCAGGTAGCTGGCAGAGCACTGGAAGGGCAGCCGATCCCCCTGGAACACCACTTGGCGTAGGGACGGGATGAGGTGGTGTGTGTGCAGCTCCAGGGCCCCCTCTGTGGGAGGAGACACCAGGCGTGAGGCCCGAGTGCACACGCATGTGAGGCTGCACGTGTGAGCGAGAGTCCAGCAGGATGGGGTGGGGCGGGGCGGGGCCCTCGGCCTGCAGCCTGCTCCAGCTGGGAAGGAAAAGGGGTCAAGAGAAAGTCTCTAGGGGTAAGGGTAAAGGGGAGGGACAGGCGGTTTTTGGACAAAGAAAAGTACTCCTTTCTCAGCACACGTGTTACCCCAAGAGGTGGGGCCAGATGAAAACATAAACAAGCAGTCCCAAGGGGGCTTAGAAAAGCTGATGGAGGACTGACCCCGGGACACCGAGGGAAAGGGGATGCCCTGGAGGACACGCCCAGCACACAGTCATAGGCGGAGTAGGGAGAATAACACTGGCCCCGCCTCACAGGGAGGGTCGCTGGGATAGTAAATGTGATTCTTTTTGTGGGAGAGCTGTTGCAAACCTGTAATGAAAGACAGCACAGAAAAGCCTTTTTGTGCTGGGCAGCACTTCTCAGATGGTGATTTATACATAAAGATAAGGTCTCCCTAAATGCAAGAGCAGGACTCAGTGTCGTGGTCTTTTGCAAATTGCAATACAAAGGTAAAAACCTGTGGGTCTGAGGGGAGGCTCGTGTCTGGGCCCTGGGTTGGTGGAGAGGCAGGGTCCCTGGGAGATGTGTAGCTGGGGGGACTTGCTCACCGCAGCAGAGCTGGGCCTCCTGGAGGCTGCCCAGGGCCTGAGCATGCAGGGCACTGGGGTAAGCACAGAGCGTGTGTTCCGACAGCTGCAGGGAGCGATTCTGGGCCCAGGGCAGCAGCCAGCGCAGGTGGCAGTCACAGGTCAGGAACTCGGTGCCCAAGTCCCTGCAGGGTGGGCAGAGGGGTCACGGAGCAGAGCAGAGGGAGTGTGGGCTCATGGGTGGCCTGGGGCCCCAGGGAGGGATGAAGCTGGAGAGGGTAGGAGGGGCAAAATCGGGTCTATGTGCACCATCTCTGCCCCGGGCCATCGCGGGAAGGTGATCATGGGGGCATTTCAGGCACTGTCTGCTGTGGCCACTCGTGAGACCAGTCCTGGTGGTCATGATACTTATACATCTCTCCTGGGCAGAGAAAGGGACAGGGGTCTGGGTCCTTGAGCTAGGAAGAGATACTCACACAACCTTAAGGGCTGGCAGCTCATCAAAGACCCCAGGTTGCAGACTGGAGAAGATGTTTCCAGATATGTTTCTGCAGGGAACAGGGGACAACTGAGATGGGGTCTTAGGGTGTCCATGGGCCGGCGGAGGAGAGCAGGTGGGATGTGGAAGGGTTGGGGGCCACATTTTGCTTCCTATGCACTTCTTCCCTCTCCTCCCCTCCCCACTTCTCACCCCATCACTTACAGTCGGAGAAGCCTGGGGAGGCCCTGGAAGGTCTCGGAGGTGAGACAGCCAATCCGGTTGTTGGAGAGATCTCTAGAGAGACACAGGCAACCTCAGCATGTTGGCCACGTGGCAGCACGTGGGTCCACTTGTGAGGAACACATGGGTGGGGCCAGGGCTTGTGTTGGGGGGTGGGATGAAAAAGGAGATGAGGTTGGGGCCAGGCCGCAGCTGGACTGGAAATGCCAGCTCCTTTGACCCCAGCCAAGGCACCCAAGCGGAAAGGAGGGGCAGGTGTGGGGGGGTGAGAGGAAGGGGGTGGGCATGGAGCAGGAGGGGTGACTTTCTCCCTCGGGAGGGGAGGGGTGGGGTCAGGGGAGGGCGTGCCACTCACAAACGCTTCAGCTCCCCCAGGCCCAGGAAGGCGCCCGGCTGCACTGTGCTGATGATGTTGTTCCTCAGGTCCCTGCAGAGGCAAGTGCAGAGGCCCTCACACCTCTCCCCGCTGGAGCCGCCCTGCTCCCCGGGAGGGGTCCTCACTGTCACCACGGTGTTGTTGCTGGGTTTCTCAGGGACTTGACTTCCTGCTAAACCTCTGCTCTCCTCAGCACCGGGTGGGAGGTGGGATTAAAGAACCACCCCTGATCAAGGCCATCCTGGCCAACATGGTGAAACCCCGTCTCTACTAAAAATACAAAAAAAAAAAAAAAAAATTAGCCAGGTGTGGCAGTGTGCACCTGTAGCCCCAGCTAGGCAGGAGAATTGCTTGAACCCGGGAGGCGGAGGCTGCAGGGAGCCAAGATCGCGCCACTGCACTCCAGCCTGGGCGACAGAGCGAGACTCCATCTCAAAAAAAAAAAAAAAAAAAAAAAGAACCACCCCCTCGGACAGGCCTCCTCCGCCTCCCTGGCTACCATCAGCGGGCACTGGTCAGAACAGAGAGAGGAGACGAAGAAGCCAAGAGATGGGATCACAAGGGCCTCAGACAACATGGAGAGCGTCCTGGATTGGAAGTTAGGAGGCCTCCTTTCCCACCCTGCCCCACCTCCGGACTGCCCTGCAGGTCGCTGGGGTTGCCCTGGGAAGCATTTGAAAATAGGTGTCATGGTGTTTTGTAAATTGCTATGCAAAGGTAGAAGCTTCTTGAGCCTGGCCTTTGTGGGCAGGGGAGGGGACGCATGGGAGGGGTAGTTGTTTTGTTTTGTTTTGTTTTTGAGGCTGGGTCTCTCTGTCATCCAGGCTGGAGTGCAGTGGTGTGATCATGGCTCATTGTAACCTCAAATTCCTGGGCCCAAGCCATCCTCCAACCTCTGCCTCCCAAGCAACTGGCACCACAGGTGTGCGCCACCACACCCGCTAATTTAAAAAAAAAAATTTTTTTTGGTAGAGACAGGGTCCCACTATGTTGCCCAGGCTGGTCTTGAACTCCTGGGCTCAAGTGATCCTCCCTCCTGGGCCTCCCAAAGTGCTGGGGTTACAGGTGTGAGCCACCGCGCTTGGCCAAGGAGGGTATTTTTATGGCTGTTTTATCCCTGTGCCCCTCTCTGTCTGACAGGCGAGGAAACAGGTCAGGCGGCTGGCCGAGGCCCAGGTGGACTCTGCCTGGCTCCTCTCCAGGGCAGGGGTGTAAGTCCTGTCCAGCCTCCTCCTTCAGATGAGGAAGCCAGGGAAGTGACAGCTTGTTCAAGGTCCTCAGTCCTGTCTTCTCCATGGGTCTCCGCAGGAGCCCGCAGTGTCGGGAGACAGGACAGAAGGGGGCTGTGACCCCCCAGGGATCCCAGGGGCCAAGCCTGGCCTGGAGGAGTGAGCGGCAGGTAAGTCCGCAGCCTTCCAGCCCTGAGTCTGTGGCTCAAATTCAATCATGGCCTAGGCACAACTCTCTGCCCCCTTCCTCACCTGCCCCTGGGGCTGCAGGGACAGTGCTGAGGAGACAGTGCCCACCCACAGGCGACCTGCTGGGTATCTGCCTGCCCTAACCCCACACCTGCCAGGGCAGCCCCCTGGGCTCTTGGGGCAGGCAGGACCACAGAAGACCAAGGTGGGTGCCTGCTCACTGGCCTTCTCCCTCACCCTGTCCTCTGTGCCCTGCACAGCCAGGGACAGATGCCTAGAAGGCAGAGTGGGTGGGGCCAGTTGCCCACCTACTCAAAGGCCAGCTGGCTCTTTCCTGAGCTAAACCAGGACAGGCTTCAGGCTCCATAGAGCTCATGGGCCTCACAGCCCAGTGGGCCTCCCTGTGCTGGGTCTGAGATGGAGGCAGTGGCCTCTTGGCTCCCACCCACTGGCAGGAGATTGTGAGGCAGCAGGCAAGGGTGGGTGGACCCCTGGAGCAGGCAAGGGTGGGGGCCCCCTGTCTGAAGGGGCTGTGGCGGGAAGACAGGAGATCCACAGAGATTTCTGGGGCCCACTTGCTTTCCCAGGCCTTACCACCCCTCAGCCCAGATGGAGGAGGGGGTCAGGGTTGGGGGCTGAGGGGACTCTTGGCCCTGCCACCCCTCAGCCCAGATGGAGGAGGAGGTCAGGGGTGGGGGGCTGAGGAGGCTCTTGGCCCTGCCCACCACAACCTCATCAACGTCTCTGGATTACTGGGCAGGAGGGGGTTAACCAAGCCGGCTGCCCGCTGGGAGGAGAGGAAATGGGTGTTCAGGACGGGGAGGTACTGTCCCACCAGGGGGCCTGTTTGTGCACAGTCCCGCTTGGGGACAGAAACACTGTGCACAGCCCTTCCCACGGCCAGGGGAGCCCTCACCCTCAGCTCCTTCCCATAGGAAGGACTCGAAGGACTCAGCCGGCCTCCATGACCCCAAGTCCCTGGAGAAGGAAGGGAAGGGGCCACCAGAAGGGGCCAGTTCCCTAGAGGAGGGATGGCTTCCATGCTGGGGTGTGCTGGGAGGTGCCCCCCAGTGAGGCGCACACAGGGACCGTGCCAGGACACTGATCCTAGGCCCCTGGCCGAGGGAGAGGGATGCAGGATAAGTATCCTGGCTGCCAGGGGTGCCCCTCTGGCCCAGCCCCCACCGTTTTGCCGCCAGACCCCATCCTCACTGCCTGCCCCTCTGGGACTGTCCCAGCATGTGCCCCCTGGCCCCTGTTGGGGTCTGGCCATTCTCAGGGCTCAGCCTCCCACCCCCACGTGGGGGACGGGCAGAGGGAAACACATTCCTCATTGTGTCACTTCCCTTCATGGGCTGCCAAGGGGCTTAGGCGCAGCCCCCCTTCCCTCCCCGCTCACTTGTGTTTATTCTCATTTCCTCCCCGGGCCCCCTCAAAAGCCCCCACCCGCCTGCCCCACTGATGCTCTGCAGATGGGAGCGAGGCGGCGTCCAGGCCCCAGCCCCTCTTCCTGCCCTCGATTTCCTGCAGCCCAGCCATGCTGGGGCCTTGGAGAGGGCACCTCCACCTCCACGGAGGGTGGGCATGCCTTCTCCCTTGCCTCAAGCCCGCCTGGGGAGGAGCCTCGGGGTGACCAAGGCAGCCCCCACGAGTGCCCTTGGGAGCTGGCCTGTCTCGGCTCCCTGGGCTGAGCTCTGAGAGCCTGAAGGACCCATGGGAAGCCGATGCTGCCTGGTCCCTCTGGGTAAGAAGCTGTGTCCTCCCTCGGGGCGGGAGAAATGCTACCATAAGACTTGGACATTTTTGGGACCTGCAGGTCTCCTATAGATTGGTTGTTTTGAGCCTTTTTTTTCTTAGCACATCCTTTTGAAGATCTACGAAGGCCATGAACTTCTGCCCGAGAAAAACTCACTACACCCATCACTATGCATACAATTTCCAGAGGGGCATAGAGCCCAAGTTAAGAAGCCCCGGCCGGGTGCGGTGGCTCACACCTGTAATCCCTGCACTTTGGGAGGCCGAGGTAGGCAGATCACCTGAGGTCAGGAGTTCGAGACCAGCCTGGCCAACATGGTGAAACCCCGTCTCTACTAAAAAAAAAAAAAAAAAATTTAGCCAATGTGGGGGTGGGCGCCTGTAATTCCAGCTACATGGGAGGCTGAGGCAGGAGAATCACCTGAACCTGGGAGGTGGAGGTTGCAGTGAGCTGAGATTTCGCCACTGCTGCACGCCAGCCTGGACGACAGAGTGAGACTCTTAAAAAAAAAATGACAGAAGTCCTTTGCTGGATGGTCTGATCTGATCCCTCCGTTTCTCAGGTGAAGCTAGAGTAGCTTGTGGAAGCACGCGCAGATATGCTTCCACAGAGCCCTGTCCTTGGAACCTGGGAAAGACGCAGGGTGTTGAAGGCACTTCCCCTCCCTGCTACCCATTGCCCCTTGACTCCAGGCCACCCCCTCCCTGTATCTCTGTCAATATGCAGGAGGATTCCCCTAAGCCAGATGTGGAGGGAGGATTCCTGGGAGCAAATCATGCCCTATGCCGTTGTTGGGAAAACAGAGGCTTTGGGAGCTGAGTGTGTAAGAGTGAGTTTGTGAGCAGAAGCAATGAAAGGAGGAGGGAGTAACGGATGAATAAAAGTTCAGAAAAAGCAAAACGGGGTGAAATAGGAAACAAAGCAGATTGTTAAGTTGAATTTAATAACAACTTAAAAATTTTACACCTTTGGCCAGGTGAGTGGCTCATGCCTATAATCCCAGCACTTTGGGAGGCTGAGGCAGGTGGATCACCTAAGGTCAGGAGTTCGAGACCAGCCTGGCTAACATGTTGAAACCTTGTCTCTACTAAAAATACAAAAAATTAGCCGTGTGTGGTGGCGGGAGCCTTGTAATCTCAGCTATTCAGGAGGCTGAGGCAGGAGAATCGCTTGAACCCGGGAGGTGGAGGTTGCAGTGAGCTGAGATCACACCATTGCACTCCAGCCTGGGCAACAAGAGCAAAACTCAGTCTCAAAAAAAAAAAAAAAAAAAAATTGCACCTTAGAGGATACCATCAAGAAAGTGAAAGAGAACCACAAAATGAGAGAAAATATTTGCAAATCAGATCTGATAAGGGATGTCTATCTAGAATATACACAGAACTCTTACAACTCAATAGCAAAAAGACAAATAATCCAGTTGAAAAAAATGGGCAGGCTGGGCATGATGGCTCATGCATGTAATCCCAGCACTCTGGGTGGCCAAGGCGGGCAGATCACGAGGTCAGGAGTTCGAGACCAGCCTGACTAACATGGTGAAACCCATCTCTACTAAAAATACAAAAATTAGCTGGGCGTGGTGGCGCATGCCTGTAATCCCAGCTATTCAGGAAGCAGAGGCAGGAGAATCACTTGAACCCAGGAGGCGGAGATTGCAGTGAGCTGAGACCATGCCATTGCACTCCAGCTTGGGCAGCAAGAGTGAAACTCCATCTCGAAAAAAAAAAATTGCATCTTAAAGGATATCATCAAGAAAGTGAAAGAGAACCACAGAATGAGAGAAAATATTTGCAAATCAGATCTGATAAGGGATGTCTATCTAGAATATATACAGGACTCTTACAACTCAATAGCAGAAAGACAAATAACCCAGTTGAAAAAAATGGGCAAAGGATCTGAATAGACATTTTATCCAAGAAGACACACAAATGGCCAATAAGCCCATACAAAGATGCTCAACATCACCAGCAGTAAGGGAAATGCAAATCAAAGCCACTTGACACCTACTAAGACAGCTGTAATAAAAAAGAGAGACTCCAGCAAGTGTTGATGACGATGTGGAGAACTGGAACCCTTACACATTACTGGTGGGAATGTAAAATGGTGCAGACACTTTGGAAAACAGTTTCACAGTTCGGGTTACCATATGACCCAGAAATTCCACTCCTAGGTATATATCCAAGAGAAATACAGATACATCCACACAAGAACCCATAGCTGAATGTTCACAGCAGCATTGTGCATAGTAGCAAAAAGTAGAAACTGGCCACGTGTGGTAGCTCAAGCCTGTAATCCCAACACTTTGGGAGGCTGAAGTAGGAGGCTCACTTGAGACCAGGAGTTCAAGACCAGCCTGAGCAACACAGTGAGACCCCTATCTCTACCAAAAAAGAAAATTGGCCAGGCATGGTGGTGCGTGCCTGTAAGTCCCAGCTATTCAGGAGGCTGAGACAGGAGAATTGCTTGAGCCCAGGAAGTCAAGGCTGCAGTGAGCCGTGATCATGCCACTGCACTCTAGCACTCTAGCCTGGCGCCAGAGTGAGACCCTGTCTGTCAAAAAAAAAAAAAAAAAAAGGTTGGGCATGGTGGTTCACACCTGTAATCCCAGCACTCTGGGAGGCCAAGGCAGGCAGATCACAAGGTCAGGAGTTCGAGACCAGCCTGACCAACATGGTGAAACCCCGTCACTACTTAAAAATACAAAAATTAGCCGGGTGTGGTAGTGCGCGCCTGTAATCCCAGGTACTCAGGAGGCTGAGGCAGGAGAATCGCTTGAACTCGGGAGGAGGAGGTTGTAGCAAGCCGAGATCGCACCACTGCACTCCAGACTGGGCAACAGAGTGAGACTCCATCTCAAAAAAAAAAAAAAAAAGTAGTATCCACCCAAATATTCAAGAGATGAAGGGATAAACAAAATGTGGTGTAGTCATACAATGGAATATTATCTGGCCATTAAAAGGAATGAAGTGCTGATACGTGCTATAACATGGGTGAACCCTGAAAGTACCATGCTGAAAGAATCGAGTTATGAAAGATTACCTATTGCATGATTTCATTTATATAAAATGTCCAGAACAGGCAGATTTATAGATCTATAGACAGAAAGCAGATTAGTGGTTGCTTGGGCCTGGGGAAGAGGGGGTGGAGGAATGAGGAGTGACTGTTAATGATTCAAGGTTTCTTTTGCGGATGATGAAAATGTTCTAAAATTAGATTATGGTGATTACACAATTCTGTAAAATATACTAGAAACCATTGGATTGCACACTTTTTTTTAAACGGGTGAACTTTTATGGCACGTAAATTATATCTCACTAGAGCCGTTAAAGAGCATGTGAGTTAAAGAGCATGTGACTGTGTGTGTGTGTGTGTGTGTGTGTACCCACATACAGGCAGGGTGGGGCCGCAGAGAGTCAGCTCCCTCTGGCCCCACAGACCTCCCTGCTTGTGGGTTTGAAAACCAAATTATAGGTTCGGAGGCCACAAAGCAGCCTTCCCTGGGCCTACAAGACTTCCAGGGTTCACTAGAAAGTGGGGGCTGGCTGAGAAGTGGGCCAGGACACCCTGCAGGTATAGAAGTGTCTAGGGGAGGAAGGGAGAGGTTCTAGTCCCATCCTCCAGGTGCCTCTTGTCTCTGATAACAATCCACAGGTTATTTATTGAGCATGTACCCCATGCCAGGCATGGGGGCTACCATGGCAAACAAGAGGGCTGTCCCTGAACACATCAGCCTTCCCTCCTGGGCCTCAGTGGTGCAGGAGTCCAGGCAGCTTGTCTGCGGCATTCCTCCCCAGTGTTGTTGGGGACGGGGAGGGGAGGAGGGACAGAGCCCAGCAGCCTCACCCTCGGCCCCACCCACAGACTAATGGAAGCCACCTGGCGTTGGGCAAGCCTCACTCCACCCCCAGGCCGCCACTTTCGTTCGTTCCCATGAGCATCTGCTTCTAATGAGCGCCTCAGCACCCCTGCATACCAGCCCCCGGGGCTCATTAATCTCATTAAGTAATGACAAATCATCCCGGGGCTGACCGGGCTCCCCTTCCCAGACTCTTTCCTTTAGCCGTGCACGAGCCTCTGGGGGCCAGTGTCCACACAGACCCATGTGCTGGCAGGCACGCAGTCTCGCTCCCTTGGCCTCTCTTGGGGCTGTCTGCCCTGGCCGGCTTGGTCCCTGGTCTAGAGGCATCTTACTGTGACTGACACCCTCAGAGCCCCCCAGAAAAGTCTTCCTGTGGCCTAGTCCCCATTGCATGTGCTTGGCAGGGGATCCCGGGGAATGAATCACCAGCTGTACTTGGAGCATGTATATTTCAGCTACACAGTTGCCTGCCCAAGGCTGGGAACTGTAGGCAAATCTATGCAAATGACAGGCGGCCAGGGTAACATCTAGCAACTGGGAAATCTTCAGAGGGGAAGGGAACTGCCTGCCATATACTGGAAGCCTGTGCTGCCATGCGTTCTGTGTAAGGAACTCTTCCTCTGTTCCTGTAACAATTCCTCATAGCCCTATTTTCCAGGTGAGTAACCCAGGGCTGGGAGAGGCACTGGAAGGTAAAAGAAGGAGGGATGATTCCACTCCAGGCTGCTTTTCACACCAAATGGAGTCCAGCGCTCTTTCATCAGCTTCTCTCTGCCCCAAAAGTCTTTCCTTTGGGCAAGAAACAGTCTTGGCCATGCTGGAGGGTGGTGGGAGAGAGAGAGGGCACAGACGTGCAAGGTGGGTCTTCTGTACACTCCCTGGGCGGCCCAGGAGGTGTTTCTGCAGGGCTCTGTTTCAGGTCTTCCTGTCTATCCTATCTGGCTGATAAAGGTGTGTGCCCCCCCATCTCCACCCCTACCCCCAACCTCTCTGGATGATCATCTCTGACACATTCCCACTGGGCATCCGCTCTGTGGCCCCTTCCTTGCCCATCCTGCCCATGCTGGCCTCAGGACCCTGCATTGCAAAACAGATACCACGCAGATCTACTCCCAGCTCCTGTACAACAAGGCGACCCCCTCACGTACACACAGCCCATTTGCAAAGGCTCAAGGGGCTCTCAGCCAAGGAGGCCATGCAAACACATTCTGCAACAGCCTGGAGCTTCCGTTTCAGTTAACAGACTGGGCCTCAACCCTCCCACTGGACGTGCTGCTCATAGACTGTGGGATGTTAAGTTGCCATGGCCTCAGCCGCCCAAGCCTAGACATCTGAGTTTGACAGGACAGAGGGATCAGTGTTTCCTGAGCACCAACTACATGCCAGCCCATGGAGTCTTATTCCTGATGAATAGGCCCTCAGTCTAGGGGTCATCTTGCCCACTGGCACCTAACCCTGGATGAGCATGAGAATTGCCTGCATAGCATGTAAAAAATTCCCAGGCCCCATGGGACAGATGAATTAGAATCTCCAGGAGGGAGGCCCAGCATCTGTATTACCCAAGGGCCCTCTCCTTCTGGGGGGATAGTGGTTGTGATGGTTAGTTTTGTGTCAGCTTGACAAAGGCTATAGTACCCAGTGGTTTAATCACACATGAATCTAGATGTCGCTGTGCAGGTATTTTGTAGATGTGGTTGACATCTGCCATTAGCTGACCTCATGTGAAGGAGATGCTCCTGTATGATGTGGGTGGGCCTCATCCAATCAGCTGAAGGCCTTAAAAGCAGACACTGAGGCTTCCTAGAGAAGAAATTCTGCCCCAAGACTGCAGCGTCTGCTCCTGTCTGACTTCTCAGACTGCTGGCCTGCCCTACAGATTTGGGGTCTGCCAGCCCCCACAATCATGTCAATTCCTTTTTTAAAAAATGTCTTCATGGCCAGACGTGGTGGCTCATGCCTGTAATCCCAGCACTTTGGGAGGCTGAGGTGGGCAGATCACTTGAGGTCAGGAGTTCGAGACCAGCCTGGCCAACATGCTGAAACCCCATCTCTACTAAAAATACAAAAATTAGCCAGGTGTGGTGGCACGTACCTGTAATCCCAGCTATTCAGGAGTCTGAGGCAGGAGAATCACTTGAACCTGGGAGGTGGAGGTTGCAGTGAGCCAAGATTGTGCCACTGCACTCCAGACTGGGTGACAGAGTGAGACTCTGTCTCAAAAAAGAAAAAAGAAAAAGGCCGGGTGCGATGGCTCATGCCTGTAATCCCAGCACTTTGGAAGGCCAAGGAGGGCGGATCACAAGGTGAAGAGATCGAGACCATCCTCATCCTGGGCAACATGAAACACCGTCTCTACTAAAAATACAAAAATTAGCTGGGCATGGTGGCGTGTGCCTGTAATCCCAGTTACTTGGGAAGCTGAGGCAGGAGAATCGCTTAAAACCCAGGAGGCAGAGGTTGCACTGGAGATCGTGCCACTGCACTTTAGCCTGGTGACAGAGCGAGACTCCATCTCAAATAATAATAATAATAGTAAGTATTTGCATATATAAATACAGCAGTGATCAGTGACCACGTTGGAGACCCTGAGCTCCTCCAGCCCTGAACAAGCACCATCCCTGTCCTGCTGCCCACGGCACACCCTTCTGCCCAGATGGCCCCTCCTCTGGAAAGCCTGGCCCTGTCACTGGGTCCTGTGATTATCTTCTCCTTATGGGCGCTGTGGGTGTCCCACACACATCCAAGGATCATAGAATTTTAGATCCATAATGCACCTCCCAAATCACCCCATCTACCCTAGCTCTTCTGACAATGAGGAATCGAAGGCCACCCCAGTAGCCACCCCGGCATCACATCCTACCTGTCTCCTGCCACCTCCCCCTGGCTCGCTTTGCCAGCTCACACTGCCCTTCTATTTCTCAGACTCCCCAGGCATTCCCTGAACCCAGGGGCCTTGGCAATGCCTGCTCTCTTCATCCTTCCTGAGAGCTCCAGGCTTCCTTCCTCGTCCCTTCAGGTCTCAGGCCCAGGCATGTCATCAGCAAGGCCTTCCTGACCTCACTACATAAAATAGCACCCCTGGCCCTCTTGCTTTCTCACCTCCTTACCCTGCCTTGTTTTTCTCTGCTGCACTTAGGCCTCCAGACACACCACACACCTATTTGCTATTTTCTGGGTCCTATCAGTAGAGGTAAGGGCCGGGAGGGCAGGCACCTGATCTCCTGTGCTCACTCCCAAAGCCTAGAACAGAGCCTGGCACATAGAAGGGCTCAGTGAGCACCTACAGAATGAATGGATGGGGTGACCAGCACAGAGCAGGAGCTGGGACTCAGCGTTTAGAATTCCCACTCTAGTACTGCTCCTACATCGCACGACTCGGCATCAAGCCAGATGCTGCCTCTTGTGAGCTGCTGCCGCCCTGGTTCTTCTGATTGCCTGCCATGCTCAGGGTGCACTTGCTATGCAGCCTCCAGAGCCTTGGTGCTGGAGAAGGACAGGCCGTCTTTTCATCTTCATCAGAAAAATGTGCTCTCATGAGACTGAAGGATGAGGAGACAGGGGCAAGGCTGAAGTAGGGGAGAGGTCAGTGAGGCCACCAGGGGCTCTGTGCAGTACCTTCTCACTTGTGTGTGCTAAGGAGGAGGAGGAAGAGCCATTGTGGGAGGTGCCAGCCTGAGAGGGGCAGGGCAGGGGCTGAAGAGACCACTGCGGCTTGCCTTCCTCCAAAGACCCCTGGAAGGACATCTGGTTTCCTGCGACTCCAAGACTTCCTCCAAGACCAAGCCTGGGCTGAGCAGAGGACACAGAGCTCTCGAATGCTTAGCTGCTTTCCCTCTTTGTTGGCACCCAAGAGGACTTTTATTTCTATTTATTTATTTATTTAGAGACGGAGTCTTGCTCTGTTGCCCAGGCTGGAGTACAATGAGTACAATGGCGTGATCTCAGCTGCAACCTATGCCTCCCGGGTTCAAGCAATTCTCCCTGCCTCAGCCTCCCAAGTAGCTGAGATTACAGGCACCCACCACCACACCCGGCTAATTTTTGTATTTTTAGTAGAGACAGGGTTTCACCATGTTGGCCAGGCTGGTCTCGAACTCCTAACCTCAGGTGATCCGCCAGCCATGGCCTCCCAAAGTGCTGGAATTACAGGCGTGAGCCACCATGCCTGGCCTATTTATTTATTTATTTATTTATTTAGAGAGACAGGGTCTCACTCTTTTGCCCAAGCTGGAGTGCAGTGGCACAATTATGGCTCACTGCAGCCTCAACTTCCCCAGCTCAAGCGATTCCCACCTCAGCCTCCTGAGTAGCTGGAACTATGGGTGCATACCACTGTGCCTGGCTAATTAAAAAAAATATTTTTTCTAGAGACAGGGTCTCATTATGTTGCCCAGACTGGTCTTGAGCTCCTGAGCTCAAGCAATCTGCCTGCCTCCCAAAGCTTTGGAATTACTGGCGTGAGCCACCATGCCTGGCACCAAGGAGACTTTTAGATAGCAGCTTGGTGGCAGCCCTTCCTGTGCATCAGGACCACTCTGTCTGTGAGCCACAGAGCAGACGGTTAGAGGGACCTAGTCACGGAGCCGCGTGCAAATGTCACTGTCACCATCCCGGGTCGCCCTGCTACTCCAGCTTGTCCCAGATTGGTAGACAGCCTGCTCTACCTTTCTGCCCAAATATGGGATTTGTGCCTTC
Source organism: Homo sapiens (assembly GCF_000001405.40). Lineage (NCBI taxonomy): Eukaryota > Metazoa > Chordata > Mammalia > Primates > Hominidae > Homo > Homo sapiens. The sequence continues at coordinate 37,817,210 of NC_000008.11, read as the reverse complement.
CCACTCCCAGGAACCCAGCCAGGCCATCACTCTTTCCTCCCAGCTTCGGGGGCTTGGGGCCAGAGGCTTTCCCTTCCACGGTGGAATGGGTGTCATGGAGGCTCCCTCACGAGGCTGCTGTCATGATGAGAGATCTCAACACCATGTCACATCCATACTGTGTCTCCATTACCTGTGAACACTTCTTTGGACTTTGCTGACACCTCCTTTGAACTTGACAGGAGCCCTAATCTATGTGTGTGTGTGTGTGTGTGTGTGTGTGTGTGTGTGTGTGTGTGTGTGTTTTGCTTTCTTTTTGAGACAGTCTTGCTCTGTCGCCCAGGCTGGAGTGCAGTGGTGCAATCTCAGCTCACTGCAGCCTCCACCTCCCGGGTTCAAGCAATCCTCCTGCCTCAGCCTCCTGAGCAGCTGGGACTACAGGCGCATGCCACCATGCCCAGCTAATTTTTGTATTTTTAGTAGAGATGGGGTTTTACCATGTTGGCCAGGCTGGTCTCGAACTCCTGACCTCGTGATCCACCCACTTTGGCCTCCCAAAGTACTGGGATTATGGGCACGAGCCACTGCACCCAGCCGTGTGTGTGTGTGTGTGTGTGTGTGTGTGTGTGTGTGTGTGTTTGAGACGGAGTCTCGCTCTGTCACACAGGCTGGAGTGCAGTGGCGCAATCTCAGCTTACTGCAACCTTGGCTTCCCAGGTTCAAGAGATTCTGGTGCCTCAGCCCCCGAGTAGCTGGGATTACAGGCATGCAGCACCATGCCCAGCTAATTTTTGTATTTTTAGTAGAGGTGGGGTTTTACCATGTTGGCCAGGTTAGTCTCGAACTCCTGACCTCAAGTGATCCACCCGCCTCGGCCTCCCAAAGTGCTGGGAATATAGGTGTGAGCCACCGCGCCCGGCCTAAGTGTGTGTGTGTTTTTAAGAGACAGGGCCTTACTCTGTTACACAGGCTGGAGTGCAGTGGCACAATCATAGCTCACTGCAGCCTTGAACTCCTGGGCTCAAGCCGTCCTCCAGCCTCGGCCTCCCAGAGTGCTGGGATTTACAGAACCACCACGCCCAGACCCCAATATACTTAATTCTAGTATACATGGCATTGTTTGTGGTCTCCCCTGGACTGCAATTGCCTGGGCTGTTTTTGAGCAGGAGAGTCACACCTTATTCTTTTGTGTCTCCCATTGCGCTGACCCATTTGGGCAAAATGGCGCTAGAGGGGCCAAGGGCCCTCCCTGTCGGAGGAACTAGGAACGCCTAGCAGGATGAGAGCAGAGATGGGAGACGGGATGGGGGCGTGAGAGAGAAAGCAAGAGTCAGGCTCTAGGAGAGGTGGGAGGCCCAGGCTTCCTCTGTGGAGGGGCAAGGACCCAGAATTGTGGTCCAGGCTGTGGTCCCTGGATTGTACCGACGGAGCAGGTGACTTAGAGGGTGATTACATTCCTGAGTCTGGCAGCTTCAGTGACTGGCCCAAGTGGCTGAGTGAGGTCTCCCACCCAGGGCTTACCCTACCTCTCCATGAGCCCCGTGAACACTCTCCCCATGAGGAGAGGGCAGGGCTTCTGCATCCCCCCATTTCCCTAACAACTCACAGCCACCAGCTCCTCCTCGATAACCCTCTTCCCCACACTGGCCCCACCAGATGCAGGGGCCCCAGCTCTGGGAATGAGGTTCCAGCCGGCTAGCGGGGAACGCCCAGACCTGGCTGGCAGCCTCAGGGCCAAGGCCAGCCTGAAGGCTGCCACTGCCCAGGCGGCTCTGAACCAGGGTGGGGTGGGCTGGAGTGGGGGAGAGGCTTGGAAATGATCGGACTTCCCCACCCTCAGCCCCCTTGGGGCTTTGTTTGTTGATTTGTTTGTAGGAAAGGCGGAAAAGGGCCGCAGTCAGTCGCTTTAAGCTGCCCTCCGCCCTTTTATGCTGGGCCCCCAGCTGCGAGGGGGAGGCCAGTCGAGAGCTCGGCCCTCACAGCTAATTGCTCATTAAAGAGCGTTAATGAGCTTCTCAGAACCCGCTCCCCACTTCTCTCGCCGTGGCTGGCAGAGGAGCTGGTCTCTCGTTCCATACCAGCGCCTCTGTGGCTTCTCCTTGTTGGTCAAGCCCTGGGCAGGGTCCCAGTGGGTCTAACTCCGGGCCCTGCTCGGCCGGCAGGTTCTGGAGTCACTCAGCGACCAGCGTTCCTCCTCCTCCCCGGGGTGACCTCTTGCCATCACGGCCACCCCCCTCCTCCACCTCACCTTCCCCAGCACTTACAGCTTCTCCAGCAGTGACAGTCCCAGGAAGGAGCCATTGCGGAGCCCCGTGATCTTGTTATTGCTCAAGAGCCTGAAGAGACAGAGAGGACACAGACAGGACAAGGTGCTGTTATGTGCTGGGCATCCGCTTTCACCACTGGTGGGGCCAGCTTGCATCTTTGTCAATGGCGCCCCCTGGAGTTGTGCGAGGCAGCAGCCCCCACCCTCTACTTCCGGAGATTACAGGGAGAAGCTGGCCAACGGTCCACCCAGCCCCACGTCAGACCTTCCTGCCCTGAGTCTCCTCCAAGCCTGGCTCTGACGTGGGGCTCTGTGTGCAGGTGGGAGGTGGGCTGAGCAGGTGGGGGTGACCCTGTGATGCCCCGTTTCCACTCTGGAACCACAGGGCTGACCCTCAGTGCCCCCTCATGATGCCCTTCACAGTTCCATCCTTGCTCAAGCCCTTCACCCAATATCCCGAAGAGAGTGGTGGGGAGAATGGCTTGAACGGGGCCAGGATGCCCAGAAGGTCTGGAGGCAGGCGGGAGCTGCCCTTCCTCGGAGGCTCGCACACTCTCACCTGTGAGCGAAGGACCTCACAGGCCCCCATCTCAGAGGGCCTGAGTGCACAGTGGCCGCATCCTGGCCTCCTAAGCCTTCTGAAGCCTTGGCAGAAAGCCAATGGAGCCCCGAGTGTAGGGGAAGCCAGGCCTCAGCCTCAGCCTCTGCGCCTCGGGGTTCTGTTTATTTATTCGTTTGTATTTAGGGGAGGAGGAAAGGGGCCCCAAGTGACTGAGAGAGACCGAGTGTCTCATCTCCGCCCACCCACTCAGCCTTTCTCTGCCAAGCTCCCTGCTGGGAGGAGGGAGATCCAGGCCAGCCAAAGGGCTCATCCCCCAGTTAATTGCTTATTAGAAAGCTTTAATGAGCCTCTCCGCCCAAACTCTTGCCTGCCCTGGGCTGAGGCAAAGGGTCTCCCTTCTTTGGTCTCAAGGGTAGAGAACTGATGTGGGAAGGCCAGAGGTGCAGGCCCTGGGCCTTTCCTTGAGGGAGCGGCCTCCAGGCTGGACTGGAAGGGAGGGGGAAGTGGGAAGGAACAAGCCCTAAGAAGAGCTGGCAAAGAGATGAGCCTCGAAGCTTCCTGGAAGTGGTGGGTGAACAGACCAGGGGCAGTGGGGAGACCCCCGACGGCTGACATTCCAGCTGCTCTGTCTTCCATTGGCTCGTGGAGAAGACAGTGGCCAGGATGGAGGGAAGCATGGAAAAGAGTTGAAGGGGCTTTCTAGGGCGAGGGGTGGAGGAGGGAGGGGTGGAGACCTCATCTCCTTCCTTCCTTCTCCCCACTCCATAGATCCCTCCCACCCGTCCAGTCCCTGCCTAATGGTCCCCCCAGTGGTGACATTTCCTGGTGGGAAGTGATGGGTAGGGGGGTAGGTTGGCTGAGTTTCCAAAATGCTTACACACACACAAACACACACACACGCACAATGTTGATATGTCAAAAAGTACATCACAGTAGTCGTTATATGGGATATTAGATCTTCTATGAACTCACGTTATTATTTTATTTATTATTCTCATTTTATGAGTTAGGATAGTTTTATTTCACTTCATACATGGGGTGTTGGTGATGAATCATAATCTTGGCCATTCTTAGGGCCTCTAGAGGCCTCTAAAGGTCTCATCAGGCCCTGGTGGGCCTGGGGTGGCCTCTGAGTGGTGACAGGCTCTTTAAAAGAAATTAAAAAAAATTTTTTTAGAGATGAGGTCTTGCTCTGTCACCCAGGCTACAGTGCAGTGGCACAGTTAGAGCTCACTGCAGCCTCACTCCTGGGCTCAAGGGATCCTCCTGCCTCTGCCTGAGTGGCTGGGACTATAGGCACGAGCCATCATGCCTGGCAGGTGACAGGCTCTGACTTTAAAGTCAAAGCCTGCCTCACTCCACCCCCAGTTCATGCCCTTCCTATACCCCAGAGTTTACATTAAATGTTGGACAAGGGGCTGGGTGTGGTGGCTCACATCTGTAACCTAGCACTTTGGGAGGCTGGGACGGGCAGATCACTTGAGGCCAGGAGTTCAAGACCAGCTGGGCAACATAGTGAAACTCTGTCTCTACGAAATAAATAAATAAATAAATAAAAATAAAAAATTAGCTGGGCCTGGTGGCATGGTACCTATAGTCCCAGCTACTCAGGAGCCTGAGGGAGGAGGATTGTATCACTTGAGCCCAGGAGTTCGAGGCTGCAGTGAGCTATGATGGCACCATTGCACTCCACCCTGGGCAAGAGTGAGACCTAGTCTCAAAAAAAAAAAAAATTCTGCAACTCCCAAATCCTCAATATTTTTATTTTTATTTTTTTGAGACGGAGTCTCGCTCTGTTGCCCAGGCTGGAGTGCAGTGGTGCAATCTCCGCCCACTGCAAGCTCTGCCTCCCGGGCTCACGCCATTCTCCTGCCTCAGCCTCCAGAGTAGCTGGGACTACAGGTGCCCGCCACCACGCCCGGCTAATTTTTTGTATTTTTAGTGGAGACGGGGTTTCACCGTGTTAGCCAGGATGGTCTCGATCTCCTGACTTCGTGATCCACCCGCCTCGGGCTCCCAAAGTGCTGGGATTACAGGCGTGAGCCACCGCGCCCAGCCACAAATCCTCAATATTAAAACCTGAGATCTCAGTTTGAGAGCTCTGCCCAGCGTGGGGCAGAGGTAGTGTTGGTGGGGGTGATTCCTCACATTTTCCCAACTCTTTAGCCTTTAACCCACTTCAAATACCCCAAATTCTTTAACAGAGAGCTGACAACAACAACAACAACAACAACAACAACAACAACAACACCATTGCAAGTGCATGTCATTTTAAATTTTCTTTTCTTTTCTTTTTTTTTCTGAAAGAGAGTCTCATTCTGTGGCCCAGACTGGAGTGCAATGGCACGATGTCGGCTCACTGCAACCTCCGCCTCTCGGGTTCAAGTGATTCTCCTGCCTCAGCCTCCAGAGTAGCTGGATTACAGGTGCCCGTCACCATGCATGGCTAATTTTTATCTTTTTAGTAGAGGCGGGGTTTCACCATGTTGGCCAGGTTGGTCTCAAACTCCTGACTTCAGGTGATCCGCCTGCCTCGGCCTCCCAGAGTGCTGGGATTATAGGTGTAAACTACCGCACCCAGCCCATTTTAAATTTCCTAGTAGCCACATTTAAAAAGTTTAAAAGTTGGGCCAGGTGCGGTGGCTCACACCTATAATCCCAGAACTCTGGGAGGCTGAGGCGGGCAGATCACCTGTGGTCAGGAGTTTGAGACCAGCCTGGCAAACATGGCGAAACCCCGTCTCTACCAAAAATACAAAATTAGCCAGGCGTGGTGGTGCATGCCTGTAATCCCAGCTACTTGGAGGGCTGAGGCAGGAGAATCACTTGAACCTGGGAGGCGGAGGTTCCAGTGAGCCGAGATTGCACCATTGCACTCCAGCCTGGGCAACAAGAGAAAAACTCTGTTGCCAAAAAAAAAAAAAAAAAAGTTGGCTGGGTGCAGTGGTTTACATCTGTAATCCCAGCACTTTGAGAGGCTGAGGCAGGCAGATCACCTGAGGTCAGGAGTTGGAGACCAGCCTGGCCAACATGGTGAAACTCCATCTCTACTAAAAATACAAAAAAATTAGCCAGGCGTGGTGGCAGGCGCCTGTAATCCCAGCCACTTGGGAGGCTGAGGCAGGAGAATCTCTTGAACCCAAGAGGCGGAGGTTGCAGTGAGCCGAGAACGCGCTATTGCACTCCAGCCTGGGTGACAAGAGTGAAACTCCGTCTCAAAAAAAAAAAAAAAAAACACACACACACACACAGTATAAAAGTTCTTTTTTTTTTTTTTTTTTTTTGTTTTTGAGACAGAGTCTTGCTCTGTTGCCCAGTCTGCAGTGCAGTGGCGTGATCTCGGCTCACTGCAAGCTCCGCCTCCCGGCTTCACGCCATTCTCCTGCCTCAGCCTTTTGAGTAGCCGGGACTACAGGCACCCGCCACCCTAATTTTTTTGTATTTTTTTTTTAGTAGAGACGGGGTTTCACTATGTTAGCCAGGATGGTCTTGATCTCCTGACCTCATGATCCACTCGCCTCGGCCTCCCAAAGTGCTGGGATTACAGGCATGATACGGCCACCGCGCCCAGCCTAAAAGTTCATTTTGAGAACATATGTTATTTAGGCCTGGTGCAGTGGCTCATGCCTGCAATCCCAGTGCTTTGGAAAGCTGAGTCAGGAGAATTGCTTGAAGCCAGGAGTTCAAGACCAGTCTGGGCAACATAGCAAGACCCTGTCTCTATAAAACATTTTTTAAAAAGTAGCCAGACGTGGTGGCCTGCCTGTAGTCCTAGCTACTTGGGAGGACGAGGCAAGAGGATCACTTGAGCCCAGGAGTTTGAGGCTGCAGTGAGCTGTGATTGCACCACTGCACTCCAGCCTGAGCGAGACCCTGTTTCTTTTCTTTTTTTTTGAGAGAGAGAGCCTTGCTCTGTTGCCAGGCTGGAGTGCAGTGGCATGCTCTCAGCTCACTGCAACCTCCGCCTCCTGGGTTCAAGCGATTCTCCTACTGCCGCCTCCCAAGTAGCTGGGACTACAGGTGCATGCCACCACACCCAGCTAATTTTTGTATTTTTAGTAGAAACGGGGTTTCACCATGTTGGCCAGGATGGTCTCGATCTCTTGATCTCATGATCCGCCCGCCTCATCTTCCTAAAGTGCTGGGATTACAGGCGTGAGCCACCTCACCCAGCCTAGCGAGACCCTGTTTCTAAAAATATATGTGTGTGTGTGTATATATATATATTTTTATATATATATGATCTAACTCAATGTATCCAAAATGTTATTTTTATATGTAATCAATATAAAATTATTAATGAGATACTTTCATTTTGATTTTGGTAGAAAGTCTTAGGACTCTGGAATGTCCTACTACTCTATTCTCTGCCAACACACCTAAATTCAGACCAGCTGCGGGCACTGGTGTCAGTGTGCAGGGCGGCAGCAGAGCGACAGATCGGGGACCTACCCCAGAGGAGGGCAAGGACAAGCCTCTGGCCCAGAATAGCTTATCTCTGGGACCGGCTCCCATCCCTCCCCAGGCTGCCCTGAGCCCAGACTTCATGCAGTCCCGGTCTCGGCCTCTCTCTCTCTTCCCTCCACCCACCCCTCTCTCTCTGAGGCAGCCTCTGTGTGTGCTGGGAGGCAAGGGCTGAGTTGAGTGGGGGGCAGCTGCAGCCCACGCTTCCGGTTTGGCTAGCCCAGCACCAACTCCAGCCCTGAAAGTCTTGAAATGAGATATTTTCTTGCTGCAGAGAACATGGTCCTGATGCCCCACCCTCTGACCCACTCGCAGATGCAGGCACCAGGCAAAGGCCTTTTCATCCTTCTCCTCCAAGGGGCCCCCTTCTTGCCAAATTTCTAGCTCTTGGAAAGACCTCAGGCAGATTGCTGTGTGATTCGAGTCCTCAGATACCCAGGGTTGGATCTTTTGGCCTTAACAACCTGGAGAGGTCTGAGGAAGTTTACTCTAGACCTAGATTATCCAGAGAGGGGCCTCCATTGACATTGAGTTGCTGGTTCTATTCTCCAGAGGGTGCCTTGTGGTGGGTCTATCTGGGGAGAGGAGGGCAGGCAGTTTTAGACAGATAGTGCAGGGGTCTGGTCTTTTTTTTTTTTTTTAAGAGAGACAAGTTTCGCTCTATTGCCCAGGCTGGAGTACAGTGGCATGATCACAAATCACTGCAGCCTCCACCTCTTGAGCTCAAGCAATCCTCTCACCTTGGCCTCCCCAGGAGCTAGGACTACAGGCATGCGCCACCATGACCAGCTAATTAAAAAAAAAATGTTTTTGTAGAGGCTAGATGCGGTGGCTCATGCCTATAATCCCAGCTTTTTGGGAGGCCAAGGTGGGTGGATCACTTGAGGCCAGGAGTTCAAGACCAGCCTAGCCAACATGGTGAAATCCCATCTCTACTAAAAACAAAAATTAGCCAGGTGTGGTGGCACGCACCTGTAATCCCAGCTACTCTGGAGGCTGAGGCAGGAGAATCGCTTGAACCTGGGAGGTGGAGGTTGCAGTAAGCCAAGATAAATCATGCCACTGTACTCCAGCCTGGGCAGCAGAGCAAGACTCTGTCTCAAAAACAAAAATTAAAAATAAAAATAAATAAAGAAAGAAAAAAGTTTTTCTAGAGGTGAGGATCTCACTATGTTACCCAGGCTAGTCTTGAACTTCTAAACTAAAGAAATCGACTTGCCTCAGCCTCCCAAAGTGCTGGGATTATAGGGATGAGCCACTGTGCCTGGCTGGGTCTGGCATTTTTATGGGCAGGTAGAAAGCTGGGTGTTACAGCACTGCTGATGGGGATGAACATGCACGCAGGCCCATGCACACACACACACACACACACACACACACAGCTTCATCCAATGGGCAGAAAAATGTTCCCACCATTCTAGGCTGTCCCCTGGGAGGAAAGCAGGCAAAGTGGCCACAATTGGGCAGGGAAGGAGGGAGCCTTGGACCCACAGCTCCATCCAACACAGACATAGGGTCAGCCTCGGCCCTCTTCAACCCCCACAAGACAGACGCCTCCTCAACCTGCTCCGTCCTCTGACCCTAAAACCTCACGGGGGCCAGCCAGGTAGATGTCCTGCCCAACCACACACTAGCTCTGCCCCAGAGCCCTGGCTGGCCTGGCCAGGCATCTTCGGCTTCTTTCTTCCCTCCCTCCCACGCCCTTCTCCCACTCCTAATGTCAAGCTTTTCACAGGAAGGAGGGCCAGTCCCTGGAGTCTCCTGTTCTCTACTTCAGAGTTTGAAATCTGGCCAGAGAGAGGGGGCACACCGAGTCCATTCCAGAACTCTCTCCCGGCTGGGGTCCCATTTTGTGGGAGAGAAGCAAGCAGAGTTCCCACTAATGAGGCTGGAGGCCAAGGGAGCAAGCGGCTGGCGTCTACAGAGAGGCTCTGTGGGCTCTGGGCAGCCGCAGGAACGTACCAGATACCACCCCAACATCAAAGATGACCCTGCAGGAGTCACGTGGGCACATAGCACATGCCTGAACTAAATGTTTCTCACATGTGCGGGAAGAGTCATGCATGTCAGCCCCCTGCCAACCACTCAGACCCAATGAGCTCCTCTCTGGACTTGGGATATCCATACTCCCTAGGGAGTCTGATCCTGGAGCCTCCATCGGTTCAGGCCATCACTAGGTTCCTAAAGGTTCCCAGAGTCTGGGAGGCCCTGTCTCCAACACCTGCCACTGGCAGCTTGGCCGTGTCTTAGGGAAACCATCACAGAACTGGTAGGGGGCAGTCTGCTTGCTGATGCCAAAAAGCCCTGGGGCTCGAACACCCACCGAAATCAGAGCTCTCAGCCTCCCCTGCAGCCGCTGTGCCTTTGAGCATTTCCAGGGCTCAAAGAGATGCCTAAAACCTAAAAAAGAAGCATTGCCTCTAAAATATAGATGCTGCAAAGACGGAAATTAACCAATGCTTAATGACATAATTACCCAATGTCATACTATGTCATTAGCAATAATTATTATGTTCGATGACGGATGTGGGTACATTTTAGTATGGTTGATACGACAGTAAGACCTCCAAAAGTGAGGATGCTCGCCGTGCACAGGCCCTGTTTCAACACACAACCTCAAGCGAAAGGCTGGCCTGTGGCTTCCCGTCCCTCCGTGGCTGCCTTCACATGCATTTAGCCTGACTGCAAGGGACATAAATGTTGGTGAGGACATGTAAGGTGTTCTGCCCGCTCCTGCACTTCCCTGCCACCCTTCCCTGGGCTGGACGCTTGTCAGGTCAGCCCTGAACACCGACTGGCAATAGAAGGAGGCCTAGGGAGGGGCTTTAGGGGGTTGGGTCCTGAGACTGCCCCTGAACCCAGCCTGGAAGCTGGGCTGTCCAGGCAGGGCTGGAGGCCCAGGCCATGAGAGAAAACAGACCTGCAGTGAGTCCTGCTCCACCCTGCCTTCTCTCATAGGTCTAGTCTCCTTTCTCTAACCTACCCTCTCTACAAGGGCACCCCAACTTGGTGGTGAGCAGGGGGAACCAAGAAACTGGGGCTTGGATGGGAAGGGAATCTGTGGCTTTGGGACAGAATCTGGAGACAGAAGCCTAAGAAAATGGGCTACATGCCGGGCGCAGTGGCTCACATCTGTAATCTCAGCACTTTGGGAGGACAAGGTGGATGGATCACTTGAGGTCAGGAGTTCGAGACCAGCCTGGCCAACATGGTGAAACCCCGTCTCTATTAAAAATACAAAAATTAGCTGGACAAGGTAGCATGCATCTGTAGTCCCAGCTACTAGGGAGGCTGAGGCAGGAGAATTGCTTGAACCCAGGAGGCAGAGGTTGCAGAGAGCCAAGATCGTGCCACTGCACTCCAGCCTGGGTGACAGAGTGAGACTCGACTCTGTCTCAAAAAAAAAAAAAAAAGAAAAAGAAAAAAGAAAAAGAAAAAGAAAAAGAAAATGCCACACCCATAGGGGTCACATTGTCTGAAGCTACCCGAGGTGGTGCCAGAGAGGAAGAGGAAACAGTTGGGGGTAATCAGTATACCTTGATGGGGATTTGGGGGTCACAGCATCCTGGCTTGAGCACAAGGAACATAGTCTGCTGTAATCATCCACAGTTAGGTATTCATTCATTCATCCATTCATTCATTCATTGCTCAGAGCTACCTAACAGCCACTGTGCACTCAGCCTTGTGTAACAGGCTAGTCCTACAAACATAAATCATACATCACATATCTGCAAACTTCCATTCATAGGAGGTGGAGGGAGATGTGTCCAACAGGATGGAATGTTCATCTATGTGTGTGTCTGTGTCCCCCTGATTTGTGGAGGCTGGGAAATTACCCCCAACTGACCTTAAACATTTCCTCCATGCACAACCTAAAAGCCCCCCGGGGGGAGCCAAACTTTTGAGTGAAGAAAGCAGACCTCTTTGAGGGGTAGGTGGTGATGGAGGTCTCACTATGTTGCCCAGGTTGGTCTTGAACTCCTCTTGCCTCAGCCTCTGGACTAGCTAGTATGCCACCATGCCCAGCTAACAAAAAAAAGTGTTTGTTTGTTTGTTTGTTTGTTTTTGTTTGAGAAGGAGTCTCACTCTGTCGCCCAGGCTAGAGTGCAGTGGTACGATCTCGGCTCACTGCAACCTCCACCTCCCGGGTCCAAGTAACTCGCCTGCCTCAGCCTCATGAGTAGCTGGGATTACAGGCGCGCACCACTACACCCGGCTAATTTTTTGTATTTTTAGTAGAGACGGGGTTTCACTGTGTTAGCCAGGATGGTCTCGAACTCCTGACCTCGTGATCCACCCACCTCGGCCTCCCAAAGTGTTGGAATTACAGGCGTGAGCCACCGTGACTGGCCAAAAAAGAAAAAAAAAATTTAGACACGGATCTCTATGTGCCCAGAATGGTTTTGAACCCCTGGCCTCAAGTGATCCCCCTGCCTCAGCCTGCAGAGTAGCTGAGATTACAGGGAAGGGCCAACACACGCGGCGCAGACCTCTTTTAAAATACAAACAGACCCAAAAGGATGGAAGTTATCAATGTTTTCTACCTACGCAGATACTCATCTTTGACCTTTCCTCCATAGAAGCTATATTTGCTACCCTGATCCTGTCCGGCGTTGTAAGCTGGTACCTGTCTCCAGGAGACTGTAAGGACAGAAGGGCAGAGCCTGGGTCTTTTGCCTCCTCCCATGGGGTGAAGATACACTGTAGGCATTGGCTGAGTGACAGGGGCAGAGCTCCAGGATGGAGGGGATGTTTGGTCAACAGAGAGTTCACTGCTGAGCCCTGGGTTTCCCCAAGCCAAACGGCAGTTTCTTTCTACCTCCAATTCCCTCTCTCTCCCCAACACCTAGGAGATAGCATCCATCCTTCTCTGAGTGAGCCGGGCTCCACGGTACAGCCTTTCTGGGATGCCACACCCATAGGGGTCACATTGTCTGAAGCTACCCGAGGTGGTGCCAGAGAGGAAGAGGAAACAGTTGGAAGGGCGTTTTAGAGACCATGGGTTGCACATTTCCTGGGTCAGACTGATTTCAAATACTCCATGCAGTGCTTATGTACAGGGACCCCGTGAGTACGCTTGTACTTGTTAGGCCATTATGGGGTCGGGGGAGCCCCTTTTCCCTGGCTCATGTATCCATGTGGAGGAAAACGGATTAGGGCATCTGCTCTGTCCCATCTCCAGGGATGGCTCCTCTGATTGGTCAGTGTGCAAAGAGGCCCCAGACCTTCCTGCCTGCAGAGCTGTTTAATGTGGGGGCTCTCCTTCAGAGGGGCTGGGAGTGGGACTCGGATGTCCCCTGGGTGGGCAGCTCTGACTAAACTCATGGCTGCTGAACCTCTAAGCTAGGTGTTCCAACAGTTTTTATCAACAATAAACCTGTATTTTGACCTCCTGTTTGCTAACCTATTCTGTATCTCGGCAACCCTCCTCAAGTGAAGTCAGGAAGTACTATTTTTGGGGTCAGGCCGCTTAAACTCCCAGTCCCACGTGCCTGCATTTTCATCAGAAAACACCCTTGCCATCAGCAGAGTGGGCAGGTGTGGCCTCCAGGGCCCCTGCTGCCTGGGGCAGTGTCACTGTTTGAGACTGAGGGTGGTGAAGCTTTCAAGAGGTCTGAGAAGCTTCACAGTCTCCAGATCTCTCTGTCTTGCTTCCTCTTCCTTTCTCCTGGAGATGTGGCTGCCCTTGGTGGCTTTGTCTCTAGGTTCCCACCTGCACAGACTAACAGCAGAGGGGATGGGAGGCAGGAGCCCTGGGGTCTAGTTAGAGCTGCCTGGCTAAGAGCCGTGTGTGTGTGTGTGTGTGTGTGTGTGTGTGTGTGTGTGTGTGTGTGTGTGTCTCACCGTGGGCAGGCTGGCCCCTCCCTGGGGGTAGACTGGAGACCCCACATCTTATCTTTGATGGTCTTTCCCATCCTGGATGCTGAGTCTCCTGAAGCCTGAAGTCATAGTTTCTGCCTTGATACACAATTCCCAGCAAGGCTAGGAGCCCTGGCAGGGGAAGGGAGGAGGAGAGGGAGGAACAGAGGCGGTAGAGGGGGCCCTGAGACCTTCTCTTCCCTTCCCAGCTGGGAGATGTCTGGCCCCTTGGTTGAGGCTGGAACTCCCTCCCCAGGACTCGCTCTCCCACCCTGTCCATTGCCTGCTCCTCTGTGACAGATGGGGCTCCCGTGCCTCACCTGGCCCCATCCATCCTGCACACATCCCTGGCTCCCAGGAAAGGGCTGGGAGAGCTGAGAGTGTCCTGGGAGGCTGCTGGAGTGACCTACACTCCACGGCTTCTCTGCCCCCTCCCCCCATAACCCAGTCCTGAAAGCAAAGGAATGTTCTGGAGTTTGGGAAGGATGGGGGCCCCTGGAGGAGGGAGGAAGGGGAGGAGGCAGCTTCGTCCTGTCAGTGTCTGAGCTGTAAATAGAACAGAGCGGCTGGGCTGGGGGAATGAAAATAAACAGCCCCTCTGAGCAGCCCTTCCTAGCGGTTAGCGGATCTTCCTTCTGGTCCCCCAGTCCCGGGCCATTTCCCTCCTCTCCCCGCCCCTGCTCTCTGGCTGCTCCCAGGGAGGCTGGGGCAGCCTCTACCTCTGGGGTGATGGGGAAGATAGCAGTGTCTGGGTCCAGGCTGTCCGGGAACTCTCCTCCCCTCTCTGGACTTTGCTGAGGGGAGCAGCCGGTGCCTCCACGGAGTGGAAGGACAGCGATCAACTCAGAGGTGGCTGGAACTTATTCTCCATCAGGAAAGGGTTCTTCTCCCAATGACTCCCATGTGGGATAAACTTAGAAACACTCTCTTTCTTTAAAAACATGACCCGCATTGAAGGGTCAATTTATGGTTAGGTTCAAATTACACTGGTTTGCCTGTGCCTTTGGGGGAAATTCTCACACTCCCCCCAGGACGAGGGGTTGCCACTCCCCCTCCCTAATCACAGAGGGGAGAGCCGTGGTAGCCAGCAGGCAGGGACTTCGGTGGCTTCAGGAGTGGTTGGGTTCATGCACATGCAGGAGTAACTCCGGCCAAATAACACATTTGGGATCTTGGACCCACTGGGGGCGGAGTCACAAGTGCCCCCTTAGGAGCCAGCACGATGGCCTCTGCAGTTTTCTTCATTCAACCAGTGAGCCCCAGAGAGCTCTGAGCTCTGCCCAGGGCTCTCCCTAGGATGGGACCCTGACTCTAACATCCTGCAGCAGAGGGAGCTCTCAGGGGAGGGGCTTCCAGGCCCCAGAGGATGGATGGGTGGAATTCCTGTATCCTGAGCTAGCGACCTCCAGCTTCTCCAGTGGGTGGTGGGGAAGAGTCCAGGAGAGACTGAGGTTTCTGCTGGGCCCCTGCCTTTGAACAGGCGAGGTCCCGGAGCCCGGGTGGGGGTGCCGCAGCTAAGACCTGCACCCCTGGGTGGGGAGGGGAGTGGGTGCTGGAGTCTCTGGGCTTGCTCTGGCCTTCTCTGTCTCTGGCCTCTTCCCTCTCTTCTTTCCTTCTTTTTCTTTGCTCTTTCCCCCTCCCCCTCTTCTCTCACAAAAGCTCTCTGTACACAGCCACTTCCTCTGGCTGCTGTCTCTGCGCCCAGACCTTATGAGAACCATATGGGGGAAAGCTGGTGGAAGAGAAGGGGGTGGAGGCGCCGGCCTGGGCCCGCCCCTCCACCAGCATCCTTGTCCTGCCCTCGGGCCATGTGCACGACGCTTGGCACACTTTGCCCAAATTCCCCTAACTGGATCCTGGTGGCTGTAACGAGGGGCCCTGAAGTGAGTCCCAGCCAGCAGCTGGAGGTCCAGAGGGAGACCTGTGCTCAAGAACCACTTCCCTGAGGCCCATCTTCCTCAACTTCCCCTACAAAGACCACTGAAATCCCAGCAGAAGAACCCAGCCCGTGCTAGGCACACCTGCGGCAGACAGCCTCTTCTCCCCTAGGTGGGCAGCCTGCGTGGTGGGCACCCCCGCTTCCCTGAATGGGAGGCCGAGCAGGTTGAGGGTTTGCCTGTTCTGGGGAAATTCAAAGTGACCTCTCCTTGCCCAGCCTGGAATGTTCCCAGGTCAAAAGGGCTCAGATCCTGCTGGGAAGGAACCGGGTTTTTTAAAGTGTCTTTTGTGTCTAATGGGTCCCAAGTTCAGCCAGGTGAGCAGCGAGGCCCTCACCTGGCAGGAATGCAATGCCCATCCCGGCGCCAGCCCCAGCCGACTGTGTGACTGTCAGCAAGGCACCCTTCTTCTCCTGGCCTCAGTTTGCTCAGCTGTAAGATGTGGGACTGGGCTTCCTTATCGCTAAGATCCTTTGGAGCCCAGGCCGTCTGGGAATTTATGACACTGGCTGGTATCCTCGGAGTGCCTGCTCAGATGTCCTAGGAGGTCTTTATAGATTTCCTTCTGGAGTTATCTACAAACAGTCCTTTCCTGGAATTCCTTATCCTCAGCCCCCTTCCCCCTCACTCACTCCCAGAGCTGAGAACCTCAGCCCTCAGCTGCTGCCGAGTAATACTGGGGCTCACAGTGGTCTGCACCTTCCTCCCACACCCAGGTTCTCCCTGTCATAAGCCACCCCCCGTGGGACCTTTTCCCTGGGGGAGGCCCACAAAGGCTCCTGCTCTCTCTGTTCAGAAGCACGGGTGCCCACAGCTGCCCTGCAGACTGGGCTGGGAGCCTGGGGGGTGGGGTGGGACAGAGGGATCAGGAAGGAAGCCAAGAGCTCAGCTTTCCTGGAAAACTGCGAATGAAAATCCACTAGAGAAAAATATGCAAAGGATGGGGGAGACAGGGGATGCAAAAACAGAAGGCAGAGTTGAGATAATGGGTGGAGGTGGCGGGAGGGCTTTCCATGCGGTAAATGGGACTGTGAACGGGGTCGCCTCTGACTGCAGGAAGGCTTTCTCAGAGTGCAGGAGGAGGCTCTCCGCAGACAGGGACCCCACCTTCATGCCTGAACAGCCCCCAGCACTCAGACTCCCCAAGGATCAATCCTGAGTGCCCCGGGGCCCCATCTTGGAGGAAAAAAAGGGTCTTCCATGGGAATGTGGGGGAGATGGGGAGGGAGGATAAAGCCAAAATGCAAAAATGAATGGCTCCAGTTTTATTTGCACCAGGTGACAAGCTAAAAGGTGAAAAGGAAAATGTTCGTGGCAGGAAAAAATAAATAAATAAAGTACGAAGGAGGAGTTTGGAAATGAGTCTGGCCATTTGTGTGGGGCGGCTCTCAGCTCTTGTCCTCTGGCTTTGCTGCTGGGCAAAAGAAGCGGCAGCTCCCTCCTTCCCAGATGCAGGGGCTCAGAGAGCGATACCTCAAAGACCAGGCACTTTGACACACTGAGAGACCTTAGGGGCCTCAAAACTTGGAGTTCAGAACCAAGATCCTCCTAACTTATCTTGTCCCCTGTTCCCCCAGCGCAGGGATGGGGCACTCTCCCTGGAATTCCCTTACCTGATGGAGAAAACTTCTCCTCGAAATAAAGGCAATGGTCTTAATACCTCCTCCCTAGAGATCTCAGCAAATAACCAAGATAGAGCGGGAGAAGAGTCTGGGAGTTGTCACCGCACCCAGACTTCTCATCTACTCGGAGAGCTCTGAGAGATCACCTGAGAGGTGTGATCCGCATAAATCCGCATAATAAAACCACCTTTGCTTCTGTGCAGCTCACCTTCTCCGGAGTCCCATCAACTGCCAGCCACCTCCCACCTCCCGGTCCATACATCTCTCCTCTGTGGAGAGAGCATTTCAGCCTTACTGACTCCTGTGCACACATGTGTGCGTAACAGTAATACGTGAGTTATGCTTTTCTCTTGTTAACCTGGGGTTTTTGTTGTTGTTAGAGGGCTGTTGGCTGTAACCCTTCCTGATGGGGAGGAGACAGATCATCCCCTTTCAGCCCCTACACAGACTTTCTCCTGCTCCCTCCCTCAAGATGCATCCTGGGGTGGGTGTGGGGGTGCTGGAGGGACTGAGCCTCAGAGGAAGGAACCTTTGCCCAGCTTCTGCTGAAGGAGAGCCTGGGTTCTTTTTCTTTCCGAAGCCAGCTGGTGGGGATTGGGGGGTGCCATGAGGATGAGGATTATGCGAAGTCTGGTGGGAGAGCTAAGCAGTAAGTCTGTGGCTGGGGATTCCATTACCCTCCAGGCTGAAGGACCCGTGGGCTCTCCAGGGTGTCCCTGGCCTGCCCTGTTTGTGTCCCTGTGGGGAAGTCCAGAGCCAGGCTCTGGGGCTGCTCCTTAAAGGGTATCCTATCCTAAGCCTGATGGCTCAGTGGCCTGGGAGGATTTGGGATTGGAGGGTGAGCTAGGGGTCACCTTTGCTGCCAGCCGGTTCTAATGTATTCTTACCAAGAGCTGGCCCAGCTCTCTCTGTGGAGTGGCGTGGATAGGAATTAACCATGGCCTGATCATTCTAAGATGTACTGCAAAACTGCC
Source organism: Homo sapiens (assembly GCF_000001405.40). Classification (NCBI taxonomy): domain Eukaryota; kingdom Metazoa; phylum Chordata; class Mammalia; order Primates; family Hominidae; genus Homo; species Homo sapiens. The sequence continues at coordinate 37,799,547 of NC_000008.11, read as the reverse complement.
TTTCTATCTACCGCCTCCCCCACTTCCTTCTGCCTTTGATATGTTAGGATTCCCTAACCCTGACACAGAGACACGCAGAGAACACACATCCCACATATGTGCATGAGCAGACACAAGAGTGTGCACACATGCACGCACAGCTCTCAGCTCTGAATTCTTTTTTTTTTTTTTTTTATACGGAGTCTCGCTCTGTCGCCCAGGCTGGAGTGCAATGGCGTGATCGCGGCTCACTGCAACCTCCGCCTCCCGGGTTCAAGCGATTCTCCTGCCTCAGCCTCCTGAGTAGCTGGGATTACAGGCGCGCGCTACCACGCCTGGCTAATTTTTGTATTTTTAGTAGAGACGGGGTTTCACTATGTTGGTCAGGCTGGTCTCGAACTCCTGACCTCGTGATCCACCCGCCTCTGCCTCTCAAAGTGCTGGGATTACAGGCCTGAGCCACCGCACCCGGCCTCAGCTCTGAATTCTTATGCAGCTGGGACTCACGCAGACGCTACCGACTGTTCCGCAGAGCAAGCATTTTTCTCCTCCAGAACTAAGTGAGCTGGGGAATGCCCAGGCCTGCCTGGACCCTCAAACCCCAGCGGACAGTCAGAGAGAGCTGCCCTGAACAGCCACAGGTGCCTTCCCTGGCCACAGCCTTACCCTGAGCAGCAGGGAGGCGGCAGCGAGCAGACACACCGCCTCCACCCTTAAGGCACACACATGCACACACACACCCGGGCCGGGGAAAATGCAGGCCGGGCGGCCAGCGTCAGAGGCTGACCAGTTGTGTCCTGTCAGGAAGCGGGCAGCCTCTGAACTCACCCAACCAGAGGCGTTACTGTATTGTTCTGGACACAATCGAAAAGACTGGGCCAGCCCCGACTGCGGGCAAGGGGCGGTGGAGAAACGGTTGCCACTGGGGTCAGGAGGACAGGGAAAGGGAAGCGGCTCTTAGGCTGGATTTGGGACAGGAAAGGAAGCGGCGGCCGCGGGGGCCCGACCCTCAAATCCACGGCGTGCGTGGAGCTGCGAGCACGTGGTCGGCGCAGGAAATCTCTGCGGTGGGGAGGGGTCGCCAATGCTCGCGCGGCTGCTGGGACTTGCGACCCCCTTGTAGGAGGCTTGGGGTCGGGCTGCGGCGCTGCAGCGCTCGCTGCCAGCAAAGCAAAGGCGTACTGAGGCCCTGACTAAGAGGGAAGTCGCGGAAGGAGGCCCGGGTGGGCTGCGGTGAGGGAACCCCGCTTCCCCAGCCGCGTTTCTTTCTTCGCAATCTTTGCGCGAAGTCAATGGAGAAACAGCCAAAGCTCGAGTTACTTCCAGGAGAGGCAAAGGAGAGGCAAGGACGCGGGACCCAGCACAGAGCTCACTGCACAAACGGCGCCGTGGGAGAGGGGCCTCTAGAGGGATGGGGACGCCAGGGTCTCCTGCAGCCCAGGAGCGCCGGTATTCCAAGGGCCGACTTTTCTGAGCCCAGCCTCCCCTTGCCCTAAGGAGACCGGCTGGAAGCGGCGCTGGCAGGCCAGGGGGCAAGGATGGGATGACCCCAATTGAAGGGACAAGGCCAGCCAGGTAAATCCGGAGACTCCTCCAGCCCAGTCCGGGACGCGACCGTAGTGGTTAGGACCACAGCCCCCTCCTGGGCCACGAGCGTCGATCTTTCCTGAGCATTCCCCGCTCTCACCCTTCTCAGGTCCCCAAAGTCCGCAACCCTAGTCCAGGCTGGAAATCCGGGGCGTGGGTGCCCTGCAGGCGTGCTCTCCACTTCACCTGTGCAGGTGAGTGGGCGCCTGCGGTGCCTTTCTCTGGGGTGCGCCTGTCCCCCGCAGCCCCTTCCCGCCTCCACGCTCCTGGAGCCCCAGTCTCTCCCCTGCTCCTCCAATCTTCCCCTCTGGGGGCCTGAACCCAGGCCTGTCCAGAAATCTCTGAAGTGGGGGGATAGCCCCCTTCCCCCTGCTCCCACCCCTCCCGTCTCGCCTCCCTTCGTCCCCAGTCCCGGCTCGGACGGAACTGGCCTGGTAGGGTACTCACAGGGTAACGGTGCCGTTAGGCAGAAGGCCGGGCTCGGGAGGCTCCGGGAGGTCCCCGCCGCTGCACACCACCCTCCGCCGAGCCGGGCCAGGGACGCCGCCGCTCAGCCCCTTGGGCCGCTCCCCCGAGCACTTGCAGCTGCGGATGGATAGCGGGCAGCCGGGCGCGCCCCGAGCCTCGGGCGCCAGGAGCAGCAGGAGCCACGGCAGCAGCGGCAGCAGCAGGCGCGCGGGCGCCCCCCGCATCCTGCGTCCCCCGGCGCCCATCAACCCATCGCCCCGCGGGGACCCACAGCGCTGGGGCCGGGCTGCGCGCCGGCCGGAGGGACCCAGGCGTGCGGGAGGAGTGCTCAGCGGGGGCCCGGGGCTCCCGAGGGCGTGGAGGGGGGCCCTGGGCGGAGGCGAGCCCCGGGGTCCCCGCCGCCGCGCCCCGGGGGCATGTCCTGCGAGCGCCCCGGCGGGGAGGACGTCGGCGCGGCTGTCAGCGCAGCGCGGGCAGCTCCCAGCTGCGCGGCCGGAGTCTCAGCGCCCGGCCCTCGGGACACTGGAGGCCCGGCCCCTCCGCGTCGCCTGCTCGCTGGGCGCTGGGCTGGGACCTAGCGGATCGCGCCGGGCTCCTGCTGCCGCCGCCGCCGCCGCTCCGTGCCATGGATGGAGGCAGCTCCGCGCCGCGCCGCTCCCGCCGCCGGTCCCCGCCCGCCCGGGCCTTCCGCGGGGCCCTAGCGCCGACCGACACGCGGCCAGGCCTAGACCCTCTGCCGAGTGGGGGCGGGCCAGCTGGTTCGAGGACCCTGCGTCCCCGCGCCCGCCCTGCACCAACACTCCTCTCCCGCTTGTCCCCGCGCCCCGGGCCAGGACCCTTCCTTTCCGCAACCCATCTCAGACCTCTGAGCCGACCACCACCACCTTCCACAAAATTTCCCTCGTCCGTGCCGGTGCAGCTTGCGTCTCCAGGCTGCTGGGGCCCTCCTGGACCCGCGGGCTTGGACAGAGACGTCTGGGGCGCCCTGTTTTGGGTTGAACTTGGTGGAAGGCTCCGAGGTTTCCTTTGGCCCCTGACACGATGATCAGTCTGGAAGTCGGCTCTCACTCTCCTTCCAGCTCCGGTGGAGGCAGCCGCAGGAGGATGGCAGCCGAGACAAGGAGGCAGCAGACCCTCCTCCGCTGCGGTGACCTCGCTCAGCGGGGGGTGCATGTCATTCGGCCAAGGAGAGGTCAAAGGCCAAGGCAGACAAGGCTAGAGGCTAGACTGGGCCTCCTACATTTTCCACAACGCTGTGTGTGTGTGTGTGTGTGTGTGTGTGTGTGTTTCGGGGACAGTGAGTGGGACAAGGGAAAAGTAGATGAGAAGGAGCAGGGCTTTGCAGCAGGGTGTGGAAAGAGCACTGCGCAGTGAGTCTGGAGACCCCTATTCCAGACTCGGCTCTGCCTCTCATTACTGTCTGACCTTGGACACAGCCCCTAGCTTGCTGGGGTAGCAGATCTCTGGGGTTGAAATGGGGCTCTGCCTGCTCCCCAGTTTATAGAGTGGCATTAGATGCCCAGTAAATCGTGGCATTAGAATAAGAGAGTGTGGTGGGGGGGAGGGGCACATGGTTTCCAAAGGCAGAGGACTGGTGGTGGCAGGGGTGACCTTGACAACTAGTGGTGGGTATAAAGCTGCCTGCAGGCCGGGCGCGGTGGCTGACACCTGTAATCCCAGCACTTTTCGAGGCCGAGGCGGGCGGATCACTTGAGGTGAGGAGTTTGAGATCCACCTGGCCAAAATGATGAAACCCTGTCTGTACTAAATATACAAAAATTATCCGGGCGTCGTGGTGGGCGCCTGTAATCCCAGCTACTTGGGAGGCTGAGGCACGAGAATTGCTTGAACCCAGGAGGCGGAGGTTGCAGTGAGCTGAGAGCGTGCCACTGCACTGCAGCCTGGTGACAAAGTGAGACTCCGTCTCAATAAATAAATAAATTAATTAAAAAAAAAACAGCCTGCAGTACACCGGAACCAGGGCTGGGGACAGGCAGTAAGAAGTGCAGCCCAGGGGTCTGCTTCCTCTGTTTCCCCACAGAAGCTCACCTTTCTGTTGCTTAATAGAGCTGCCGGGATGGGGCAGGACTCCCGTTCCCCCTCCTTCACTCTACCACCCAAGCGGTCCCCAAGGTGAATGCCACATTCTTTAGTGAGCTTAGCCCTGCTGATGTGCGGTGGTGCCTTTTCTAGGGCCCCTGTGCCTGTCAGCCAAGTCTACCCTGACTATGCAGGGAATGGCTTTCTTCTCTTGCCCGTTGGCGTTGGCGGCAGGCAGGGGCCTAGATGTTGGCTTCTTCACTTTCCCTCCCTGGCTCCACAGATCTCCCCCAGTTGCAGGCTCTCTGGTTCCTTGAACTTCCAAAGATAAATAAATAGTGATTGCAAATGGAGGAAGGGAGAAGGGGAATGGACTCCCCCAGCAGGAGCCCTCACAGGCGGTGGCCCAGGCTGCATTCCTCAGGAAAGAGCTGACAGCAGAGCCACAGCCCATAGGCAGGGCTGTGCAGCCCTCCTGCTCACAGGCAAGGAAGACTCTGAGATCTCTGGCCTGGGTCATATAGCTTTTCTGTGATTTCCTTTGGCTAAATGAAGACACTCAAAGTCTAAAGAAGAATTCTACTGGAACACCCACTCCTGGAGGCTGAACAGAGGCCAAAGGACATTTAATGAGGCGAGGCTTCCCCACCACTAGGAATGAAATGTCTGATGGAGACATCTACAAAACACTGGACTGTCCTGAGGGTCACCACATTTGACTTCTTACCCACCCAGGGAGGTGATGAAGTGGAGGTTACTTTCTTATTTTGCAAGTATGGATGAAGAAACTGAGTCACTGAGACTAGAGTCCAAGGGTAGGAACTTACTTTCTGATTCCTTTTTTTGTGTATGTGTGAGACAAGGTCTCTCTCTGTCACCCAGGCTGGAGTGCAGTGGCAGGAACACGGCAGCCTCGATCTCCTGGGTTCAATCCTCCCACCTCCGCCTCCCAAGTAGCTGGAACTACAGGTTTGTTATTGCATGCAACTAATTTTTTTTAATGTTTTGTAGAGATGGGGATCTCGCCATGTTGCCCAGGCTGGTCTCAAACTCCTGGACTCCAGCAATCTGCCTGACTTGGCCTCCCAAAGTGCTGGGATTACAGGTGTGAGCCACCATGCCTGGCCATGAGCATGTTTGTCTGTTTGTTTGTTTGTTTGTTTGTGATGGAGTCTAGCTCTGTCACCCATGCTGGAGTGCAGTGGCACAATCTCAGCTCACTGCAACCTCTACCTCCTGGGTTCAAGTGATTCTCCTGTCACAGCCTCCCAAGTAGCTGGGATTACAGGCGCCTGCCACCATGCCTGGCTAATTTTTGTATTTTTAGGAGAGACAGGGTTTCACCATATTGGCCAGGCTGGTCTCAAACTCCTGACCTCAGGTGATCCACTCGCCTTGGCCTCCCAAAGTTCTGGGATTATAGGAGTGAGCCACCGCAACCTGCCATGAGCATGTTTTAATCCTTTTTTCTTCTTATTTCTAGTATACCGTGCCCGGCCATGGTTCCTTTTTAAGTGCTTTCTTCTCTGAGCCACAGGGAGACTTTCCCCTGGGAAGCTTCCTGCAGACCTCTCCTCAGAGGTGCAGTGAGGAGTGAATGAATTGCCCACATCAAAATCTTTTTGTTTTGAGGTTTGTTTGAGATAGGAGAATGACTCGAATTTAGTTCCAGACCTCAAAAAATCTGCTAGGGAGCCTGACCAATTAAACACACCTTGATCAGAGGTGATAAGCTCTTCAGTGGCGATCACAGAGACAAGACTGAATTAATTCCGACCAGAGCAAGGGAGAGGGGACTTTCCGAAAGAGTCTGTTTAATCTGGGCAAGAATATAATCTACCGGACTCTATGAGACCTTATTCCCCTAAGAGTCTAGGGGCTCATATCTGCCGTCTCCCTCTTGAAAGAAGTTTGCCTTTGCTGGGAGCTAGCTGCTAGCTGATCTCTCTGAGACTGAGCAGATTGGAACTACCGTGGGAGTCACATAAGGAAAGTGGACAGCCACTGAGTGCTTATTATGTGCCAAGCGCTTGTTGAGTACATTTCGTAAGAATTAGCTCATTTAGCCAGGCACGGTGACTCATGCTTGTAATCCCAGCACTTTGGGAGGCTGAGGCGGGCAGATCACCTGAGGCCAGGAGTTCAAGACCAGCCTGGCCAACAGGGCAAAACCTCATCTCTACTAAAAATACAAAAATTAGCCGGGTGTGGTGGCGGGCGCCTGTAATCCCAGCTACTTGGGAAGCTGAGGCAGGAGAATCGCTTGAACCTTGGAGGCGGAGGCTGCAGTGAGTCGAGATTGCACCACTGCACTCCAGCCTGGGGGACAGAGTGAGACTCCATCTCAAAAAAAAAAAAAAAAAAAAGAATTAGCTCATTTAGTTCTCAAAACAGAGTGAGGACCTTTATTTTTATTTTTATTTTTTTTTTGAGTCAGAGTTTTGCTCTTGTTGCCCGGGCTGGAGTGCAATGGCATGGTCTTGGCTCACTGGAACCTCCGCCTCCTGGGTTCAAGGTTCAATTCTCCTGCCTCAGCCTCCCAACTAGCTGCCCGCCACCATGTCCAGCTAATTTTTTTTTTGTATTTTTAGTAGAGACGGGGTTCACCATGTTGGCCAGGCTGGTCTCGAACTCCTGACCTCAAGTGATCTGCCCGCCTCAGCCTCCCAAAGTGTTGGGATCACAGGCGTGAGCCACCGCGCCTAGCGGTTAGGACAATTTTTTTAACAGACAGGGAACCCAAAGAGTACCTCACCCAAGAATATATAGCTAGTAAGTAATGGAACCAAGATGTGGACTCCTGGAACCAAAGTCGAAAAATTTTTTGAGACAGGGTCTCTCTCTGTTGCCCAGGCTGGAATGCAATGGTACAATCATAGCTCACTGCAGCCTTGAACTCCCAGGCTCAAGCAGTCCTCCCACCTTAGCCTTCTGAGTAACTGGGACCACAGGCATGTGCCAGCATGCCCGACTAAATTTTTAATTTTTTGTAGAGACGGGGTCTCGCTATGTTGCCCAGGCTGGTCTCAAACTCCCAGCCTCAAGTGATCCTCCTGCCTCAGGCCCCCTAAGTACTGGGATTACAAGCATGAGCCATGATGCCTGGCCTAGAGACCAAATTTTTAACTGCTGTACTCTGTCATTTCTAGGGAGGAGAAGAGCTCACAAAAATTCTCCCAAGAGTTTCACTTCCCCTTGTGTGTGTGTATGTGTTTTTTTTTTTTTTTTTTTTTTGACGGAGTCTTGCTGTGTTACCCAGGCTGGAATGCAATGGCATGATCTCGGCTCACTGCAACCTCCACCTCCCGGGTTCAAGCATTCTCCTGCCTCAGCCTTCCGAGTAGCTGGGATTACAGGCGCACGCCACCATGCATGGCTAATTTTTTGTATCTTTAGTAGAGACGGGGTTTCACCTCGTTGGCTAGGCTGGTCTCCAACTCCTGACCTCAGGTGATCCACCTGCCTCAGCCTCCCAAAGTGCTGGGATTACAGGTGTGAGCCACCACGCCTGGCACCCTTTGTGGTTTTTTTTTTAACTTTGATTCTCTGGCCTTCTCTGAGCGAAACCTTTAGAGATGTCCACTCTTAACCCATAGCTGGTAGTAGAACCAAGACACACTTGGCTTTTTCCCTAATAGAGTCCGGGAATGGAGAAACTTCCTGAAGGAACTTCACTACTAAGCTAGGAGAAAGTAATGGGTGGATAAAGAATACACACAGACTGCCGGGCATGGTGGCTCATGCCTGTAATCCCAGCACTTTGGGAGGCCGAGGCGAGTGGATCACGAGGTCAGGAGATCGAGACCATCCTGGCCAACATGGTGAAACCCACCCCCCATCTCTACTAAAAATACAAAAATTAGATGGGCGTGGTGGCACATGCCTGTAATCCTAGCTACTTGGGAGGCGGAGGCAGGAGAATCCCTTGAACCAGGGAGTTGGAGGTTGCAGTGAGCTGAGATTGCGCCACAGCACTCTAGCCTCGCAACAGAGCAAGACTCCATCTCAAAAAAAAAAAAAAAAAAAAATTAGCCGGTGTGGTGGTGCGCACCTGTAATCGCAACTACTTGGAAGGCTGAGGCAGGAGAATCGCTTGAACCCAGGAGGTGGAGCTGAGATCGTGCCATTACACTCCAGCCTGGGCAACAAGAGTGAAACTCTGTCTCAAAAAAAAAAAAAAAAAAAAAAAAAAAAGAAGAAGAATATACAGACCGTAAGCATGCAGAGGTGCTGGGGGTAGCAACAGCTAACAAGCTTCCAGCACCAGGCCCTCTTCTCTTCTGTGGTGTGTCAGAGGGCCCCACCCAGGCTGTTCACCATTTTTTTTTTTTTGAGACAGAGTCTTGCTCTGTCACTCAGGCTGGAGTGCTGTGCTGTGACCATAGGTCACATCAGCCCTGAACTCCTGCGCTCCGGCAGTCCTTCCACCTTGGCCTCCCAAAGTGCTGGGATTGCAGGTGTGAGCCACTATGCCTGGCCTTACCTTTTAATGCTAAGGTTTTCTAATTTCCTTCTGTGCCTTGTTGTTTTTCAGATTTTAACAATCAGACTCAGGTCAACAGTGGTTGAGATAATGGCCCATAATTGGCTCCAGAATGCAAACGTGGCATTTCTCCAGGATTCCATTAGCTCAGAATGACAAGGTGACTCCCTGCCCCCACCTCCCTCACAAGATGGCTCCCCGGGGCTTCCTCTGAGCTCTGTCCCTGTCCTGCACCTCCCTGTGGGGACGGCTGAGCTGCTGGTCCTATTGGAGCAGCATGAACACCTTGCTGGGTGTTCATGAGGGAGAAAAGCTCATGAAGGAATGAATCAGAGTTGGATGCTATGCATATAAATATTTAGGCCTGTAAGGGCTTCTCTTTGGTGATCTGATTCCACCACATACCAGGTACCTCAGCATAATTCAGACATTCCTGCAGGAAAGGGTCATAATCTCTGTCTCTATTAAAGTCCAATTTATCCTTTAAATGAAATCTACTCACAGTCCTGCAGATGAGGACTACTTCCTGCACGATGACCACAGCGGCTAAGAGGCTGAGGCAGGAGAACCGCTTGAACCCAGAAGGTGGAGACTGTGGTGAGCGGAGATTGTGCTGTTGCATTCCAGCCTGGGCGGCAGAGCAAAAGTCTGCCTCAAATAAATACATAAATAAATGTCCTCTGTGCTGTCTCTGTGGAGGATCAAGAGTGGTGGGACCAGTGGGGGAACAGGAGACAGTGAGGAGGCCAGGCCCACAGGCCAGTGGAGGCCTCTTGGACAAAGGGGATGGGGAAGGAGGTGAAAAGGGGCTGGATCCCGATGTAGTCTGCAGGTGGAGTCCCACAGGATTTTCCAACACATGGGAAGAGGGGTGTCAGAAGCATTGGTCAAGAACGTCCTCTTGGGTGTTTGGCATGAGCCATGAGAAGAATGGAATGACCATTTCCTAAGCTGGAGAAGACTCGGGAAGGGTAAGGTTTGGGGAGGAAATCAAAGAGTTTGACTTGTTGCTCTGCTAGGTGCTGCGGATTTCATGGTAAACAAGAAAGACACAGTCACTGCCCTCGTGGAGTTGACAGTCCAGGAGAGGCAGCTATTTTATTATTCTTTTTTAGAGACAGGGTCTTGCTCTGTCTCACAGGCTAGAGTGCAGTGGTGTGATCATGGCTCATTGTTACCTCAAACTCCTGGGCTCAAGTGATCCTCCTGCCTCAGCCTCCTAAGCAGTTCGGAGTATAAGCACACCCTACCGCACCCGGTTAATTACAAAAATTTTGTGTGTGGAAATGGGGTCTCGCTATGTTGCCCAGGCTGGTCTTAAACTCCTGGCCTCAAGCAATCCTCCCACCTCGGCCTTCCAGAGTGTTGGCATTACAGGCATGAGCCACCGCGCCTGGCCCTGAGAGGCAGTTATTGAGCAAACACTAACACATGTGACTATAATTCGACATTGTGTCAGTGCTGTGAAGGGAAAGGGGGCATTAGAGAGGATTGGGGCAGAAGCCCTGTTTCCATGAGGATCAGGAAAGGCCTCTCTGTGGATGTAATGGCTAAGCTGACCTGAAGTATCAACAGGTGTTAGCCGGGTAAAGAGGGCAGCAGGGAGCCTTCCCAAACTCTGGGCAGGGAAGAGGTTGGCACCTTAGACAGATCTGCCTTGCTGGAGGGAGTACAGGGGAGAAGGAGGGAGAGAGCCGGTAAGGGCTACAGGCCCGGCCTCCACCCTCCCTTCCTCCTCCTGTTCCTCCCCTGGTAGCTCCCAGGCTCCTTGGAGCTCAGGGGAAAGTGTGGCTCTCTCTTGCCCAGGGTCTTATGGATGGATCAGGAATGAGGAGGCTTTCCTATCTGCAGCCTTACCCGGCCATAACAGGGAGGGTCCTTTCGGGGGATTGAGGAGGCTGTGCCCATCCAGGCCTGGCTTCCCATCTGGTTTCAGGGCTCCTGGGGGCATGGTCTGTAACCTGTTCCAGGCCCATGCAAGGGGCTGCTCCATCACCAGCCTTTTTTCCCCAGAGGCAGCCAAGATGATGAGTCCCTGCCGCAGGCCAGCACCCCTTTCCCTGAGCCCCATGGTGTTAGACATTCAGGTCTCAGAAAGGTGGAGGCAGCTCTAGCCAAGAGAAGGGTGTGTGTGAGCATGGGGGGTGGGCTAGGGAGAGGGGGCGACAGAGGGGCAAGAAGGGGTTACGAGGCCAGCATTTTTGTATGGGTGTGTGGATGTGTGGCTTTCACGCTGTAGAAAATAAAATATAGAGGATGAGGGGGAGGCAGTAAGGCCCGTCACGTGCAGTGTCTGGTTTAACCCTCACACCATGCCATATGTGGCTACTGCCTTTCACAGATGAGGCACTCAGAGAGGATGTGTGCATGTGTGTGTGTGTGCGTGCATGCACATGTTGGGGTGGGGAGAGAGGGTGTGTGCATGCGGAGAGAGGGTGTGTGCATGTGTGTGTGCATGCGTGCATGCACGTGTTGGGGTGGGGAGAGAGGGTATGTGCGTGTGTGCCTGCGTGCGTGCACATGTGTCAGGGTGGGGGCTTCATTTGGTCTCGCTTCTTTCTGTGATGGAATGGGGTCACTTGATGGAGAAGCTGGGGTGAGCCTGGGCTCCCCGATGGCTGCTGCTCCCTGATGACCCTGCTCATGCTCCCTGCTGCGGTGCCCTGCGGTGGGTGAGTGTTGGCAGGTGCGGATCTCTGCTCCGCTGACCCATCTGCACCCCCATGCCCCGCAGGAGGCCTGAACCGCCATGGAAGGGAACCGGAGAGGAGCGCAGAGCCGGCTGGTGGAGAAAGTCGCAGGCGTTCTTCCAGGCAGGAGGAGGGGTAGGGAACACCCCGGGCAGCTTGGAGCGTTTGGGGTCATCCCCAGGGCACTGGGCCAGGTGGGGGCTGGTGCGAGTGAGGGGTGGGAACCCCCTCTGCCGGGCCTGTGGCGGGGAGCCTGAGGTTGAGGCCAACCTCAAAAGTGTGCCTGCCTGCAGCTCTCACCACTGTTTAAGAAACTCATTTTTATCGAAGCAACACACACATGTGGCTAAGATGTGGACTAGCCTGGAAGAGCTTGTGATGAAAAGGCCGCGGGCCCTCCCAGTCCTGCTCCCCAGAGGCGGTGGAGTTGGACAGTTTCTGCTTTGAGTTTTCTGCTCTTTGTTGAAGCAGTCATGGAACGGGCTTAGCGCCCCGAGAGATCGACCCTGTTTGAGGATGGGTTTTCCAATCCAGCATTTAGGAGCTGCCCACCAGGCCTCCCGGTTTTCAGAGCTGTGGCTCTCCGCAGATTTCCCACCAGCTTCTCAGAGTCACTGTTGCCTTCTTCCCACAGACCACTCCACCCACCCCGGAGCACTTGGACCCCAACCCCCGTCATGCTGTAGCCTGAGAAGTGCCCTCATTAGCACACAGCTCAGGCTGATGGCAGCTTGGATTTTTAATTTGCTGGAAAAGTCCATCCATGCACAGAACCTCAATTCGTAGCAGCAGCTGGACTCTTGATGGCTTGCTGGGGCTGACCTTTTTTTTTTGTTTTTTTTAGGGACGGGTTCTCATTCTGTCACCTAGTCTGTAGTGCAGTGGTGCCATCATAGCTCACTGCAGCCTCCAATTCCTGGATTCAAGCGATCCTCCTGCCTTAGCCTCTAGAGTAGCTGGGATTACAGGCATGTGCCACCGACCCTGGCTAATTTTTAAATTTGTGTAGAGACAGGGGTCTTGCTATGTTGCCCAGCCTGGTCTTGAACTCCTCGGCTCAAGCAATCCTCCTGCCTCGGCCTCCCAAACACTGGAATGACAGGTGTAAGCCACTGTGTGGGACACGCTGGTCCTTTTGTGTGTGTCTCTCTTGTCATCTCCCCCTGCTCTCTCCCTTTCTCCTCCACCTTTTTTTTTTCTTTTTGAGACAGTCTCGCTGTGTCACCCGGGCTGGAGTGCAGTGGTGCTATCTAGGCTCACTGCAACCTCCACCTCCTGGGTTCAAGCAATTCTCCTGCCTTGGCCTCCCCAGTAGCTGGGATTACAGGTGCCCACTACCGTGCCCGGCTAATTTTTTGTATTTTTAGTAGAAACAAGATTTCACCATGTTGGCCAGGCTGTTGTCGAACTCCTGACCTCAGGTGATCCGCCCACCACAGCCTCCCAAGGTGCTGGGATTACAGGCATGAGACACCACGCCCGGCTCCTCCACCTTGCTCGGTGCTTTCCTTCCTCCTTTCCTCTCCTGCTCTCTCTCTCTCTCACACACACACACACACACACACACACACACACTCTCTCTCTCTCTCTCTCTGGCCTCAGGGGGCCCTGGGTCTTCACCCAGAAGGAGAAGGCCAGGCTTCTGTGCAGGTAGTTGTGGGCTCTATTTCCTAAGCCCTGTCAGCTGCCCTGTGGCCCTGCAAGGCCTGGGTTGAGGTCGGGAGAGATGTGGGAAGAGGAGTCCCTCTGTCCAGGCCCCTGTCCTGTGCCTGCACTTTGAGGAGTTTGGGTGTGTGCTGGAGTCTGGATGCCCAGGGCGTGTGAGCCAGAGTATTTGGTTTTGGTTTCACTCTGGGCTAATTTTGCTGTTTTTAGGCCTCAGTCTTTAGTTAGGTCTTTAGTTGAAAGCTAGGGAACACTCGGGAAGGCTTGGATGTCCATGTTTGGGCAGCATCAAGGGGAAGCGGGGCCTTTCCCCCTCTCCACATCCAGGCTGGTTATATCAGCGGGGCTCTGTGAGTGCCATGAAGGGAGCTTGCTTGAGGACTTGGAGTTTCAGTTGCCTTGTGGAGGGTCCTCCTTCCTCCCCAGTCTTAGAAGATCAGGTTTCATGTCTGAAGGCCTGGCAGTGTTTCTGACAGTCCTTATCTGTTTGGGCCATCAGAGCTCCACCCCATTTCTCCAGGGAGGTTCAAGCTGACTGCAAAGCCCAACACAGCTGGGGCCAGCAGAACAGCCGACCTGAACTTTCACCAGCGCCAGGCTTTGTGTGAGGCACTTTCCATGTATGGCCACATTTAATCTTCACAGCAATGCCATGAGTAGTTACCCTTAAGATCACTCCCATTCACAAAGGAGGAAACTGAGGCACAAAAGGGGCTAAGTACTTGGCCTAAGATAATTTGTCTGATAAAGAACAGATTTGAGATTCAAAGCCGGACAAACCAGTGCCAGAGTCTTAGAGCAACTACTGTGTCTGTGTGTGTCTGTGCGTGCGGATATGTGTGTGCATGTGTGTATATGTTTGCATGTATGTGTATATGTGTGCCTGTATGTGTGTGGCTGTATGTGTCTCTGTGTGTGTATATGTGTGCCTACATGTGTATGTGTGTATATGTGTGTATATTTGTGTATGTGTGTGGCTGTATGTGTATGTGTATTTGTGTAAGTGTGTGTATGTGTGTCTAAGTGTGTATATGGGTGTCTGTGTGTGTAGGTGTGTTTGTCTCTGTGTGTATATTTGAGTATGTGTGTGTATGTGCATATGTGTGTGTATGTGTAGGTATGTGTATGTGTGTCTGTGTATGTGTGCATGTTTTTGTGTGTATATATGTGTCTCTGTGTATATCTGTATCTGTGTGTGTATATCTGTGTGTGTCTGTGTGCTTGTATCTGTGTGTGTATCTGTATCTGTGTATGTGTGTGTATATCTGTGTGTGTCTGTGTGTGTATCTGTGTATCATGTATCCGGATCTGTGTATCTCTGTGTATCTGTGTGTGTGTATCTGTATCTGTGTGTGTGTATCTCTGTGTATCTGGATCTTTGTATCTGTGTGTGTGTATCTGTATCTGTGTATCTGTGTGTGTACCTCTGTGTGTGTAGCTGGATCTGTGTATCTGTATCTGTGTGTGTATCTGTATCTGTGTATCTGTATCTGTGTGTGTACTTGTATCTGTGTATCTGTGTGTGTGTATCTGGATCTTTGTATCTGTGTGTGTGTATCTGTATGTGTGTATATCTGTGTGTGTGTGTGTGTAGCAGCTCCCCACACCCCTCACAGGCTACCTCCTTATTCCTGCAGCCCTTACCCTTGCAAATGTGTTCTCCAAGCGACTGCATAAAGCCCTTTTGATGACTGGTTCCTTAACACGGACACAGTGAGAGCCCTGTTCCCCATCCCCACCCCTGCCCCAGGCCCTGGGCCTCCACTCAGAGGCCCAACCAGCACCCTGGCTGCCAGCGTGGGCCTGGGCCTCACGGCTGAGCCCAGCCCTGCTGGGGACAGCACACTCCGCTGCTGGGGCCTGTGAGCAGTCTTGGAGACAGGCCTGTGACCGGTCACAAGGGGGCACACAGAGCCGCCTGCGAAGCCCTACACCCTGGGAGGGGAAGAGGTGTCTCCTTCAGGCCTGGCCTCCCACTCACCAACGTGGAGCAGGACGGGACCTGTACGCAGGCCGCACCATCCCCCACCAGAGGGTTCTGCCAAGGGGCTGCCCTCTACGATGGCGCAGGCCCCAAAGTCCCAGCCCCTTGTCCTGGCCGCCCTGGGGTGCAGGCAGCTCCTGCCTCACACACCTGGTTGGCCAGAGCAGTAAAGCGAGGCAGGGCCACCTAGAGCCCTTTGGTTTGGGGATCTTCCTGTCACCAGTGGTTTGTGGGAGATGGATGAGAAGGGTGATAAGAGGGAAAGTAGATAGAGACAGGATACAAAGAGGAAAAAAAAGAGAACAAGAGAGAGAGGCTCACCCAAGGCATCCCAAATAGGAGGGCACCTTCCCTTTTCCTCCATGCAGGAGATGCTCCCGGGGAAACCAGTAGAGGAAGGCAGCCACACAGCCAAGGGAGAGATGGGCTGGCCGGGGTTCCAGGCCCTGCACAGCGGCTCTCTCTGCACGATGGTGTCTGGGGACCCTGGAGGATCAGCTGCAGTTCTGTGAGCTGGTGGCCCAGCTGCTCACCCCTCCCTAGAGCCCTTGCCCCTCCCAGCTGAGGAGCGCTGCTGTCAGAGGCCGCTCCTGCAAATGTCTGGCTTTATCCTCCCCACACATTGAAGCCATCAGGCCTCGGCCCTGCGACTGCAGCTTGCCTAGCTCCGTGGGTCAGAGACAAGTCTGGAACATGGCGCTTTCATGAAAACCAGACCTAGCCTCCTCCAGCCCCTCACTCCTGGGGAAGGGGGGCGGGCCAGGGCCCTTGCTCAGGCTCTAGTTTCAGAACTTTGCAACTACTGTCCTCTATTTTGATCCCTCTGAAACGTTTTTGAGGTCACCTTCCACTCTTGCCGCTTGCTCCACCCTCAGTTTCCAACCGGACTTTGAGTCAATGCTGCAGAAAACAGGGAATTTGAGGGGCCCCAAAGTCCTGGGTTGCTCCATCAAAGCAGCGAGCACCCCTCAGTGCCTCATGTACTAGGGAAGCCTAAATCAAAGGCAAACCCTGAATTCCTCTTGCTCATGGCCAATAAAAACCTTGCTCCAGTGCCGGTTTCCTTTGCTGAAATCAGATATCTTGGTAATAAACAAGTCCGAAAGGCAGGGAAAAGCTCTTGCTTGCTTCTTTCTTCTGATTAGTTTTTCTTCCTTTAAAAAAAAAATTTCTCCTATAACAGGATGCCTGCCCCAGAAACTTGAGCACAGAAGGCTGCCCTCTCCTGCCCTGCTTCCCTCACTCCTCCAGAACCTTCCCCACTGGGCTCCTGTTGGGTGGGGGTTGGGGCCTGGCTTCCCCAGGACTAGACTGCTTTAGCTCAAAGGCGGGTCAAAGGGGCTGGGGAGAAGAGGCCTTTGCTGCCTGGGGAGTTGGCTGCTGGCTCACAGGCTTACAGCAATAGCTGACTTCTAAGCCTCTGGCTGGTGGCCGGCAGCAGTGGGAAGGCGGAGTTTTGACAAAGTGGAATCCCCCCACCTTTTTTTTCTTTTTCTTCCTTCCTTTCTCTCTCTCTTTTTTTTTTTTTTTTTTTTTTTTTTTTTTTTTTAAAAGACAGTCTCCCTCTGTCACGCAGGCTAGAGTGCATCACAGCTGGTGTGATGGTGTGATCACAGCCACTGCAGCCTCACTCTCCTGTGCTCAAGCGATCCTCCCTCCTCAGCCTCCTGAGTCACTGGGACTACAGGTGTGCACCACCATACCCAGCTAATTTTTAAATTGTTTTTAGAGACAGGGTCTTGCTACGTTTCCCAGGCTGGTCTTGAACTCCTGGCCTCAAGCAATCCTACTGCCTCAGCCTCCCAAAATGCTGGGATTACAGGCGTGGGGCCACCACGTCTGGCCAAGGAACCACTTTTCTCTAAGGCAGTTCTTCTGAATTCCTCTGAGTGTGCCATGGGGCTGTAGAAAGCCCCACACTGTGGGATTTAGTGTGCCGTCCACAGAGAGGTAGATCTTGGGCATCAGAGGGGCTGGGAGGGTAGAGGCCTTGGGCTTTTGCTTCCTGGGACTGCCTTGCCCTCGCACATCAACCCTTTCCTGGGCCCCTGCCTGTCCTTGTCCAATCCCAGGGCAAATGTAACTCCACATGTGGCCTGCTATGAAGGAGTGCCCTCCCCTGAGGTGCTCACATCTCTCTTCTTCCCTCCCAAATAGGTTTTTAAGTGACTTTGCTGTCAGAAGATGCTATTCTGTTTGTTTTTCCTCTGACACTATCTCTCCAGAGAGTTTCTGGTCAAGAGAATTATGTGGAGGCTGCAGATTGCAAGAGAATTGCGCCTAATAGGGAACAGACAGACAAGACACCTTTCATGTCTAGCCAAGTTTCTTTTCCCCTCCTCTTTCTCTCTCTCTCCCACTTCTCATCTTCCCTTTTTGGCTTCAAAGTTGGCCTTCGTTTGTGCTTGTTTCTTCCGTACATCTGGTGAATAAGGTCACACATTGATTTTATTTTGGAGATTGGCAGCCGGGTCAGGCTTAGCTCTGAGGCTGGAGAGCGGTAAGGCTGCTAGGAGGGCGGGTGCTGGAGACGCTAGCCTGGAATAGCATGGAGGTAGCAGGCGGTGTCTCCAGGCAGCTGGTGCAGATGGGACCATTCGAGAAGGCACTCCGGCACTCAGAGTGGCCTCTGCTCCCTGTGATCTCAAGGCTCAGGAGTGTGGGCTTGTAAAATTTATTCTAAATACAAGAAAAGTGCCAAAAGCCCCTCCTGCTGTCCCCACTGTGTGCCGTTTCAGCTGCTCTGTGCTGCACTTTAAAGGAAAAAAAAAAGTGTTAGCTCTGCGGTCCCTTGAGGCTTCAACGTGATTATAGAAGAGGAACTTAAGTTTAAGGACCCTTACCTTGCAAGTAGCTGCTTAACCACACAGAGCCATAGTTTACACACGTTGGTGCAAACTGGGTGGAAAAGGAAGCCCTTTTCTTTACCTATGTGTTCCTTGAGGGGAGGACAGATTAGTAAAACATTTTGGTAGACAGTCTGGATTCTTTTGTCCTTAGTCATGAGGCTGATGTAATAGCATTCAACTAATTTCATGGTAAAGACAGTCACAGTTCCCAGAGAAATCCTTTCCCCTTGCACCACTGGTGACATTCCACTCCTACTGCAGCCCTTCAGGAATTGGTAAGCGAGTACTTCCTCCTTCAAAGCTTTGGTGGGATGCACACGACCACTTCTTTTCTGAAGGATGAAGATGTCCTGGATTTTAAGAATGTCCTGTCTGACCTCATTCCTGTGTGTCTAGCCTTGGGGAACAGAATTCACTGCTGGTCCAGCTTCAGGGGGAAGGCACAGGGTTGCACACTCTGGGCCCTGCAGCCTGTGAGATTAGCTTGAATCATGAGGAATGAGCTTGGGAGGGAGATGGGATGACGAGAGGGGAGGCCAATCCCACTCATGGCTGGGTTTAATGCTCTCCTTCCTTCTCACCCCCACTGCCTGTGGTTTCAAAGTTTGTTCTGCATTAAGATGCGTCAATTCTCAGCTGTTCCACTGGAATAGAAACACACACACTTATTTTATGGTAATAAGGCTCGTTTAAATGAAAGCTGCACATCTAAGAATATGCCACTTATCAATTATTAAAGGTAGAGATAGAAGATACCAGTGTGGAGTAGTGACCATGTTCTGGGCCAGAAAGTCAAGTCCTGAGTTTATTTCTCGTCCTGCCACAACTCACTCTGACCTCAGACAAGGAGAACACGGAACCTTCTCTGGGCCCCAGTGCCCCGTCCACAAAGGGACATTGCCTATCAGCCTACACAAGTCTACCAGCTGTTGTGATGGTGAAATGAGAGAATATAGAGAATAGTGCTGCATATGCCATCAATGTTAAACAAAAGGTGGGGGGTACCATTTGAGTATTAAGAGGTTGCTTTAAGAACTGTGATAGAATCTGTGAGGAGCTCCCCAAGAGATCAAAGTCTTGATGGACTATTGGGAGGTTTTGTGGCGTCTCAAGCCTTCTGAGGCTGGCTTCAGGGCAGACAAGGGCCCAGCGCCTTCAGAGACTGTGAGGCTGCACAGGTGGGCCCAATCCAGGAGAGCAAGCCGTCCAAACTCCAGGAACTGGCTTTCATGAAAATCTGGAAGAAACCCAACCTGCCACCCATCATGCGTAACGAAAGACAAACTCACAACCTGGCTCAATTTTCTCTCTGCAAAATATCCCATCCTGCTGGGGACACCCTAGACACACTTTGGTGTCCTTCCCTTATCTAGATCTGATTGAGCCTTCCCTGGCTTTCCTCCTTATTCGCTGTTTTTGTTTTGTTTTGAGATGGGGTCTCACCTTGTCACCCAAGCTGCAGTGCAGTGGTGCGATCTCAGCTCACCGTGACTTCTTCCTCCCAGGCTCAAGCGATCCTCCCACCTCAGCCTCTGGAGTAGCTGGGTCCACAGGCATGTGCCACCATGCCCAGCTAATTTTTGGGCGGGGTATTTTTGGTACAGACAAGATTTCACCGTGTTGCCCAGGCTAGCTGGTATCGAACCCCTGAGGCTCTGCAAGTCACACTATCACTTGAGAGCGTCATGTCCTCTCTGGCCTCCACCAGACTGAGTAACCAGGAGTCCCTCATAAGGTAAACTACTGACAGTGGAGAGCCAGTGCTTGTCCCTCAGGTTAGCCAATGTCGCCATCTAGAGGCAATTCAAAAGTCTCTTGCAGTGAGGGGTAACTATTTTTGTAATTCTTGAAATGTCCTTTTTCTTGCCCTTAGAAGTTCAGAATCCCTCTCACCCATGGTGTAGCTTTGGCTGCGTCTGTGACCCCAGGGAAGCCCTCCTCCAAAGCCAGGCTGGCACAATGCCAAGGCACCAGCATAGCTGCTTCCCGTCGGTTCCAATGCCCCCACCTGTTATATTCAGTCACTACACCAGATCATAAAAAATAAATCTTTTAATTGCTTTGTAATTGGCACAGATGGTGTAATTCAAACTCACATTTTTATTTAATAGACTCTGAAATATCACACTGTAGCTCTCACTGAAATAATACAGGAATCATAATGTTTAAGTTTACAAAAGTACATTTGGCAGCATCATGATGTTTTGAAAGTTACCTGTAAAATCAAAGACTGGGGCTTCAAAAAATAAGAGAAAAAGCCATCTGGAAAATAAAAAACAAGCCATACTGAAGCCATTTGTCATGACTATTAGAGAATGGTGTTTTTGGGTTTTTTGAGGATCTTGCTACTTTATTAATGATCCAGAAGAGTTGCACAATTCTGGCTTGTAAATACAGTGGGGAAGCTGTAACTATGCCTGGAAAGTGCTCCTCAGGACAAGGAATGTCAAAGCCAGGCTTTGTTGAAACCATGTGCCTGAAAAGGCTTTGAAGGAATCTTTCGTTTCTTAGGAGTAATGAGATTCACTGGGTTTTGATTTAAAAAATCACCCTAAAGAGGATTATAGTGGAGGAGATAATCATTAAATTCTCATCACTGTAGGTCCCAGAGGAAAAACGCAAAGTCCTGTCTCTTCAGGATGATGTCAGAAAGGCCCAAGTCCTCCTTATGTTATCCTTTAATTTCAGGGATAAAACAGAGTGGCAGTGACACAAGCTCTCACTACCAAATTAATTTTTTTTTTAAGAGACAGGCTGTCTCTAAAAAAGTTGGGGGGTATTATCTGCATATTAAAAGGTTGCTTTAAGAAATGTGACAGCATCTATGAAGAACTTCCCAAGAGATCAAAGCCTTCATGGACTATTGGGATTTTTTTTTTTTTTTTAAGGCAGGAGTACAGTGGTGCAATCATAGCTCACTGCAGCCTCAAACTCCTGGGCTCAAGTGATTCTTCCATTCTTCCACCTCAGCCACCATGCCCAGTTAATTTTTAAATTTTTTTGTAGAGACGGGGGGTGGGGCTCCTGCTGTTGCTGAGGCTGGTCTTGAACTCCTAGGCTCAGGTGATCCTTCCGCCTCTGTCTCCCAAATTGCTGGGATTACAGGCATGAGTCACCATGCCTGGCCAGCAACAATTTGTGTTTTGAGAATTAACCTGAGCCATTTCCTGAAGCTACCTACACTGCCATTCCACAGTTGGGAATATCTTCACGTATCTACCGGCTAGGGAAGAATCTGGGGGCAGAAATCACCTTATTCCAGAGCAGCAATTTAGACGACGTAGTAGGAGTTTGTAGGGAGATGTTAACCATAAGGAATTTTCCTATTAAAATGAGATGAAAAAGGGGAATCCCTCTGACTTCCACGATTATAGGCATCAGTGACCAAATTTTAACCTGGAAAAGGCATTCATGGATCAGTTCATGCTCCTGGGCAGAATTCAATATTGAACATGATTCCTAGCTATTGATTTGGTATCTGTTCTGCAGAAATGTTTGAATTTCTCAAACTCAATCCAAAGCCATTGCCTGAAGCAAGCTTCCTATGTCAGAGACTAAGCACAGATGGTTTCCATCAACACACGTGATCATTAGTGCTCTCCACAGGTCACAGGAGAGCAGGACTGCGCTGGGACACAGGGAATATCGAAATGAAAATCTAGGTTAGTGCATAGTTAGTGCTCTCAGTATTCCCTGGCTCAGTGCTCCTGTGCCACCTCCAGCGGGGCCTTCACGTCTGCTGCGCACTTGTCCGGGGTGGGTTTCTTTGAGTAATCCCGCTCTCCAAAAATCGTGCTTCCTATTCGGACATTTGTAGATCCTACTTCAACCTGTGGGAAAAAAGAGAAGGTATCGAGGACCAGGTTTAAAATAATAAAATGGAGCCAGTGCTGAAGCTGTGCCCCCATTCTGGCTCTCAAGAGCCTTCTATGGACGGGGCGTGGTGGCTCACGCCTGTAATCCCAGCATTTTGGGAGGCCGAGGTGGGCAGATCACGAGATCAGGGGTTTGAGACCAGCCTGACCAACATGGAGAAACCCTGTCTCTATTAAAAATACAAAATTAGCCGGGCATAGTGGCACATGCCTGTAATCCCAGCTACTCGGGAGGCTGAAGCAGGAGAATTGCTTGAACCCAGGAGGTGGAGGTTGCGGTGAGCAGAGGTTGCGCCATTGCACTCCAGCCTGGGCAACAAGAGCGAAACTCCATCTCAAAAAAAACAAAAAAAAACAAAAACAGAGCCTTCTATGAATAATAACACAGCTGAAGATGGCTTCAGGATGATTGTTCTCCTCAGAGGTAAAATTGCCTCTGAGGGCATATATAGGAAACAAGTTGGGTTTCTCTGGATTTCCAGTGGTTGGAGAGTGTGGCTGGCACTCAGCTCGGAGGGGGTCAAGGACATTAGACGTCCAGTGTGAGACGCAGCCACACAGCACAGCCCACCTACCTCTCCAATGTGCCACGGTCAGGTAGATGAAAAAAATATCCTTATAATTATCTGATCAAATTCCATTTTACTTATCAATGCAATGTATTTTTGCACTGTTTTAAGAAATACAATTTTCCAGGAATGCAAGTTTATATTTTGATTTTTGAAACTTTATCAAGTTATTTGCTATTTCAGAAAATCATGTATTTGCGTTGCCAATCTAGCACACCTGTATCAGTTGATATTTACAGCTGTTGATGTACATATAAGATTGTTGGTGAATCTACACATAAGATTAAGCCTCGGACGGGTGCAGTGGCTCATGCCTGTAATCCCATCACTTTGGGAGGCCTAGGTGGGTGGATTACCTGAGGTCAGGAGTTCGAGACCAGCCTGGCCAATACGGTGAAACCCTGTCTTAACTAAAAATTCAAAAATTAGCTGGGCATTGTGGCAGGCGCCTGTAATCCCAGCTACTTGGGAGGCTGAAGCAGGAGAATCACTTGAACCTGGGAGGTGGAGGTTACAGTGAGCTGAGATCGCGCCACTGCACTCCGGCCTGGGCAATAGAGCGAGACTCAGTCTCCAAAAAAAAACAAACAAACATGAAGCCTTAGGCTGCTTCATCGTGATTTGCTGTGATACAGCCATGCCCACGCACTTACGTAATGAAATGCCTTTCCAAAAATTATAGCTTAATTTCTTATTTTCCTTTAGACTACACTTATGGAATTATGTTTATAATTTATGAAATTATAATTATAATTAATTTCTTATTTCCTTTAGATTACACTTACGGAATTATATTTTGTTTTAAAAGTTCAGATGTCAGGCTATAATTTCTATACATTTCTTTTCTTTCTTTTGTTTTTTTTTTTTTTTTTTTTTTTTTGAGATGGAGTCTCGCTCTGTTGCCAGCCAGGCTGGAGTGCAGTGGCGCGACCTCGGCTCACTGCAATCTCCGCCTCCTGGGTTCAAGCGATTCTCCTGCCTCAGCCTCCTGAGTAGCTGGGATTACAGGCGTGCGCCACCACGCCCAGCTAATTTTTGTATTTTTAGGAGAGACGGGGTTTCACCATGTTGGTCAGGCTGGTCTCGAACTCCTGACCTCGTGATCTGCCCGGCTCGGCCTCCCAAAGTGCTGGGATTACAGGCGTGCGCCACCGCACCTGGCTCTTTTCAAAAAAGAAAGGGCATGGGGAATGGGAGATGCTGGAATAGCTGACACTGGGTACCTTACTGCCATCCCAAGGCATTTCCAAGGCTTCTACAGCAAAGATCTGCTCTTGTGTCAGCCTCTCAGACCCCCTACCCCCACCCCTCGAGGCAGACAGGGCACTGGCAGGACACTCACCGCATGCTGGAAATCCGCGGACATGCCCATGCTCAGCTCAACCTGGTCAGCAGGGATGTTCAGCTTTTTACACAGCTCCTCCCGGAGGGACAATAACAGCTGACAGAAAGAGATGACACCTATTTTACTCCTGCCTTCTCTAACGATGCCCAAAAGTGTCTGAATCTGAACTTCTCTGACAACGGTTATGTATTCCTTATGATTTCAAGGCCTGCCAAAATTGCCAGACGTTACTGAAAGGGTTTTTTGCAAACTATCCCACTTTCGAGAAAACTATTAGTCACTGGAGAGGAAGAAATCTCATATTCTCTAAAGACTATGTTTTAGCCAAGTTCAAGTTGAGTTGAAAAAGGTTTGTGGGGCTTTGGAAACCTGTTCTTCCCTTTTCCTTCTGAGAAGAGTTCAAAAGAGGGCTAGAACACTCAACAGGCAGTGTCTGGGATGACTCTGCAATCCCCACTGCAGCCAGCCCTGCAATAGCACTCCAGCACCCTGCTTCTTTAGCACACGAGCAATCTCCCCGACCCCCCAGTACCTGGAAGTCTGGATTTGGTCCTTGACTAAGATCATGCCCAAAGCTTCCTATGGTCATCAGCCCCACAAACTCCAGGTTAGGACACTTGGCGTTTATGTGCTCCACGATGGCTATGGTCTCTGAAGGTGGAAGGCCATGTTTACCTTCAAGAAAAGAAACAGAAAACAGGTATACTGCAAGGGTAAATGGCCAGAGGAAGGCTCCATTTTCCTCCCTTCCTTACGACAGAAGAGGTGACCCCCAACAAGAGAACCTCTTGAAAGAGCCTCAAGTCCTAAAGAGTAACTTTATACTTGGGGTTTTCTATGTTGCTCTGCTTCTGGTCAGGTTCTAAATTTCTCAAGAAAAGAACTATCAGTTGGATTCTCTTTCCTCCATCTCAGGATTTCAGCTGAAAACAGCTAGGAGACATGGAAAAGAAAAAATCTTGCTTTTTTGGGATACCAGGAAGATTTGCATTGCCAAAATGCCAGATGAACCTGAGAATTACTTTTCTAAATCAAGAATTTTTATAGTTTTATTAATTTAATGGAGTTGCAAAAAATTTAGTATAAAGTACATGTTAAATATTTTTGGCTATATATTAGCAAAGTTTAACTGAACTTTCTAATTAACAACTGGAAGAGAAATCTGCAGCAAGCAATTATTTGTTATACAGTTATAAGAGCTATTGATATTGTCTTGCCCCCATTTATTAGGCGGAGATACTAGTAACATTTACTTCAGTCTTTAAATAGGGCATATTATAGCTAATTATCAAGAAATGATACAATAAAGACTTGACCTATAGTTGATTTCAGATTTCTATTGATAATTGGGATTTAAACCCAGGTAGTCTGACTCTAGGACGTTATCTAGAAAACAGATGCCTCTACTGTGTTCCTGCATACTAAGATTTGGTGAATACTGGTGCTTTGATGGTTGCAATCAAATGCCTGATCTGTATACATTTATTCTTAACGAATAGCTAACAACATGTGTAGGGTTCTGTGCTAACAATGTTGCCTGGATTATCATATTCAGTCCTAACCACACCCTCTGAAGTAAGCATTCTCATGATACCATTGCCAAAAAAGGAAACTGAAGTACAGAGAGATTAGGTAACTTATCCAAGGTTACAATACTGGAAAGTAGTGTAGCTGAAACCCAAGGTCTGTCTGATTTCAAAGCCCATGCTTCTATTCACACTATGTTACACTGTTAATCCAAGCCCCATAAAGATATTCATTGACTGGTGCTCACCATAATTTTTTATTTATTTATTTTTTTTTGAGATGGAGTCTAACTCTGTCGCCCAGGCTGGAGTGCAGTGGCGCGATCTCGGATCACTGCAATATTCACCTCCTGGGTTCGAGGGATCCTCCTGCCTCAGCATCCCGAGCAGCTGGGGCTATGGGTGCACACCATCATGCCTGGCTAATTTTTGTATGTATGGTAGAGATGAAGTTTCATCATGTTGGCTAGGCTGGTATCGAATTTCTGACCTCAGGTGATCCACCTGCCTCAGCCTTCCCAAGTGCTGGGATTACAGGTGTAAGCCACCGCACCTGGCCCACTCACAGTAATTATCTTCCATTCTCTCCCAATGCAACATCAAGTAATTTTTTTAAGATCTAAGAGTATTTATATAATCTTAGGTCTTAAAAATTTAAAATACTCCTTGTAGGAGTGATGGTGACCTTTGGGGGTTTCCAGATGAAAGACACAATCCCAGGCCGGGTGCAGTGGCTCATGTCTTTAATCTCAGCACTTTGGGAGGCTGAGGTGGGTGGATCACCTGAGGTCAAGAGTTCAAGACCAGCCTGACCAATATGGCGAAACTCCGTCTCTACTAAAAATACAAATATTAGCTGGGCGTGGTAGCGCGTGCCTGTAATCCCAGCTACTCGGGAGGCTGAGGCAGGAGAATCGCTTCAACCCAGGAGGCGGAGGTTGCAGTGAGCTGAGATCGTGCCACTGCACTCCAGCCTGGCGACAGAGTGAGGCTCTGTCTCAAAAAAAAAAAAAAAAAAGGCTGAGTGTGGTGGCTCACGCCTGTAATCCCAGCACTTTGGGAGGCCGAGATGGGTGGATCACTTGAGAGGTCATGAGCTCGAGAGCAGTCTGGCCAATATGGTGAAACCCCATCGCTATTACAAATACAAAAATTAGCCAGGCGTGGTGGTGCACGCCTGTAGTCCCAGCTACTTGGGAGGCTGAGGTGGGAGAATTGCTTCAACCCGGGAGGCGGAGGTTGCAGTGAGCCGAGATCGCACCATTGCACTCCAGCCTGGGCGACATAGCAAGACTCCATCTCAAAAAAAAAACAAAAATACAAAACGAAGTCACAATCCCCTTCTTGAACTCCCCATCCATTCTTCTTCCCCTAAAATTAAGATATAATGAACCATGATGTAGTAAAGAATGATACATAGACTGCTTTGCATGCCATTATGCTACCTAGATCACACATAAAA
Organism: Homo sapiens; assembly: GCF_000001405.40. Classification (NCBI taxonomy): domain Eukaryota; kingdom Metazoa; phylum Chordata; class Mammalia; order Primates; family Hominidae; genus Homo; species Homo sapiens. Next base: position 37,773,025 of record NC_000008.11, on the reverse strand, counting down.
CAGCCAACTTAGAGGCCTGTGATCCTGTGATTTGTTTCTATAACCTTATCCATCAGACACTTGGGCCCACCCATTCTCCCTAAGCTTCAACCATCCTAAAGGAAGAAAAATCTACAATTCAGGTCTGGTTACTTACTCTCTTCTCCGCTGGTGTTAATCTGGACCATAACCTTTAACCTTTCAGGAGAACCTTTTCTCTGCCAGGAACTGTTCACTTTGTCTGCCAACTTCACAGAATCCACTGTTTCCAGCATGAAGAGATTGGGGACAGCTGTAATGAGACAGAGGCAAAGTAGTATTCCTTATTTGCTCTATTGCAGCAAGTAACATGCAACAAATCTCTGACTTGTTAGAGGAAAAAATATGCCAGGAAAAGAAAAACACAGTTAAATCTCAGTTCCTCTGAGAAGACAAATGTGACAGTTTTACTAGATACAAATTCAAATGTCAGACCATCCCTGGCTAATCAGCAAAGGTAAATAAGGGAAAAGCTGACATACATGATCAGGCAGCATATACATCCATAAGCTTCAAGAAGCTGGTAACGGACAGATTCCTAGTAAAAGGCTTGATCTATGTCTCAGTTCAAACTGAGAGAAACAGGTCAGGATGACAATGAAGAAAGGATGACCAGTGGAAGCCAAGATGCTTCCCTAGCATATCACCACAATTCTTCAACTTTCTGGGATGAGGGTATTCTTATCCAACAAGGACATCACCATGACCCTAACACTGGCCAGGTGTGGTGGCTCACACGTGTAATACCAGGTGGGTGGATCACCTGAGGTCAGGAGTTTGACACCAGCCTGGCCAACATGGTGAAACCCCATCTCTACTAAAAAACTGCAGCAATCCACAGGACAGATTATCACAGTTTACATAACTATTCCTCGTTAATGGATATTAGATTGTTTCTTATTTTTTATTACAAAAACAAAGCTTGGATATAGAACTTGGTGCTATGTACAAGTATTTCAGATGGGCAGTTTGCAAATATTTTCTCCCATTCTGAGTTGTCTCTTCACTTTGTTGTTTCCTTTGCTCTGCAAGAGCTTGTTTTCTTTTGGAGACAGAGTCTCGCTCTGTCGCCCAGGCTAGAGTGCAGTGGCACAATCTTGGCTCACTGCAACCTCTGCCTCCTGGGTTCAAGCTATTCTTCTGCCTCAGCCTCCCAAGTAGCTGAGATTACAGGCACCCACCACTACACCTCACTAATTTTTGTATTGTTGGTAGAGATGGGGTTTTGCCATGTTGGCCAGGCTGTTCTTGAACTCCTTACCTCGTGATCTGCTGGCCTTGGCCTCCCAAAGTGCTGGGATTACAGGCGTGAGCCACTGTGCCCAGCCTGCAAGAGCTTTTTAACTTGATGTGATCCCATTTGTCCATTTTTGCTTTGGTTGCCTGTGCTTTTGGAGTATTTACTCAAGCAATCTTTGTCAAGGTCAGGTGCAGTGGCTCACACCTGTAATCCCCACACTTTGGGAGGCTGAGGAGGGCAGATCACTTGAGGCCAGGAGTTCAAGACCAGCCTGTCCAACACAGTGAAACCCTGTCTCTACCAAAAAATAAAAAAATTAGCCAGAGATGGCTAGGCATTGTGGCTCACGCCTGTAATCCCAGCACTTGGGGAGGCCGAGGTGGTCGAATCACTTGAGGCCAGGAGTTTGAGATCCATTTGGCCAACATGGTGAAACCCTGTCTCTATTAAAAATACAAAAAAAATTAGCCAGGCCTGGTGGCACATGCCTGTAATCCCAGCTACTCGGGAGGCTGAGGTAGGAGAATTCCTTCAATCTGGGAGGCAGAGGTTGCAGTGAGCCGGGATCACGCCACTGCACTCCAGCCTGGGTGACAGAGCAAGACTAGAAAGACTAAAAAAGAAAGAAATATACATATATGTATTTGGCTTCAAGTGATCCTCCCACCTTGGCCTCCCAAAGTGTTGGGATTACTGGTGTGAGTCACTGCATCTGGCCTCAAGAAGCCTTTATGGAAATGAATTGAGCTGTGAGGTTGAATGAGTATAACGGATCATCCAGAAGGGAAAATGGCACTAAAACAACAGTTCTGTTAGGTTTTCCTGCCCCTTCTATGCCTGCTGGCTCCTTCCCCGCTCCCTCCTCCCATCACCTTTACATATTTCTAACATGGCTAGGTGCAGTGGCTCACACCTGCGATCCCAGCACCTTGGGAGGCTGAGGTGGGCGGATCACCTGAGGTCAGGAATTGGAGACCAGCCTGGCCAACATGGTGAAACCCCGTCTTTACCAAAAATACAAAAATTAGCCAGCATGGTGGGGCGTGCCTGTAATCCCAGCTACTTGGGAGGCTGAGGCAGGAGAATCGCTTGAACCCAGGAGATGGAGGTTGCAGTGAGCCGAGATCATGCCACTGCATTCCAGTCTGGGTGCAGAGTGAGACCCTGTCTCAAAACAAACAAACAAACAAACAAAATTTGTCCAGACTAATGTCTTGGAGAGTTTCCCCAATGTTTTCTTTTAGTAGTTTCAGGTCTTGGATTTAGATTTAAGTCTTTAATCTATTTTGATTTGATTTTTGTACATGGTGAGAGATAGGAGTCTAGTTTTATTCTTCTGCATATGGATATCTAGTTTTCCCAGCAGCACTTATTGAAGAGATTGTCCTTTTCCCAATGTATGTTCTTGGCACCTCTGTTAAAAATAAATTCTCTGTAGATGTACAAATTTATTTCTGAGTTCTCTATTCTGTTCCATTGGTCTATGTGTCTGTTTTTATGCTAGTTTTGGTTACTATAGCTCTACAGTATAATTTGAAGTCAGGTAATGTGATTCCTCCAGCTTTGTTTTTTGCTCAGGATGGCTTTGGCTATTATGGGTCTTTTGTGGTTCCATATAAATTTCAGGACTGTGTTTTTCTATTTCTGTGAAGAATGTCACTAGTATTCTGATAGGGACTGCACTGGATCTGTAGATTGCTTTGGGCAATAAGGACATTTTGACAATACTGATTTTTCCAATTCATGAGCATGGAATATCTTTCCATTTTTTCATGTCCTCTTCAAATTCTTGCATCAGTGTTTTACAGTTTTCATTGCAGAAATCTTTCACTTCTTTGGTGAAGTTTATTCTTAGGTATTTCATTTGTAGCTATTGTAAATGGGATTACTTTCCTGATTTCTTTTCCAGATCATTCACTGTTGGCATATAGAAATGCTACTGATTTTTGTATATTTATTTTGTATCCTGCAATGTTACTGAAGTTGTTTTTCAGTTATAATAGTTTTTTGGTGGAATCTTTATGTTTTTCCAAGACTCTACGGTTTTAGAATCTCCTGGTAAGACGAAGGAGTACTCATTTACTCACTCCCTCAAAACACTGGATCTTAGCAGTCTTTTTGATTTTTTACAAATCTGATTAGTGATTTTGTATTTCTCTGAGGATGAATATTTTTCATTTGATTACTGGCCTTTTGTATTTTTACCCCTTATAAATTGCCCCAGTTTTTGCCTATTTTTTTTCCCTATAAACAAAAAGATTTGTAGCTCTTTATGTATTCTGGATATGAATCTCTTCCCTCTTCAAAAATATTATTTTTCTTCCACTCTGTGCCTCCCTTTTGCTTTGACATGCAGAAAGCTTTAATTTTTGTGTGATCAAATCTGCTAGTTGTTCTTTTAAAATTTATTATTATTAATATTATTATTATTATTAGATAGGGTCTCCTCTGTCATCCAGGCTGGAGTGCAGTGGCACAATCACAGCTCACTGCAGGCTTAACCTTTTGGACTCAGGTGATCGTCCTACCTCAGCCTCCCAGGTAGCTGGGACCACAGACACACACCACTACGCCCAGCTAATTTTTTGTATTTTTAGTGGAGACAGGGTTTTGCCATGTTACCCAGGCTGGTCTTAAACTCTTGGGCTCAAGTGATCCACCTGCCTTGGCCTCCCAAAGTGCTAGATTTACAGGTGTGAGCCACTGTGCCTGGCCTAGTTGTTTTTTTTATGGTTTCCAGATTTTATGTCTTGCTTAGAAAAGCCCAAGAAAATAAAAATATTTTCCTGCATTTTATTCTAATACTTTTATAGCTTTTATTTTCAAGTTAGATTATTTAATCTAGCTGGAATTTACAACTCAATAATGAAAAGACAACTCAATTTAAAAAACATGCAGAGGACTGACTAGACATTTTTCCAAAGAAGACATAAAAATGGCCAATAAGCCCATGAAGAGATGCTCAACATCATTCGTTATTAATGAAAATCAAAACCGCCGGGCGTGGTGGCTCACGCCTGTAATCCCAGCACTTTGGGAGGCCAAGGCAGGCGGATCATGAGGTCTGGAGTTTGAGACCAGCCTAGCCAAGATGGTGAAACCGCATCTCTACTAAAAATACAAAAACATTAGCTGGGCGTGGTGGTGGGCGCCTGTAGTCCCAGCTACTCGGGAGGCTGAGGCAGAAGAATTGCTTGAACCTGGGAAGCGGAGGTTGCAGAAAGCTGAGATCGCACCACTGCACTCCAGCCCGGGCAACAGAGTGAGAATCCGTCTCAAAAAAAAAAAAAAAAAAAAAAAAAGAAAATCAAAACTGTAAGGAGATACCATTTCACATTTTTTGAGTCCAATATATCTCCTTTGTTGACTTATAAGCTATAACTCTTTATTGTGTTATTTTATTGGTTGCTTTGGGGTTTAACTTACAACAGTCCACCTTCAAGGTGTGTTACACTACTTCACACAGTTTAAGAACTTTACAATAGTGTACTTCTGTTTATCCCCTTCTGTTATTGTTGTCATGCATTTTGCTTTTACATAGTTATAAATCCCATAACACAGTTATTTTGTTTATATGACATATAATAAGATTAATAGAGACCCAGCCTTCAAGTAGGATTTATCCTAGGAGTGCAGGGTTGGTTTAACATTTGAAAATCAATAGGCCGGGCATGGTGGCTCATGCCTGCAATCCTAGCACTTTCGGAGGCTGAGGCGGGTGGATCACAAGGTCAGGAGTTCGAGACCAGCCTGGCCAATATGATGAAACCTTGTCTCTACTAAAAACGTAAAAAATTAGCCAGGTGTGGTGGCATGTGCCTGTAATCCTAGCTACTCGGAAGGCTGAGGCAGGAGAATCGCTTGAACTCGGGCGGTGGAGGTTGCAGTGAGCCGGGATCACGCCACTGCACTCCAGCTTGGGCGACAGAGCGAGACTCCATCTCAAAAAAAAAAAAAAAAAAAAAAAAGTAAATAAAAGATCAAGACAGTAAATTTTATGTTTGTTTTATTGCAGTTATAAAAAGTTAAACATAACACTTAACTTGTGATTCAGCCATTCTATTCCTATATATTTATTCCAAGAAAAAGGGAAATATATCCATACAAAGGCTCGTACACAAATATTCATAGCAACTTATTTGCAACAGTCAAAAATCAGAAGCAACCCAACATTCATCAACAGGTGAATGGATAAACAAATTGTAATATACTTATACAATGGAATACTACTGAATGATAAAAAGAATTGAACCTTTGATACAGGTATGAACATGATGAATCACTACACTGAATGAAAGAAGTCAGACAAAAAAGAGTACATACTTCATGATTCCCTTTGGATAAAACTCTAAAAAATGTAAACTCACGTACATTAACAGTGACAAAAGCAGGTAAGTGGTTCTTGAGGAAGAGAAGTGGGACAGGTAAGAGAGGGATTACCAAGGGACAGGAGGAAACTTTTAGGGGTGATAGATATGCTCACTGTTTGTTGTGATGGTTTCACAGGTGCAAACATACATCAAAACTCGTCGAATTCTATACTTTAAATATGTGCAATGTATTGTAAGTCACTTACCTCCCTAATAAAGCTGTTACAAAATATATACAGGTTATTTAAATTTTTATACCTTAAGGGAAATAAGTTCAGTTACTCAAGATCTCCATGTCTTTCTTAATTTTATTTTACTATGATTCTTGTTTTTTTTTTTTTTTTTTTTTTTGGGATGAAGTCTTGCTCTGTTACCTAGTCTGGAGTGCAGTGGCGTGATCTTGGATCACTGCAACCTCTGCCTCCCGGGTTCATGCGATTCTCCTGCGTCAGCCTCCTGTGTAGCTGGGACTTGACAGGCATGCACCACCACGCTCAGCTATTTTTTTGCATTTTTAATAGAGTTGGGGTTTCACCATGTTGGCCAGGCTGGTCTTGAACTCCTGACCTCAGGTGATCCGCCTGCCTCGGCCTCCCATGGTGCTGGGATTATAGGTGTCAGCCACCGCGCCTGGCCTACTTTACTATAATTCTTAATTTTACTTTACTATACTTACTTTACTGTATTGTATTTTATTTACTGTAGCCTTTTATTTAAAGGAAAAAGAACAGAAATGTCTCTTTTGCTAGTTAAAAAAATTTATGGGCTACAATTCTTTATAATTTTTCTGAAAGACCACCAAATAATAATAAACATGAGGTTGGGTAGGTTTCCAAGTATATATAACCCAGAAAATGGTGAATTCATTCTGTTCTTGGCATGATGTTTTCTCTTTTTATTAAGAACTCAGACTTTCCTAAAGAAATTCCAAAAACAAATGGTGAATTGGGGCTATTCTAAAAGTTGCTCTCTCTTCCACAAAGGGTAGTAGAAGCAATACAATGACAGAACAATTTTGTTTTCATATTTAATTTTATCTTACCCATCAATTTGTTGACATTTTGTTTCTGTAGGTGGCCAATGAAGTGCCATTTGATCTCAGGACACAAAGACAGAATCTGAGGGGAAAAAGGTAACCATGTGTAATTCAGATTTTATAGAGGCCTTGCTGGCTCAAACGCCTCGTGCACTCCCTGTCACCTTTCACATCCACTCTCTGTTCCTTAAATGTAATAAACTATCACAATCTTCACCCGGCCTCCTAATGAGGTAAAAGGATAGAGAAAAATCTAAGGCTTCTGTTCTGTTTTCCTTCCTTGTTCCCATCAATTCCCTCCATCTTTCAGATATTGCCCATCTAGGATGAACTGATTTAAGCTTTCAAATCTTGAAAAGATCCAAGATTACAGCAAGCTCCTGAAACCACCATTTCCAAACAGCCACCAATGAGAAAACGACAGTCTGAACAAAGAGAAAAATCTAGCTGAGAATTACTTGGGGCTCAAGGAGGAAGCTGACATTTCTATCCCTGGCCCAATCTAAAGTCAACCACCCTAAAACTGCTGTACAACTCAACCACCAGGATGGGTCTAATTTTCAACTAAAGAGCCAAGATTTAGATACAAATTAAAGAATTCAGCTATCTACTTACTTTGGGATTTGATGCTTTTTCTAGCAGTTCCTGAACCTAAAAGGTCAAAACAGAACAAGTCAGAAGCCTGGCAATCATGATGCTTCCAAAGGGCTTCAGGAAAGGGCTCTTACGTAGTTCTCGCCAAAAGTGCGCTGCCCATGTCCATAGGCCTCGATCACCATGTCTGCAGGTTTGGTTTTGCTGACCGCCACTAGCCGGGGCTGGATGGCTGGGAGATCCTGCCAAGAGGGAAAGAGCCATATGAGTGAATGTTTGGGAACAGTACCCCAATGAATCCCATAGGATAGATCCTGTAGGATAGACAGGCATTGATCTCAACTTGGCATTAGGTAAGATCCATTTTTTCAACACTGTAGGCAGATCAATATCAAATAGTGGTGATCATGATCAAATGTTTTTTAGGCGCATGGCATCTCAATCTATGCATCAATGTTAGCGATGTCAATATTCAGCAGAAGAAATGTCTCTCTCAGGAGAGCCGGGCAAGTTAAAGCAGTATTTCCTGTAAGTGTGGTCTTTGACCAACTGCATCGGCATCACCTGGGTGAGAATTTCCTTTTTTTTTGAGACAGAGTTTCACTCTTGTTGCCCAGGCTGGAGTGCAATGGTGCCATCTCGGCTCACCGCAACCTCTGCCTCCTGGGTTCAAGTGATCAAGCAATTCTCCTGCCTCAGCCTCCTGAGTAGCTGGGATTACAGGCATGCATCACCATGCCTGACTAATTCTGTATTTTTAGTAGAGACAGGGTTTCCCCATGTTGGTCAGGCTGGCCTTGAACTCCCGACCTCAGGTGATCTGCCCACTTCGGCCTCCCAAAGTGCTGGGATTACAGGCATGAGCCACTGTGCCCAGCGGAGAATTTCCTTTTTAACAATCTCTCCAGATGACTCTAAGACATACTAATGTTGGAGGCTTAAGAATCACTTCATTAATAGAAGGCTGCACTCTAAGTAAAAGAGAGGTCACTTCTGGCTTCTGAAACCCAAACGTTAGCAGTTTGGCGACTCATTCTAGTCCTGGTGTATCATTACACCATAATAACACTGCCCCATTTACTCTAAAAGTGGCCCACTTAGGTAACTAAGTAATTGATTGTTCAATCTGTGAATTAAGAACCAGTGGCATGGCCAGGTGAGCCACACGCCTGTAATCCCTGCACTGTGGGAGGCCGAGGTGGGTGGATCACCTGAAGTTACGAGTTCGAGACCAGCCTGGCCAAAAGGTGAAACCCCATCTCTATTAAAATACTAAAACTTAGCCAGGTGTGGTGGTGGGCATCTGTAATCCGAGCTACTTGGGAAGCTAAGGCAGGAGAATTGCTTGAATCCGGGAGGTGGAGGTTGCAGTGAGCTGAGGCTGTGCCATTGCACTCCAGCCTGGGTGACAGAGTGAGACTCCGTCTCAAAATAAAACAAAAAACAACAGTCTGGCCAACATAATGAAACCCTGTCTCTACTAAAAATACACAAAAAATTAGCCAGGTGTGGTGGTGTGTGCCTGTAATCCCAGCTACTCAGGAGGCTGAGGCAGGAGAATTGCGTGAACCCGGGAGGTGGAGGTTGCGGTGAGCCAAGATCGTGCCACTGCACTCCAGCCTGGGCGACAGAACGAGACTCTGTCTCAAACAAAACAAAACAAAACAAAACAACACAACAAAAAAAAAAAAAAAAAGAAAGAAAAGAACCAGTGGCAGAACTAAGGCTGCGACACAAAAAATTCTGGATTCAGGATCAGACCTATGTGACATCCTCTCACGACCACTATACAAAGAGCGGGGGTTCTATGCGTTCTGCTGCCACCCAATCCACATAGAAACAGTAAGAGAAGAGATTCGTTTATCCTTGCACGATTTAGTCTTCTTGTATCCATCATCCCCTGAAGTTTTCACAGAATCACAGTGTTCTCAAGGACGTGACGGAGTCAGATCAATTAGAAAAATGTCTCCTCTTCCTTCCTTCCACAGCGATGCGTAACCAGCCTCGTTTGAGTCCAAGTCGTGACTACTGGGAGTATGCTGATGATTGACGCTTTCCAGAGAGTTACCCGAACAGGCAGCCCATCTGCCTGAGAGTTTCCCTGAGAGAACCTCCAAGGTGATGTTTATTAGGGGAAGCCCTAGATTTTTCTTGGAGAATCACCGAGAATCACAGAATATTAACATCAGAAGAGATCTCAGAGCTTTCAGAGCTGAGGGCCGGAATAGTTACCTGACTTGTTCAAGGTAACGTCTAAGGAATAGTCAAAGAAAGACTATAATACAGGTCTTGTCTTCAGCCAGCATAAATGCTCGATCAGAGAAACCTGTGACCTCTCTGTTAAGGTCCGTCTCATTCCACACCATTCAGCTTAAACTTGCACTGAGGTGGGCAGATTTTGATTCTTGGTCTAATCAAAGTCCAAGAGGATGTAATATATATATACACAAAAGACGAAAGCTCCCCTTAACCGGCTTGGGATTGGACTTCTCCCTCCTGCCCCATAAACAAGTGCCGCTCTGATGCCAGCGAAGTCCGGCCAGTCCACCCTCACCTCGGCCTCCGGGCGGCACTGGCATTTCTTGGGCACTTAGCAGGTGAGACGCTGCCACACACGCGATCTCGGGCGTCTCTGGCCTCCGCGGGGTGCTCTTGTACCCCCGTCTCCCCTTACCATCCGTGGGCACAGGCCTGGCCCCCCTCGCATCCGCCAAGGCTATCGACCCCGAAACGACGCGGTGCGCAAGTGGCCACGACACCTAGGCACTAAGTCATTTTCCCGAGGTAGCGGTACCCTCTGCTCCAACGAAGCCAATCTCCAGAAAACCTAACAGACTCAAGGTAAGGAGGCTGGGGAAACCCTTCGCTAGCCTTTCGGTGGCCCTAGGCGGCCGACCAGTCCCGCCTCTCTGGGAGACCCCTCTGCGTCACCGTGACGACCCATTCCCACGCAGGTGTCCCTCTTCTCAAGGCGGCCGCCCACCGTCCCCACGCAGCCTCCTTCCTCACCCGCGGCCGCCGCGCCACAGCCTGCTGCACGCGCTCGTTCACCGCCCGCAATGCGCACCCGACTCCCAGCTCGGCCGACATGCTGCCAGCTCTCCACATCCCCCGGGGACCGACGCCGAGCCCCAGGCCCCCGGCAGCCCGTGGCTCACACCATCTTCCGGTTCCGCCCAGCTTGCGCCGTGTGAACCAATCATTGCTCATCATTGAGTCGTCTCACCCAATCAACACCCGTGCAGCGTGGAGGCCCGCCCCCAGGCGGCGGCCATCTTGGGGAGGTCACCCGCGAACCTGGAAATGGAGCCTAGGGGCTGAGGTTTTGCGCGCCTGGTTCCAAGGGCCACTCCCCGTGTGCTCTCCTCTTTCCTGCGCCTCAGCCGCTGCCGTCCCCCCACCCCCAAGGGACTTTTGTGAGGCAGAAACGCATCCTATACTCGGGGGATCCTGTTTCCTTTCAAAACGCCTTTCCAGGCTTGCCCGTTCCCGGCTTTCTGGGCGCGGGGACCAGAATTAGAAGCCACTGGGGCGGGAGCCAGGGCTTTTCTCTGTCAGATGGTTCTTGCGAGGAACCCCTAAGCGATACGAAAGGAAACTCTTCTTTCTTCTTTTCCCTAAAGACATGGCGTGATTCAAACGTATCGTGATTTTTGTCATCTTTCAGACCACTGCTGTCCAAGAGAAATATAACGCCATCCAACTGTGTAATTTGGAAGTTTCTCATAGGCACATAAGCTTAAAAATTTTAATGATATACTTTATTTAATCCAATATATCCAAAGTAAGATTTCAACATGCAATCAATAGAAAAACTAAATGCGATATTTTAATTCTTTTGAAAATCGTATGTGTTTCTGAAACCCGGTGTAGTGTTGACTTGCATATGTCTCAATTCGGGCCATCCCTATTTCGAGAGGTTAGCGGCCACCTGCGGCCAGTGCTGTCTCATCAGGGGACACAGGCAGCATGATTATTACTATTATTATTATTGAGACAGTCTCGCTCTGTCACCCAGGCTGGAGTGCGGTGGCCCGATCTGGGCTCACTGCAACCTCCACCTCCCGGGTTCAAGCGATTCTCCTGCCTCAGCCTCCCCAGTAGCTGGGACTACAGGTGCGAGCCACCGCGCCCAGCCCACAGGCAGCTTTAGATGGTCTAGCAGGAGCTCAGCACATTCAGTTAGATTCTTTTTTTGAGATGGGGTCTCGCTATGTTGCCCAGATTATCTGGGACTCGTGGGCCCAAGCAATCCTCCCACCTCCGCCTCACAGAATAGCTGGGACTACAAACGGGCACCACAACGCCCTGAGTTTGATTCTTGAGTCCCCTTCTGTGGGCAATATGGTTATAAACTTGATGAGGAGCCAGGCCATACAAATAATAATACAGAATGCTACATAGTCAGGTGGTGAAATAGTAGGTGCTACGGGCAAGGAGAAGGAGATCAATTTTGTTAAGGAAAGCACTCTTGGCTGCAATTTCTGTTGAAAGTTTCTCAAACATTAATTCAACTTAATGAAGTGGGATGCTATTATATTAGAGAAATGGCTAATGTTTGTTCTTCAGGTGGTCTTGTCTTGAGGTGATGGGGTTTATTAGAGCTTTCCGGAAAGAAGGGGCAATATTCTTACTCTCTCCTCTCACAGTTTTTCCCCAGACTCCCAGGAACAGAGATGGAATTTCACATCTTCTGCTCTGGGAAAGTCACATTAGGCAGAACCTCAGATCCTTAAAATAAGGGACTTCTTTTTGGGAAGTCTCTGGTCATTTACCCTGGTACACATTAACTGGGTTATCTGCAAACTAGGACTGCCAACATTAGGAGTAATTGTGTTCAGATAAAATGTCTCTAGACTTGATACATCTGTACTCCAACCAAAATGATAAAAAAATTTAAAATGACCAGAATGGCCCTTTGTGGTGTGAGCATAATAGATGCTTGCTGTAGAGACACAGGTGGGAAGGAGCGAGCCAGCAGTGAGTGATGGGGAGGACAGAGGGGATCATGGTGATGGGATGTGTAGAGGAAGGATTGGGTGAGATGAAACACTTCAAATAATGTGCTATTTGGAAAACATTTTAAAACCATAAATACCTCACAGATCTAGGGAATGTATAATCCAGGTGTTACGTCACTATGACAACAAGTAGTTGTAGCTTCATTTACTAGATTGGGCCTCTATTCTTTTTTGTGTTTTTTGAGACGAAGTCTTGCTCTGTCACTCAAGCTGGAGTGCAGTGACGCGATCTCGGCTCACTGCAACCTCTGCCTCCTGGGTGCAAGTGATTCTCCTGCCTGAGCCTCCCGAGTAGCTGGGACTACAGGCGTGCATCACCACGCCCGCCTAATTTTTGTATTTTTAGTACAGATGGGGTTTCACTATGTTAGCCAGGTTGGTCTCGAACTCCTGACCTTGTGATCCACCCGCCTCGGCCTCCCAAAGTGCTGGGATTACAGTCGTGGGCCACCGTGCCCAGCCAGGGACCTCTATTCTTTGAACTACAAGGCAAGGTCATCCTCCCACCCCCTTATCCATTCAGTGAACATTTACTGAGGCGTTACTCTGTAAAGAACCCTGAGAGAGACCAGGCTGAGTAAGACAGGCTTTACTGCCGATTTACTTCCAATATGCTCGCTTTTCATCTCTGACATTCTGTGGTCTTATGAAAATGGAAATGGAGACAAAAAGATCATGGTGCCCCCAGTCCCATGGTCATTTCACATTCCAATTTCTTCTTAGTTGTACTTTTGAATTAATTTTATTTCACTTTGTCCCTTTTTTTCCTTATTTGCTTTTTTAATTTCTTCTCTTCCTCTTCCTGGGACATCAACCATCCAATTTAACCTTTCATCCTCCCCTACTACCTAATCCTTGAAAAATACAAGTCCAAAATCATTTCATCACCAGTAATTGTCTTTAAATTGCTCCAATAATTTGCAAGGACCAAGGGGAAAAGAGAAAGATTAAAAAGCCAAATGCCCAGAGAAACAGATTTTATAAATAATCTAAAATCTAGTATACTTATTCACCATCAATGCCATCAAGCTTTTAAAACACCCTCATAGTCTGGAATAAATCCAAATTATGAGAAAAACATATATGGATTTAAAAATTGTTTCCTTCTGAGCCTACTGTGAGTCTTTTAGGGGGATAAAAAAGTAAAAAGTAAAATAGAAAATTACTGTTGCCTGGTTACTTAGCTCTAAAGAGAAACGGAGAAATAATGCCCATGTCCCATCCCAGTTTAAATGAATTCAGGTAGAGTAGCCCATGACAGCAAGCCCTTGGCACACATGCCATCACATCTGGCCTTTGAAATGTCTATAGAGATAGTAGAACCCTAGACCTAGGGAAGACTTAGGGAGGTTTCATACAGAAAGAATGACATTTAAACCATCCCAAACAGCACAGAGTCTTCACAATTTCTGAAGACCATCAGAGAAGAATATTTATTTTCTATTTGCAAGTAACTACTCCTCCCCATTTGAAAATTTAGCAAGCCTGATCTTAAGTAAATTCTTTACAAATCCTCCTTTATTCAAGTGAATTTCCTCTTTTTAGCTACCAGTATGTAACTTTTATAATCGTGAAGTCATTAAATGTCCCTTCTGCCTTTTCTGGCATCAACCTATGAGCTTTATTTCTTAATTACTTTTTTTTTCTTTTTGGTTTTAACATTTTCTTTCTAGCTTCTTCAAATTTTTTTCATTTTTAAAATTGGAGACCAGAACTGGACAGTTCCTCTCAACAGGGCCAAATCAGATTCTTTTCTTTTTTTTGGAGATAGAGTTTTGCTCTTGTTGCCCAGGCTGGAGTGCAGTGGCGTGATTTTGGCTCACTGCATCCTCTACCTCCCAGGTTCAAGTGATTCTCCTGCCTTAGCCTCCCAAGTAGCTGGGATTTCAGGCATGCACCACCATGCCCGGTTAATTTTCTATTTTTAGTCGAGATGGGGTTTCTCTATGTTGGTCAGGCTGGTCTTGAACTCCCGACCTCAGGTGATCCACCCACCTCAGCCTCCCAAAGTGCTAGGATTACAGGTGTGAACCACCGTGCCTGGCTTCTTTTCTTTTCTTTTCTTTCTTTAAACCAGGTTATTTTCTACACAACATTTTTGTAGAGGTATGTATCCTCAATACTGTGTTTGCTGCATTGCAATGTCATTCCCTTCTTCTATGTGCTATCCCATTTGTAATCTTATTCCATTTTTTTTCACGTGTTTGGCTTTCTACTTAGTGGCTCCCATTTAATAGCTGTATGTTTTTTAGCCCGTTTCTCCAGATTGAAGTTTTTGAATACATACATGCAAGGTACAGTGTGAAAGCCCTTCGTATGCATTATTTCATATAAGCCATGCAACTCATTTTATTAATGAAGAAACTGAGGCTTAGAGAGGTCAAAAAACTTATTCAAGACCACACACCTAAGAAGTAGTAGAGCAGTGATTTGAACTTTGGCAGTCTAACTGCAGTAACTACACTCTTAACATAACTATTCAATTGTTAAGATCATATTATTTGTGTAGCAGGCTCTCAAACCAATAGAAAAAGCTTGGGATCCCTGTTAAAAAAAACCTGAGAAAGCCTGGGCTAGGGTTGCCGGACTTAACAAGTAAAAATACAGGATACCCAGTTAAATATGAATTACACATAAGCAACAAATACTTTGGTATGAGTATGTCTCATGCAGTGTTTAGGACACATAGTACTTAGACTAAAAATTGTACATTGTTGAAATTCATATTTAACTAGGTATCTTATGTTTTATCTGGCAACCCTAAGCTGGGCAGCTTTCCAGAGTAAAGACTGGGAGTTCGTCCACTGAACTGATATCAAAATGAATTTTGGTTCACTTGAAAATATCTTTGTCCTTTGGAGCAGAATTGCAGTGGTGTGTGAACTGTTTAAAATGATAAATCTCTATAGCACCTACCAAGAATTATGCCACGTTCACAAATTCTGTATCGATAATGGGGATAGATTTTCATCTGTTTATTTTTAGAGAGATCTTGTACTTAACTCACTAGTCTGGGATGTTTTATTTATGTCACCTAATATTAACTATTGCTAAATTTCACTTTAATAAAAAAGTAGATACAAAGACTCATTTTACTTAGCAAGACTGCAAATAAAACTAAGACATAAATTCACATGTTAGTATTGTCCAAAACAATTCCTCCAGCTATCAACCCACGGCAATCAATCCAGCAGTATCATTTATAGAATGATTACTAAAACAAGAATCATTTCTCAGTTACAAATGGGGTCATTAAGCCCTTGGGGCTCTTTGAAAGTAGAAGTAGTTTGCCTACTTAATCATCAGTCTACACAAAGGCAGAAATAAAAAGGAATGGAAATACAAACACAAAATGATTGGTTATTACCTGTTTTATAAGGAAACAAGAAAAAAAAAACAGTGGCTAGAAACAACAAAAAAGCAGTGGCTGGAACCCTACTGAATAGAGCTTAAAGAAGTACTGGTTACATTCACAGACACAGTAGCCACTAGCCAAGATATAGTTTATCTCCATCAAACTTAAATAGATAAAGTCAGTAAGTATGACCATCTTACTTTCACTATTTACGCTCTTTAAATAGTAAAGGTATCGGTTTGAAAGATACATAGAACCATAGGAACAGTGAATGATCATTTATAAAACAGCTCCTTTTCCTGAATCAATATATTGCTAAAATTCTTTCAGTAACCCTCCCTTTTTATATGATCACAGATCCCTCCACATCTATTTTATTTTAGTTATATAAAAATTATTAATAAACTTTGGTTTCCTTGCATTCGGTCCTTATATTTTAAAAAGTGATTAAAAACAGTACTGAATATGAATCACTTCTGCAAAGTTTAATGAGTGAGAAACATTCAACCAAGGTGATTTTTCCTTGGAAAACCCTACAAAAACTGAATTTTATAAACAGTTACTTATTTTGATAGATGTTCCATTTATAAATAGCAGCCATTACTTCACTGTCTACAAAATTGCAGGCTGTCACATTTTACATGTTTAGAATTCAAATGTTTTAAGATTAGATTTTCTAGTAAGAGTTAAAATAAAAACAAAGTTACACAGACAGGTTAGTTGTCCTATGCAAATAAAACAGCTGATTTTCATGATTTTGCTATTTAGACAGATAAGAGACAACCATTGGATTGACACTAATGTGTAGGATAACATATTTTTTGTTTAAAGAGGAAATGATAGAAACTTGGGGTGGGGCAGCTGCAGCAGGACTTGACTCTACTGAGGCTCTTCTGTGCTCATGGGACAAGCTATCGCAGGATGTTAGTACCGGAGAGGCCCTCAAGTTAAGACCTGAGCAAAGTGTGCTATTCAGAGAAGCTGAGCTATCCCTGCTCCCGGTTCTACTGTGGTGAATTGGTGTTTTCTGAGGTCTAGGCAACAAGAGCTCAGAGTAGAAGGAGTAGACATTTTCGGGAAGTGGGATGCTGGGCATGTCATGTTGCTCTAACAAGTGATTAATAGCACGGAAATGGGAGGAAGATGAATGTATTTTAAATGGATACTCCCTATGCTAGTCTTGGGAAATGACCTTCTTTTCTTGAGACGGAGCCTTGCTCTATTGCCCAAGCTAGAGTGGGATGGCATGATCTTGGCTCACTGCAACCTCTGCCTCCCGAGTTCAAGCAATTCTCCTGCCTCAGCCTCCCAAGTAGCTGGGATTACAGGTGCCTGACACCATGCCCGGCTAATATTTCTATTTTTCGTAGAGATGGGGTTTCGCATGTTGGCCAGGGTGGTCTCGAACTCCTAACCTCAGGTGATCCGCCTGCCTTGGCCTCCCAAAGTGCTGGGATTACAGGTGTGAGCCACCGCGCCCGGCCAAGGGAAATGACCACCTTCTGAAAGGACTCTGGAGCACATTAAAATCCATCACTCCCAGGCACATTTTGTTGCCTGCAAAAAGTGTGCCCAGGACCAGAAGTCCCAGGAGTCAGAACAGAGAAGGGCAACTTTGAAGTAAGGGGAGCTAACACTGTATCTTTCTAGGCAGGCTCAATGCTCCCAAAACTTCTGAGCAAGCTGGCCCAAGCTCTGGGACCATTCCTTAAACCAGAAGTCTGGGCATGGGCCCAAAAAGAAGGCAGGGATTGCTGCCAGAAAGGACCATTCACAGATTCACCTAGGGAAGATGGGTATAGGAGTTGGCGGGGGGGGGGGGTGGGGGGTGGGGGGTGGGGGTCAGCTCATAACAGGGCCAAGTCCTAAGCCAGAGGTGGTCATGGAGGGCACCAATATGCTTGCAAGTTAACTCCAGATAGCTGCCCTCCACTTAATTCTAGACACAACCCATGGGCTATACAGGTTGGACACCCCCTACCCCTCAATCTCAGGATATAAGAAAAACCTTTTGTTCAAATTTGCTCTCCCCATCCTGAATCTCCCAAGGTGACTCAAAATGTTCTGACCTAGTAATGAAAAAGAAAACCCTTTGAATGGATTTTGGCACAGCCATTCCAACCTGGGGACTTGGGCATGAACTCTGATTTGCTCCACACAGCTGTCTCTGGAGACTGAATGTTCAGCCTGACTTGCGTTGCTGCCTGCAGCCCTGGATTTAAAAACACAGGCTACTTAGTGAATAGAGTCCTTTTATCACTAAGTCAGACCCACTCCCAGCACAAGCCACAGGCATTAAGACCAGGACATCTCTTGACTGATCGTTCCTCCTCCTCCACACATGGTGTCAGACCTCTTCACTACAGAATCTCTACAATAATAGAAAGACACTTCATCTCGAGGTGCACACATAACCTGTCAGGCAGGTCCTGCAGTGGCTAAGAGATAACAAGGATCCCACTCCAGCAGCTGTTAAGACACTTGAGTTGTTTGTCCCTGTCTTCTTGATGCTGAGTGGAACCAATGAACAGAATTTTTGAGAAGAAAAAAAAAAAACAAATCACAGCATAGGTGAAAAGATGCCGAAATAATTGAGTTGTGGTGATCAAGCTCTGACTCTAGAAATGTAGTCAGAAACCACCACTCTGAGCCCTAGGGCAAGGAGCAAAGTGTATACAAAATCTTGCAAAACCTAGCACCAGTACTTCCTTATGAGGGCTCAAGAAAGCACACCTCTAAAATAACTCACACACATGCAGACAAGAATGCCAGGAAGGTCAAATGTTCTCTGCAGCTGTTTCTTCACAGCTCTACTGGCAAACTCACAGGCACATATTTGCTCAGTTGCTGAGCCTCACCCACAGACATCTCCTACCTTGGAGGCAGAGGTGAGAACACTGGACTGCATTTTCCCAAGTAAGGGAAATCAAATGAGTTGGAGGTAACACTCTACATTTCTCCCTCTCCTTAATGACAGCATCCCTAATTAAGCCAGCCTCAAAGGATAAAATTAGTGTCTAGAGGTCAAAGGTCAAGCCCATGATTTACAAATCTTATTGGAAGTCATATAAACTGCTTACCTGAAATAAAACCCCCCATCATCAGTCCCCACCCTCCTTTCCCTAGAAAGGGAGTGGATTTAAGTTCATTTCTTCTTTTTCACCACAGTAACTGGAAGACAGTCAGAGAAGGTAGTCGGGGAGGGAGGAACATTCTGATTCATCTTAAAAAATAAAGATCTGCTTAAGTATCATTTGCAGTCATATCAAGTTTTTTTCAATTCTCCTTAGTGGCCGTCTCCAAGGGTTCATCTTCTAAGCCAAAGCTTAGCTTGTCAGCTAGCCCCTCAAACTGCTTGCTCACACTGCCCGCAGAGTCCATGAACATGTTAGGAATGTCTTTGCCAAAGTAAATCTTGCTGTTGGAAGCAATGGCCTTGTACTTCATCAGCTGCAGATATTCAGGGGTTAGCTTCAGCTGTTAAAAAAAAAAAAAGTATGGAAGACTTATGTTGAACCATATTAGAGAAGGAGGGGAGTGGTGCCCCTTCAATTTTCCTATATTTATGCCCCTACCTACTTTTTGTGGTCTCATTGTTACATTTCTGTAAGAGACAGTCATCTCAGATCTTGGAGCATAGGTGCAAAAGTTAAAAGTTTCCATGTTTAACACAAAATTAAACTAAACTTCTATCAAGGCATGTCCAAGGAGAAGGAAAGTACCTGCACCACACAGCAAAGGCATCCTCAGTTCTGCCCATGAAGGGCTTTGGGTGGTGGCAGGCGCTCAACACTGGAAACTCTCCTGCAATACAGACCCAGACCCAAAGACTCCTTTTTATCAGGCTGTGCGGGGTCTTTACCTTATTGGCTTCGGCTATTTTCATAGCAGTGTAGCACTCAGCATCTGCCTTTGCCTTCTCCCGGGCCAGAAATGCAGCATCTGAGGGGGAAGGAGTGCAGTGAACTTGGTGAAGTGCTAAAACTGAGTTCTTTGCAGGAAGTGCAGAGGCTATGGGAAGACTCTGTTCTGGTCCCTGGAACTTCGCCCCTGATTGCCTCTGTGACTTGGGGCAGACTGCTTTTTCCTCTGTGTTTTACATGCATTTTCCCCTATTGTACAAGTTGTTGTAAGGATCAACTAAGATGAAAAAGTGTTTTGAAAGCATCTCCCTATGACAAGGACAGCAAGTCTGTGGCTATGGCCCAAACATACATGTTGACAGCACTATGGAAGAAAGCACTGTTAGCCAGAAGCGCTTCCTGTCTTACTTCTTTTGGAGATCCATGTCTGTGTAGCACAGCAGTGGGACCCTGCCTCAAGCTCTAGGCCAGAGCTCTCCACTCCTCCCTCTTGTGCTACATAGCAAAAGCAGGAAAGCTCAAAGGTGGCTCTAAGTACGGTCAGAGGTCGATCCACCCTAAAACTGAATGCCACGAACATAACATAGTTCAGTCCCTCTCCAACTTCAATTCCCTTTTATTTCCATCAATCATTTCAAAAAGGTCCTAATTAACAGTGATTAAGCTGGCGCGATTCTGAGAGAGAATTACACGCCATGGTCCAGACCAACACGTGTTTGGATTAAGACCTATTTAATTCCTCTATGCAAGTCATATTCTTCCCTAATCAGCTCTGAGACTAGCTTTCTGTCAAGCTGATAGAAAATTTTTGATATTTACCTCCTTGTCTTGGGAACGGGCCAGCCTCATGTGAGTAATATATGTAGCAACATGCCTGGGAGAAAGGTTAGTCTGTGGGTGGGTTTTCACTGAGTGCCCTCAGTGTGACCCCGCGTGGAAGGAACCTGCAGTCCAGCCAGGGTTCTGGCTGCTGTGGGGCCCCCTCAGCTGGCCTGAGCACTTGATGACATGTATTTGTGAGAAATAAAAACGTGTTGCTTTGCTAAGAGCTCCCTAATGAGGAGCCACTGATCTGTGAAATCCTAACTGGCTCCTCTATGGGCCCCTGCAAAGCCTGACAGGCCCAATAATGAGTATAATTAGACATAACACTTTGTAGCCTGAAGCTGGGCCTTGAGGTCCCAGTTGTGCCTTGGAATTTGCTTGAAATAAGCCACCCCAAGAAGTAAGAGGTGGGCAGTGGGAAGGAGGTGCAGGCTTAGAAGCAGGAACAGAAGGTGAATGATATTCAGAAAAGCCAGCAAAGAAAACCTTTCTCTCCAGCTCCTGTCTGACAGGTGCTGAAAATCTGTCTTCTTCAAACCTGGCTTAATATCTGCATAGACCTGGAGAACAGACTTTGAGCCCAAAACCGTGGCACTGACCAACTTTGGAGCAGAAGTAGCTAAGGCAAGGGGGAGAGCCAACTGCTGAGAGTACACTCCCACCGCTCCAAGGCCCTGCTAGCCTGGGAACTCCAAGAAAGCAGGGTCTACGGGACTTCCTTTTTCTCATGCCTAACAAAATCCTGGGCACATACTGGCACTCCAGCCACATTTGCTGAATGAACAAATGCTCTCTGAAGTAGAAAACAGATGCTAGCCTGGCCACAATAGCCTCAAAACTCAAGTCTCCACATGGAGAAAAGCTGCTGTTGCACAGAGATCATGACATCCTTGAGCACAGTTAAAGGGCAAAGGCAATGGCTCCCCAACCCACTGGCCACAGGGCGGGGTCTGAGGAGGACTCAGGCATGACTGCCACTTCTGCTTACCTTCAATTTCTGAAATCTTCTTCTCAGTCTCCTTCTCCATCACCTTCTGCCCGTAGGTGATCTCAGCCACCTGGGCCACTTTTTCTGCCTCTGAATAAATGATAGTGAGGATTACGGTTCTGGCATTTCAGAGTTTGACTAATTTCACCTTTCACCCGAGCTGAGTGTCCTGGTGGGCCAGCTTGTCTGGAGAGCCCCCAGAGGGCAGCTGTGAGTGCACACAAGGGCAGAGTGGGATATGCCAGTGAGCACAGTCCCCTTCCATCAGTGTGAGACAGTAACCAAGGAGACCTGGGCCCAACATAGGAAGCATGAGCCCTAACTTCACAAGGGAACTTCTCCCAAAGGAATATTCTGTAAGAATGAAGTACTCTAGTAGGGTTCTACCTGGCCCTTCACTGTAGACAGGGGTCAGGTTAGTTGTTGATAATACGGTGCAGTGACTTAGAACATAGCTTCTAGAGCCAGTGTCCTTGGTTTGAACCCCAGTTCCACCCCTTACTTGCCATATGCCCTTGGGCATGGTATTTTACCCCTCTGTGCTTTGGTTCGATAAAATGAGGTTAAGGATAATACAGTACCTACCTCCACAGTGGTTGTGAGGGTTGACTTAACCCACATATTAAGTGGTTAGAAAAGTATGTGGCTCACAGTAATTGCTTAATTAAGTATTAGCCATTATTATTAAGAATTAACAGGCTGGGCACGGTGGCTCACGTCTGTAATCCCAGCACTTTGGGAGGCTGAGGTGGGCAGATCATGAGGTCAAGTGTTCGAGGCCAGCTTGGCCAACATGGTGACACCCCATCTCTACTAAAAATACAAAAATTAGCCAGGCGTGCCGGCACCCGCTGTAATCCCAGCTACTCAGGAGGCTGAGACAGGAGAATCACTTGAACCTGAGGCAGAGGCTGCAGTAAGCTGAGATCGTGCCACTGCATTCTAGCCTGGGTGACAGAGCAAGACTCCGTCTCAAAAGAAAAAAAAAAGAAAGAATTAACAGGTGGGGCTTCTTTCATTTAAGAGTTAAGTGGAAACTCAAAAAACTCATTATCCTTGGCCATGATCTGACAATTTCAACTTTGTTTCTGGGAGTCCACCTGCCACTCCTGTGCTGTGGAAGTGGTTTGGAGGACCATGGGGTCTCACCAGGCCTTAGCCTCCTTGCATCTTCCCACCACCCCCAGCCTTTCTGCCTGGAAAGGGGGATCACAGAACCACATTCAGACCAATGAGCGCCTTCTTCCGCTCTGTCTCTGCTTCCTTTTCCACCACCTTCTGTTTCTGGGCGGCAATGAGAAGCTTTGTCTTCTCACTTTCCCTGAAGAGAAGAAAAAGCCGTGAGGCAGCTATGGAAAACTCAGGAGCTTCACTATCCCCAGGTAAGTCGAATTCTTCTGCTGAAGAGAGGCAAACTCCCATTTCCTACTCCTCCTGGAAGGCTGTTCGATGGCCCAGGTAAAAGCTGATCTGTTGTTGACAGTAACATAGCTCTTCTCCTCCCAAGTAACTCATTTGTGGGAAATAAAACATAATTTAGTAAAATACACCTGCCTGTCCACTTACTGGTCTCTTGCTCCTGTCTCCACCTTGGGCATGAGTCACTGAACACAAACAAGGCCCCCTGGCCCTTTTCAAAACATCGCTGCTCTACAGGGATTATCCTGGGGTTCTCAATCACAGGTAGGGAGCCCCAGTGGTGGCCCTGACACGCCTGCCCAATCTTACAGTGCAATGGGCTGTAGCAAATCCTCCAGCAAGGGGATAACCGAGAAGCCTGGCAGCTTTGGTTACCTCTGGGATGGGACGAGGTGGGAGGTGGGAGGCAGTGGTGGTCACAGCCCAGGCGGAGGGTATACTCACATCAACTCGTAGTTTCTGCGGATTGCCTCTGGTATGTTGGGCTTTGTTACCCGCACAGCCTGGAGAGAGATTAAAACAGCAGCTGATGGGAAAGTGAGGGTAGTGAGGGACACACCCAGCTCCCACTGGGCCTTGATCTTCCTGCACAAAAAGGACATCCCTTGGGAGAAGGGAAGCAGTGTCAGAGAGAGAGGGGCTGCTCCCATGCAGCAATGCTTACTTGAATGACCAGCCCAGGGGCCATGGAGGTCAGGTCCTGTTGCAAAGCCAGTTTGAGATTTTCATCAATCTGATCTGGAATAAAGAAAAGATGGAGAAAAAGGAGTTGTTACACTTTCTAGATGAGGGAGGGCAGGATGAGGTAAAGTGCAAGCTCAATCACCAGCTCAAGAATGTACTTTCCCAAGGGAGTGTGCTTATCAAAGCCCACAAATCTAAAGATCCCCTGCCCAACTTCTGAAGCAGCCTGTGCAGGCAGCCCTCTACATGGTGAACGCAAGGGCATTTTCTTTCTGTGCCTCAAGATAAAACTCAACCTTTGTTCTGAAAATACTAACCATGCCCTACAGGGGGTGAGAGCTTAAAAAGAAAAAAAAGGAAGAACAAACAATTCTAGCACATTTCTTGCGTGAGGCAGCAGCCTTTCCCTAGACAATAGCAGCAAAAGAGAAGGAAGGTTCACAGTTTCCAAGAAGAAGGAAGGTGGAATGGCTATTTAGGTTTTGTGGAAAGAGCTGAGCACATTAAATCTAGTAATTTTAGAAGTTTCTAAAAGAAAAACAGACTTTGACGTCAAGGAGAGCCCCAAGGAAGACTGTTTCTATTAGGAACTCCATCAAACAACACAAAGGGAAAATTAAAATTTACAGTTCTGGAAGCGAGCCCCAGGCTTTTGATGTGCTGTTTGCTTTGGTCCTGATTTCTTTGTCTGGAATCCACATGAGTTGTTTCACAGACAAATGTAGGAACAGCTGTAACTGACTCTCCCCCCACCTTCCTTTCCAGCTGCAATCTCAGAACAGCAGTACCAAAGCTGACTTCTCTGGCATGGGCTTCTCAGGTTTTAGAATCCTCTTCCTTGCCTTCTGCCCATGATATCCTTGATAAGATCCCGGAGGGGCTTAGAGAAAAAGACAGAGTGAAATCAGGCTGGGACTTGTACACTGCATCTCTCCTTTGCTGTCAGCCGCCATCTGCTTTAAGTGGTCCTTTCGTGGTCACCTGTGCTCAAATAAGAGCCTCTGAGGAAGAGAAAGTCTCCGCTCTTTCACTGATGCCAAAACGGAGGCCCATGAAAGCTGGCTAGTAGCAAAAATAACAAGCTTGTTTAACTGGTGGGCCTTGATTGTTAGGATTTTAAGACAGTAGTATCAGTAAACAAGGGACGGTAACGTTTCCACATATAGGATGTGCTCTCACAAGCCTCTGAGCACCGAAGGAGAAATGCCATCAAGTCGGCACCTCACACCTGCCAGGGGTCAACCAATTTAACAACTAGAACTAAATATTACATTTCATATTTTAAGTAATTTTAAGTAGAATACCAACCAAACTTTAAATGGCCCGTATCCTCCATAAGTTAATAACGTCATTCCTCAGACCAAATTATATCTGTCAAGGTGGAAACCTGTGGCCCTGGGCTAGTAGCTTACCGGAAAAATGTGAAAGAAATACTTTTCAAGTTGTTTTAGTAATATTGATGTTTATATGTTATGGAAATGTTGATAAATGCCATTTAAATTGTATTACTAAGGTAGCCGCAGGGAAAAGGCGCAAGGCGCGCTCGTGACGTCATTTCGGCGCGACCCTCTTCTTTGCGTAGAGTTTTTCAGGTTGCTCCTGGAAACCATGCCGAAAGTAGTGTCTCGGTCAGTAGTCTGCTCTGACACTCGGGACCGGGAGGAATATGACGACGGCGAGAAGCCCCTCCATGTGTACTACTGTTTGTGCGGCCAGGTGGTCCTAGTGCTGGACTGTCAGTTAGAGAAATTGCCCATGAGGCCCCGGGACCGGTCCCGTGTGATTGATGCTGCCAAACATGCCCATAAGTTTTGTAACACAGAAGACGAAGAGACTATGTATCTGCGGAGACCTGAAGGCATTGAACTACAGTACAGAAAGAAATGTGCAAAGTGTGGACTGCTGCTCTTCTACCAATCCCAGCCGAAGAATGCTCCCGTTACCTTCATTGTGGATGGAGCAGTCGTCAAGTTTGGCCAGGGCTTTGGGAAAACGAACATATATACTCAGAAACAAGAGCCTCCTAAGAAGGTGATGATGACCAAACGGACCAAAGACATGGGCAAGTTCAGTTCTGTCACTGTGTCTACCATTGATGAAGAGGAAGAGGAGATTGAGGCTAGGGAAGTTGCTGACTCGTATGCACAGAATGCCAAAGTGATTGAAAAACAGCTGGAGCGCAAAGGCATGAGCAAGAGGCCACTGCAAGAGCTGGCTGAATGGGAAGCCAAGAAAGTGAAAATGAAGGGGACCTTGATTGACAACCAGTTCAAATAACCAGGCTTTTTTTCTGAGCCCTAGACTGGAGGCAAGCATTTAGATCAGGAGACAAAGTAACTTCTTGATTACATAGACTGGTTCCTATTTATATCCCAGCAGAAGGCTTTATGTTGTTTCCCATTGATTCTCCTACATGCAGTGAGGTCTTTAACTGAGTCCATTTGACCTGCTTTCTAGGAGATGGATTTTTCTCTAATTTTTTTTCTGTATTTAGATTTTCTTTACTATTTTTTGTCCATTTGATGCAAACTTCTTCAGCTGTGTAGAAACTTTATGAATAGATAAGTGCTTGAGTGTCTCTGGTCTCTAAAGTGGCTGGTTTTATTCTTTCTTCAAAGTTAATAACATGTTTCAAGATTTTTGGACAAAATATTATGGTACGTCATAGAGAAAAGCAGCGTGAATTATATTTAGGTATAGCAAGTCAGATCCTTTGAAGTGACTCTGTCTCTGTTCTTAGAAGGGTTCTTGGAATTGGTTGTGGTTTGAATCTTTCTACTGTCAGAGGAGACCCACTAAAAACCAGAATCTGCATAAAGCTTTCTTTACTTAACACACTGAAGCTATAGGTGAGCCATCCCATGTCAGACTTTATACTCAAAGAAGGAAAAGCCAAGTTGCAGTGAGCGGGTAAGACAGCTCAGATCCGAATGAAAATGGGGTCTGAATAAGTAACCCAAGGGAGCTGCCCTCTAGTCGGGCAGCTAGTATTGCTTCCTTGCATGGATACATAGGAGGGATACATTATAGATTAATAAATGATAGTGAGATAAACAAAATGATCTGTTGTGTATCTTTTACTTTACATTTGCTATTTACAGAGGAGTGTTGTATACATAGGTATTATTTTATGTCACACTGCTTCAGTGATAACTATATCCATGTGTTTGTATCCATGTTTTTATCCATTCAACTGTATTAAAAGGTGTTGGGACAGGAAAAAAAGTTGTATTACTAAGTACACACAAAGAGGTTCTTCAGGTAAACTTCAAAGTATTAGATAATACTTTAATAACATGGGCAAAGAGGATGCGGCAGAGTAAGAAGTGATGAAAATTATGCAGCTTCATGTTTAAAGTCTGGGCTATAAGAGTCCTGAGAGAAGGAAAGTATAGAAGAACCTTCTGAGTTGAAGGGCCAGGACTAGAGACATGAGCTCCTCCTTTATGGATATGACAGATTCTAAGCCAAGTAGTGCTTGCTAGCAAGACTGAGATGTAAAAATAAAAAAGTTTCAAAGCAAATATATTTCCCCAGCTCCTCCATACAAGCAGCTGTACTTCACTAAGCTACCAAGTTTAGCTGTAAGAAAGTAAGAAGTTTGCTAATGAAAAACAACTTTGTATTTTAATTTCCTCTTCAGGGACATTAGGGATCCTTTGTCTTTTTTCAGTGCTTTGAAATGTTCATGTAATGTCACAAGTCCTAAGACAATGGCTAGAGAAAATTAATATTTTATAAAATTCTATTAGTTTGAGGTTAAAAAGAAAAATCAACGGCAAATTTACCAACTTTTTCTTAAAAGCACAGTGAATCCAAAACAGATAAAAGACTACAAACCCTATAAAATGAATTTAGATTCATTTTCTACTGCAGAAACATTAAAAGTAATTTGGATGATTTCCTAAATCTTAAATGGTGCAAAAGGCGGTTTGCTTAATTATGATTGCTGGCGATGTGGATGAGTCCTCCTGTCTGCTATGAAAAATGTTCTTGCTCAGGGTCCCTTTTATGAAGATTCCTGGGAAAAATCATTTTCCAGTCCTAGTGTCAAGAACAGTTATACTATTGGTTAAAAATTCATTTACTTTTGGCATTGGCTATTAGAGAATTTCTGGCAGTGAGTTTAAACAGAATACTTGACTGCAAACAAGTTATAACAGTTACCCAACTGTGTCCTTCCTTTGCTGCTAAGTCAGGTTGCCTTTACTTTGAAAAAGGTAAAAAGGACAAAACATATCTACTTAGGCACGTGGAATCTTTTTGTTTAAAGTGTTTTTCTATTCGTTGCTACAGGTACAGAGTAAAAAAATAATAATCACAAAGGTTCTGAGAACTGGAAGGAGCTATGGTTCTCATCTCACTTCTAGAATTAACTATGAATCATGTCTTTTTCATCACCCATTCCTGGGGGCCCTCCATTCAGTGTTGCATGGTGAGAAGAATGCTGAAGAGCCAGGAGAGGAAGGCTCCTGTTTCAGCCCCACTACTAATTGGCATCTGGCTCTGTGACTTTCTTGCTTTGGGTCACAGTACCCTCAGCTTAAAATGAGGATGCTGGTCTGGACAATCTCTAAGGTTCTTCTAGAATGGACCTTGTCTTCATTATAGAATGATAGTTTAGGAACAGTGGGAACACATTTCCACTCCAGCCTCTGATTGAGGCCAGAAGTGAATACTCTACTCCACTATGGTCCCTGTGCCCAAAGCTCCAGCCCTCTAAGGATCTTGTTGCATAGCTATCAGCATTCTCCATGAACTCCTTTGTGACCAGCTCCTGAGCACAAGATTCTTTAACATTTCCTGTCCATAAGTGACCATCACACCCTGCAGGCAGCCAGGCTTTAGGCAGTGGAGAGACGCGGGGTTCCAGGAACCCTGCTTAAGCACGGCATGCTCAGGAGAGACTTTCTTACCAAACAGCTCAATGTAGACCTCTTGAAGCGTGTGCACACTGCAGAACTGGTTCAGTTCGTGGTGGATCTTGTTGAAGATGAGGGCCTTGTCATAGTCAGCAGTATAGTTCTTCACTATATCATACACTGAGAGGGAAGGAGAGGGCTTGGCATAAGAAAAGGCAAGACTCAAAATGCCCTCAGACACGGCAGCTCTCCTTTTCCAAGGTGCTACAACAGACACGGGAGTGGCATGCTGGGGAAAGTGAGCTGGTGGTGGGAATAAACTGTTAAGACGTACCTGCGTTCGGGACCAGGAAGTTCACCACTTCAATTCTGTCAAAGTAGATCATCACACCACCACTATTGGAGGGAGAATGGACAAGAAGTCACTGGGAAGCCTTAGAATATGGTGCAGTCCCCCAGGGTGATGGCGTAAGATGTGGGGCTTGGCAGAAAAGGAGTAGAAGAGTTCACGGGAAGTTGGAAGGCAGCTTGGATCTCCAAGTGGGAGGTTCTGCAGGGCTCATGGCAACAACATACTCTCCTGAGAAATCACACTGCCTAGGAACATCTCTACAAAGACATGAATGAGACTTTTGGGGACCAGTACGAAAGAGTAACTCATATCTTTGGAATCAGCAATGCCTTTTGATTAATCAGTTGCACGGAAAAGACTAAGGAGGGTCAAGGTGAAGTTTTCAGAACTTAGAAGGTTACTGTGGAATGTTATGATCAATGTTTCTTAAACTGTCTTCACTATTACTTTGGTGTCACACTCCCTTTGCCCTCAAATATTTATTATAAAAAGATTTCAAACATAGAGAAGCCGAAAGAGTAGTATAACTAACATCCATATCCAGATACCTGAATTCAACACTGATAACATTTTACCTTATTTATTGACCTTTTTTTTTTCTGAACATTTCAAAGTAAGCTGCAGTTAGGATACTTTACTCCTTTACTTTGGTGAGCACTGTCTTAAGAATAATCATTCTCCTACACACTCATGGTATCATTCCCAAGCCTAAGAAAATTAGCAATAATTCTGTAATATCACCTAATACCCAGTCCTTATTCAGATTTCCCCAACAGTTTGTGTTATGGACTGACCTGTGTATGCCTCGCCCCCAGATTCATATGTTGAAGCCCTAACCCCCAATGTGACTGTATTTGGAGATTAGACCTTTAAGAAGGTAATTAAGGTTAAACAGGTCATAAGGGTGGGCTGTAATCCAAAAGGTCTGGTATCCACCAAAGACCTTTTTCTCTCTTCTTGCACATACAGAGGAAAGGCCTTGTGAGGATGTGACAAAAAGGTGGTCACCTGCAAGCCAGAAAGAGAGGTCTCACCAAAACTACCCCTGCTGTTACCCGGATCTTGGACTTTGGGCCTTCAGAATGGTGAGAAAATATCTATTATTTTAGTCCCTTGGTGTGTAGTCCTCTGTCATGGCAGCCTGAGTGGACTCATATAGTTTCTGTCGTATCTGTTATAGCTGTTAATTTTGAACCAGGTTCTAATCAATGCTCACCCTTGCTTCTGTTTATGTTTCTTGTAAGTCTCTGTCCAATCCAGCATCCCTCTAAATACAACCACTTTGTGAAGAGATCAGGCCTGCGATCTTGTGGGATGTTCCAATTCCGGATTTGTCAGAGTGTTTCTTTGTGGTATTCTTTGTCACTCTATCCCAGTTTAAACTGTCTTTGCTTTCCAGTGGGACCGCTGTAGCAGTGTTCTCTTCGGATCTCTTTGCCCTGAAGGTCTCCCCTACCTTTATGACATTCTCTTTAGTTATGCAAGTTATCTTCTTGTATCAGGTCATTTATCTGCTAAAAACCTTTGTGCATCCTCACTTCTTTTTTTGTTTTTAACGTTAAAATTTTATTTTATTTTCCATTGTTTAAATTCAGAGGTACATGTGCAGGATGTGCAGGTTTGTTACATAGGTAAACGTGTGCCATGGTGGTTTGCTGCTCAGATCATCCCATCACCCAAGTATTAAGCTCAGCATCTATTAGCTATTCTTCCTGATGCTCTCCCTCTCCCCACCCCCTATCCACTGACAGGCCCCAGTGTGTGTTGTTCCCCTCCATGTGTCCATGTGTTCTCATCATTCAGTTCCCACTTATAAGTGAGAACATGTGGTGTTTGGTTTTCTGTTCCTGCATTAGTTTGCTGAGGATAATGGCTTCCAGCTCCATCCATGTCCCGTGCAAAGGACATGATCTTGTTCCTTTTTATGGCTGCATAGTATTCCATAGTATATATGTATCACATTTTCTTTATCCTGTCTATCGTTGATGGGCATTTGGGTTGATTCCATGTCTTTGTTATTGTGACTAGTGATCCTCACTTCTTTTTTTTTTTTTTTTTAAAGACGGAGTCTCACTCTGTCGCCAGGCTGGAGTGCAATTGTGTGATCTTGGCTCACTGCAATCTCTGCCTCCCAGGTTCAAGTCATTCCCCTGCCTCAGCCTCCCGAGTAGCTGGGACTACATGCATGCACCACCACACCCAGCTAATTTTTGTATTTTAGTAGAGACGGGGTTTCACCATGTTGGCCAGGATGGTCTCGATATCCTGACCTCATGATCCACCTGCCTCAGCCTCCCAAAGTGCTGGGATTACAGGTGTGAGCCACCGCGCCCGGCCGATCCTCACTTCTAATAGAGTAAGTGCAAACTCCTTATCACATACAGCATTCTAGCCCCTCCTGAACCTTCTATGATTTCCTCTACTGCACTCCATCACCTGGTCAAATCAATATAGGGAGCTACGAGACAGGGAATTAACCAAGAAAGGGTGCCTCCCTTTTCACTGTCTCTTCCTGCAACCAGCCAGACAGCCTTTTCTCTGACTTATTTGGGCTTAAAAGCTTTATTCTGGGTACCTTACCTAGTCCCACAAGGTACATTCTTCACCTCATCTGTCTGGAGTGTGGTCTGGAAACAGAGGAAACATAAAGTGCTAGAAGATGGGCAGTGACAAAGTAACTTACTTTTCAGAATCCTAAATGCCTTTGTCCTGGAATAACTGTTTGGGTTGAGCATGGCCTTCATTAAACATGATTACCCCACCTAATCCTCCTTCCTCACAGGGTTGCTAAGCCAAGTAAAGGCCCGTGCCCCAGCCTCACTATAAGTGAACCACCACATCAACAAGCTGAGTAATAATGGTTTAGTGAAGATGACACTGGATTGGGCATCTTAAGACTTGTGCTTGCTTCTACCTCTTCTATTTATGTTAGGCACCGCTTTATGTTCGAAGGCCCCCAGTGGATGCTTGAAACCGGGGAGAGTACCAAACCCTATAACACATACCTATGATAAAGTTTAATTTATAAATTAGGTACAGTAAGTGATCAACAATAATAAAATAGAACAATTATAACAATATACTGTCATAAAAGTTATTTGAAGGTGGTCTCTCTCTCTCTCTCTCAAAATATCTTATTGTACTGTAGTCACCTGTTTTCAGACCATGGTTTATTGTGGGTAACTGAGCCTGTGGAAAGTGAAATAGTGGATAAGGGGGAGGGCTGTTGTACTAGTTTTGAAACAGCAGATTACCTATTTAACCTGTCTCAGACCCTAGCACATGCTCAGCCCATTCTCAGGATTACTACAAGACTCAAATGAGACAATGTACCTGAATGCAGTTTGAAAGCCACAAAGCCTGGTAAACAGCACATGAAACTTACAGGGAAAATGCCTAGCAGGTATCCCAAGACATTCTCCTGGGTCAGTGTAAAGTGTAAAATCTTGTTATTCTTCTTAGCTGGACATACTTCAGAGATGGCAAGTCCAACTTAGCCAGGCTTTAGATCTGCCACAACTAACCTCACTCCTATTTTAGATGTCACCTCCCCTCACTTAGTTTAACTCCTCCCCACTCACTGCAAAAATTATGTTCGTATTTCTGAATTCAAATAAGAATCAGCAAAATTACTATGTTTTCTTTCCATTTAACATGGTAGCCTGTGATTTAAAACATACACACATAAACCCTGACTTTTCTTTCCATATACTCAGAACAGGTTCTTCTCTGGCTTTATCTTGAAGGAATAATCCCCAGCCTCATTTTATATATATATAGTGTATGTGTGTATATATATATATATTATATATATATAATATGTATATATTATCCTTATATCATTCTCTAGAATGGCATTTTACTCATCCAATGGCTAAATAATTTCAAATCATGCACTAGTTAACAGCCCAAGTTTGCAGTCGTCCAGCCATACCACAGAGGCCAAGCATACCTGCACAGACTTATATGATGTGATGAAAGGGAGCATGAGATGGAAACCAGGGCCGCTGGTCGAAGTCAGCAGGGCACCGCCTCTGCAGAGGAGGGGGAAGAGAGAGGCAGCTTCAGTTTGGCAAGAAGGCTCTGTTAGATCAATATCATGAGGGTCAACTTTCCCTTCAGCCCTATAAACATATAATAGAGAGTGACATGTGCTGCAGCCATGGCTACAGATCCCTTTCTTCCTCTCAGCTAGATCCTAATATTCTAGGAAGCCTGATGGTAAAACATAAAACTATTGTTCATGCTTTTGCAAGGAGAAAAATAGGCACATAGGCTAAATGGAATAAAGACAGCAGAACCCACTAGTGCAGTCCCAGCGCTTTGCGGGGCTGAGGTGAGAGGATTGCATGAACTCAGGAGTTTGAGACCAACCTGTCTCAAATAGTGAGACCCTGTCTCTACAAAAAAAGAAAAGGAAAAAAATTAGCTGAGTGTGGTGGTTGTATGCCTATAGTCCCAGCTACTTGGGAGGCTGAGATGTAAGAATTGCTTGAGCCTGGGAGGTTGAGGATGTAGTGAGACATAATTGTGCCACTGCACTCCAGCTTGGGCAACAAAGTGAGACTCTGTCTAAAAAAAAAAAAGAAAAAGACAGCAGAATCCATGGGTATACTTAGATAAGAGAAAGTCTGGCCAGGCGCGGTGGCTCACGCCTGTGATCTTTGGGAGGCTGAGGTGAGTGGATTATTAGGTCAGGAGTTCAAGACCAGCCTGGCCAACATGGTGAAACCTCGTCTCTACTAAAAATACAAAAATTAGCCAGGCGTGGTGGCAGGCACCTGTAATCCCAGCTACTTAGGAGGCTGAGGCAGAGAATTGCTTGAACCTGGGAGGCGGAGGTTGCAGTGAACCAAGATCTCACCACTGCACTCCAGCCTGGGCAACACAGCGAGACTGTCTCAAAAAAAAAAAAGATAAGAAGTCTGTTTTACTTTGTCATATCTGTTGGGCTTGTGGCAATCCATTAGGGCAGTTAAGTCCAGTAATATGGTTATCAACTACCTGCACTAATGCTGGAGTCCAATGACATGACCAACCAAAAGAATAATTTGAAGTACTTTATAAATAATTGAAATATATGTTTTGGCAATAGAGTTACCTTTCTAATCAAGTTATATGTAAATGATGAAGTTAAAAGCCTTTTTGGGGAACATGTAAGCAGATGATGGGGAGAAAGAATTAAAGGAGAGAGGAATTCCAATCAGAGTTTTAGAACTTGCTGTTAGCAATCCAGAAACAAGCATCACAACAGCACATATAAGAAGAGTTCATAAAGACATAAAGCAAAACACTTGGTCATGGAGGTTACTAAAAAGAAAGCAACCCAAGACTTATAAGTGCTTCTTTGCTTTATATTAGGCAAAGAATTAAAAAAAAAACCAATAAAATAAACAGTGACATAATGGGTTCCTTTATTGTAGGAACCACTATCCTAAGGCTTGCTTTGATTGACGTAAGTCAACCTGCAGGCTCTTTCATTTTTCTTGAAATGTTAATATTATTTTA